>NC_000009.12:130417277-130731095 GCF_000001405.40 Homo sapiens | reverse complement strand
GGCGGAGGTTGCAGTGAGCCGAGATCACACCACTGTAATCCAGCCTGAGTGACAGAGCAAGACTCTGTCTCAAAAAAAAAAAAAAAAAAAAAAAAAAGAGAGATAGAGTGAAAACGCACAATGGCTATAATTATGTAAATAAAGAGTGAAAAGGTGAACCACAAAGTGTAAGAAAATAGTCATAATAAATACACCCAACGAAGGACCTGTATTGAGAGTACACAGGCTAGGCACGGTAGCTCACACCTGTAATCCCAGCACTTTGGAAGGCCGAGGTGGGTGGATGGTTTGACCTCAGGAGTTTGAGACCAGCCTGGGCCACATGGTAAAACCCCAACTCTACAAAAAATGCCAAAATTAACCAGAAGTGGTGGCACACACCTATAGTCCCAGCTACTCAGGAGGATGAAGTTGGAGGACCGCTTGAGCCCAGGAGGTCAAGGTTGGAGTGAGCCGAGACTGTGCCACTGGACTCCAGCCTGGGCAACAGAATAAGACTCTGCCTCAAACAAAGAAAAAAAAAGGAAAAAAAATATAAATAACTCCTAAAAATCAATGAGGAATAAACATAAATAGAAAAATGGACAAAAGAGGTGAACTGGCAAGAGATACATAGGTACACATATATTCCAAATGGCCAGTAAACATATGAAAAGGTGCTTAACCTCATGAGTCATCAAAGAAGAGCAAATTAAGGCTGGGAGATACTACTGCACAACTACCTGCAAGGCTAACATTTAAAAGTCTGGCCGGAGGCTAGGCGCGGTGACTCACGCCTGTAATCCCAGCACTTTGGGAGGCCGAGGTGGGCGGATCACCTGAGGTTGGGCGTTCGAGACCAGCCTGATCAACACAGAGAAACCCCGTCTCTACTAAAAACACAAAATTAGCTGGGTTTGGTGGCACATGTCCATATTCCAGCTACTCGGGAGGCTGAGGCAGGGGAATCACTTGAACCCAGGAGGCGGAGGTAGCGGTCAGCTAAGATTGCACCATTGCACTCCAGCGTGGGCAACAAGAGCAGAATTCCATCTCAAAAAAAAAAAAAAGTCTGGCTGGGCGCAGTGGCTCACGCCTGTAATCCCAGCACTTTGGGGGGCCAAGGCAGGTGGATCACTTGAGGTCAGGAGTTCGGGACCAGCCTGGCCAACATGATGAAACCCTATCTACCAAAAATGCAAAAAAAAAAAAAAATAGCCTGGTGTGGTGGTGCATGCCTGTAGTCCCAGCTACACAGGAGGCTGAAGCAGGAGAATCGCTTGAACCCAGGAGGTGGAGGTTGCAGTGAGCCAAGATCACACCACTGCACTCCAGCCTGGGCGACAGAGTGAGACTCCATCTTAAAAAAAAAAAAAGAATATGCAGAATTGAACTTCTGCTTCTGTCCATAATGCAGTAAAAGTGGTATTAGATATCCTTTTGTCCTAAACAACTGTATGGCTGAATAAAATATTTGAGACGACTGTTTTCAGGCATTAGATGACAGGCAAGGCAAGGCAAGGCTGTGACCCTTGAGGAAAGAGAAAAACATAAGGTAAGTTGCATGTTGCTTCCAACTTCCTGCCTGGGGCACCTTCCCAAACACAGTGCAGGGAGATGAAACCTAAACTGACAGCAGCCATCTCTGTGAACTGAGGAAGCAAAGACTTGGATTTGAGGATGCTGAGGCAGGTAGAATTTGTAGGGCAAGAAATCTGAGAGAAGATGAGGGCATGGGTGGGGTGACAGAACACAGAGGTAGGCAGAAGAAGGTGGGAGGCATCCTGTGGGTCCATGGCTTCCAGATTCTATGCAGTTTAGCAGACAGCGGTGGCTGTGAGGCTGAGAACTGCACAGACACAGAGGTTTCACAGTGCTGGAAGACATTCAAGTACCAGTTCATCCAGGGTGGAGAGACTTTGCTGAGCACCTCTGTTATTTTGTTTCGACCCCAAAAAGGCCAAGCATTAAGTCTAAAGAGTACCCTCTATTCTAAGGGCCGGGTGTCTGGACCAAGGATAAACCCATACTAACAAAGCATAAAACCAAACCTGGCAGGGTCAAACTAACTTAACGACCAGTCACTTACAGTAATTTAAGTAACTACAGTAACCTAACTACTTGTCAAAACAAAATGAAAACTTCTTTAAAGAAAGATAACAAGATTGAGAATCCCTACAATATAACACCCACATGTCTGGCATACAATCAAAATTATTTAACATGCAAAAATGCAGGAAAATCTGACTCATAATGTACAGAAAAAGCAATCAATAAAAACAGACCCCAAGATGACTCAGATATTTAAATTAGCAGGCACGGTCTTTATTACAAATACCTTCTAGGATTTAGAGGAAAAGACAGGTCTAATGAATGAAAACATGGTGAATCTCAGCAGAAAAATACAAACTATAAAAAAAAAAAACAGGCTGGGCGCAGTGGCTCATGCCTGTAATCCCAGCACTTTGGGAGGCTGAGGCGGGTGGATCACAAGGTCAGGAGATTGAGACCATCCTGGCTAACACGGTGAAACTCCGTCTCTTCTAAAAAAACATACAAAAAAATTAGCCGGGCGTGGTGGCAGGCGCCTGTAGTCCCAGCTACTCAGGAGGCTGAGGCAGGAGAATGGCATGAACCCAGGAGGTGGAGCTTGTAGTGAGCCAAGATCACTCCACTGCACTCCAGCCTGGGCGACAGAGCAAAACACTGTCTCAAAAAAAAAGGAAAGAAAAGAAAAAAAAAAAAAACCAGCCAGGTACAGTGGCTCACACCTGTAATCCCAGCACTTTGGGAGGCGTAGGAGGGCAGATTGCTTGAGCTCAGGAGTTCAAGACCAGCCTGGGTAACATGATGAAACCCCGTCTCCACAAAAAAAAAAAAAAAAAATCAGCTGGACATGGTGGCGCATGCCCATAGTCCCAGCTACTCAGGAGGCTGAGGTGGGAGAACAGCTTGAGTCTGGGAGACGGAGGTTGCAGTGAGCTATGATTGCCACTGCACTCCAGCCTGAGTGACAGAGTGAGATCTTGTCTCCAAAAAACAAACAAACAAAAAAAGAGGCAAAAACTGAGAGTATTTATAGTTATATTTTCATTCTAAATATTGTTCCTTTTCTAAATATTCTACCTTTTCTTTTTCTTCATTAGTCTTACCAGAAGTGTGCCTAGATCAATAATATTTTTCAAAGTTAGCTTTTGGTTTTATTGATCATTTCCATTCTTAATTTGTTTTTATTTTTATTATTCTCTTCTGTGTACTGTGGGATTACTTTGGTTCTCTGGCTTCTTGAGTTACATGCTTAGTTCTCTTGTTCTTGTTCAGTCTTTCCTGTTTCCTAATAAATGCTTTTTTTTGGGGGGGGGGGGCGGTGTCTCACTCTGTCACCCAGGCTGGAGTGCAATGGCGCGATCTCGGCTCACTGCAACCTCTGTACCCCGGGTTCAAGGGATTATCCTGCCTCAGCCTCCCGAGTAGCTATAGGCAGCTGCCACCAAGCCCAGCTAATTTTTGTATTTTTAGTAAGAGACAGGGTTTCACCATCTTGGCCAGGCTGGTCTTGAACGCCTGAACTTGTGATCCACCCACCTCAGCCTCCCAAATTGCTGGGATTACAGGCGTGTGCCACCACGCCCGGCGGAATAAATGCTTTTAAGAGTAAAAGAAGTGATAGAATTAAAGGAAAAAATAAACGAATATATCATTATAGCTGTTGATCTTCAGCATCACTCTCTCAGTAAAAAAGAGAGATACCGCCAGGCACAGTGGCTCACACCTGTAATCCCAGCACTTTGGGAGGCCCAGGAGGGCAGATTGCTTGAGCTCAGGAGTTCAAGACCAGCCTGGGTAACATGGTGAAACCTTGTCTCTACAAAAAAAAAAAAACCTCAGCAAAGCTATAGATGAAGTAAGTACAAAATAAAAAGTAAGAATATAGAAGATGTTTAAACAAAAGCATGAAACAACTTGATTTATAGAAAACTACATGCAACAACACAAACTTTTTTCAACTACAAATGGAACATTCACTAAGACAGGTTATATGCTGGGCCATAAAATTAGTCTTGGTAAATGTCAGAAGACTGAAATTCTACAGAAGATGTTCTCTGACCACAATGAAATTAAATTAGAAACCAAGATATCTAGAATTCCCAAATACTTGGAAATCAAACACTTTGATAATAACACATGAAAACTTATGTGATGAACTTATGTGATAGAGCTAACGCAGTGTTTAGTAGGAAATACACAGCTTTAAATGCCTATGTTGGACAAGAAGGGTTTGGAATCGATCTAAATTTCTACTTTAAGAAGCTAGAAATAAAGAACAAATTAAACCCAAAGTAGGCTGGGTGCAGTGGCTCACGCCTATAATCCCAGCACTTCAGGAGGCCAAGGCAGGAGGATCGCTTGAAGCCAGGAGTTTGAGACCATCCTGGGCAACATAGCAAGACCCTATCTCTACAAAAAAAAATTTTTTTAAGTAAAAGAAAGAAAATAAAGAGCAGAAATCAATAAAATGGAAAACAATTGAGAAAGTTAACAAATTTTTTTTGAAAAGATTAATAAAATTGGTAAACCCTCAGCAAAACTAACTGAAAAGGTGTGTGTGAGAGAGAAACAGAGAGAAAAAACACAAATTACCAATGTGAGGAATGGAAAAAGCATATCACCACAGACCCTATAGACATTAAAAGGATAACAAGGGAATATTAAAAACAAAAACAAGGGAAACTAATCGATGGTGCTAAAACGTAAGACAGTAGTTATCTCTGAGGAGGAGGAAGGCAGGAGTGAAACTGGAAGGGGGCACAAGGCTTTCTGAGGTGTGCTCACAATTTTCTACTTCTTAAGCAAGATAGTGGAATGCAGAGGTATTCATTTGTGATCATTCATCAAGCTGTACATTCAATTTGTGCCCCTTTCTGTATGCATATTACACTTTTTTAAAAAAAATATTAAAATATCAGGTCGCGCAAGGGAGCTCAATCCTGTAATCTTAACACTTTGGGAGGTTGAGGCAGGAGTATCACCTGAGCCCAGGAGTTCAAGACCAGCTTAGACACCATAGCAAGACTCTGTCTCTATAAATTTTTTTTTTAAATTAGCCAGGTGTGGTAGTGCACACCTGTGGTCCCAGCTACTCGAGAGGCTGAGGTGGGAGGACTGCCTGAGCCCGGGAGGTCAAGGTTGTAGCAAGCTTGAACTCCTGGGCTCAGGCAATCACACCACTGCACTCCAGTCTGGGAGACAGAGTGAGACTGTCTCAAAAAAAAAAAAAAAAAAAAAAAAAAACCACCATACACAAGTTCCACCAACAGATGGACAAAATTTGGTGTGTATATATATATACACACACAATGGGATATTATTCAGCCTTAAAAAAGAAGAAATTCTGATACACGTAACAACAGATGCACCTTTAAAACATGCTAAGTGAGGCCAGGCACGGTGGCTCATGCCTGTAATCCCCGCACTTTGGGAGGCCTAGGCAGGCGGATCACCTGAGGTCAGGAGTTCGAGACCAGCCTGACCAATATGGAGAAACCCCATCTCTACTAAAAATACAAAATTAGCCAGGCATGGTGGCACATGCCTGTAATCCCAGCTACTTGGGAGGGTGAGGCAGAAGAACTGCTTGAACCTGGGAGGCAGAGGTTGCAGTGAGCCGAGATCGCGCCATTGCACTCCAGCCTGGGCAACAAGAGCAAAACTCCGTCTCAAAAACAAACAAACAAACAAACAAAAACACTAAGTGAAATAAGCCAGACACAAAAGGGCAAATATTGTATTATTATAGTTATATGAAGTCCTAGAATGAGCAAATTCATAGAGAGAAAAAGCATAAAAGTGGTTACCAAGAAGTGGGGAAAGAGGGAAATGGGATATTATTTTTTAATGGGTACAGAGTTTCTACTTAGGATGATGAAAAAGTTCTGAAAATGGATAGTGATGATGACTGCATCACTGGGAATATACTTAATGCCACTGAGTTATACACCTAAACAGGTTAAAATGGTAACTTTTCTGTATATTTTACCACAATAAAAAAATAAACACAGAAGGGAGATGACAAAGGGAACGTTATCGTTTGAAAAGCGTTGCAATATGATGCACACGTTGTGCGGCCACTGTGGCTCTAAGGCCTGTCACCTTCCGAAGTCTACCTGTGGCAAATGTGGCTACCCCGCCAAGCGCAAGAGGAAGTATGACTGGTGTGCCAAGGCTAAAAGACTAAAGGCCACAGGGACTGGGCGAATGAAGCGGCGTGGATTTCCATAAAGGAACAACACCTAAACCCAAAAGGGCAGCTGTTGCAGCATCCAGTTCATCTCAAGAATTTATTTGCTTTTTTTTTTTTTTTTTTTTTTTAAAGACAGGGTTTCGCTCTGTCGCCCAGGCTGGAGTGCAGTGGCACAATCCCAGGTAGCTGGGATTACAGGTATGCGTCACCACGCCTGGCTAATTTTTAAGTAAAGATGGGTTTTCACCATGTTGGCCAGGCTGGTCTCAAACTCCTGAGCTCAAGTGATCCGCCCATCTTGGCCTCCTAAAGTGCTGGGATTACAGGCATGAGCCACCGAGCCCAGCCAAGAATTTCAAAGATTAGCCACACAATAAATGTTCTGGTTTTTAAAAATACAAAAATAAATAAATAAAATAAACATATATAAGTATATTCATTGGGAAAGAAACCCCAGAACCAGATAAAAAGTCCTAGGATACATAAGAAAATAAGTTAGCTATTTGAGAACTTTCATTCCTTGTAAGTGAATAAAAAGTTTAATTTCTCATTTAGTCCATTTAATATCATTCTTATCAAGAATTTTTTTTATGGAGAGCCTATGTATTCAGCATTATGCTGGGGAAACAGAAAATGAGATGAAACCTGCATTCACAAGCTTACAGTTTACTTGAGGAGTTCGAGGCTGCAGTGAACAGTGATCATATCATTGTACTCCAGCCTGGGCGACAAAGCAAGACCTTATCTCTTAAAAATTTTTTTAAAAGGCCACGCATGGTGGCTCACGCCTGTAATCCCAGCACTTTGGAAGGCCAAGGCAGGTGGATAACGAGGTCAGGAGATCGAGACCATACTGGCTAAGATGGTGAAACCTGGTCTCTACTAAAAATACAAAAATTGGCCAGGTGTGGTGGCGGGCGCCTGTAGTCCTAGCTACTCGGGAGGCTGAGGCAGGAGAATGGCATGAACCCAGGAGGCGGAACTTGCAGTGAGCCAAGATCGCGCCACTGCACTCCAGCCTGGGTGACAGAGCGAGACTCCATCTCAAAAAAAAAAGTTAAAAAAAAGTTAAAAAATAAAAAACAAACCTACCTACGTTTCAACACTCTCTTCCATGAAACTCACATAAAACTATTAGGAAATACTACTAGGAAGTATATGATTATGTATTCATTTGTGTTGCAGAAGAGTTACAAGGGCAGAAGTTACAGAAAATTTAATGAGGACCAGAGATGTAAAATATGGTTTCAGAAGGGAGGGGGGACTGGAAGAGAGTGTTGAAAGGTTAAGCAGGTTTGTTTTTTGTTTGTTTGTTTGTTTTTTACTTTTAAAGGATAGGGTCTTGCTTTATCACACAGGCTGGAGTACAATGATATGATCACAGTTTGCTTCAGCCTCGAACTCCTGGACTCAAGTAATCCTTCTGCCTCAGCCTCCCAAGTAGCTAGACAAGCACAGGACATTATTATGCCTAGCTAACTTTTTTATTTTTAGTACTAATAGGGTGTTGCTATGTTGTCCAGGCCACTCTCTCAAACTCCTGGTCTCAGAGGACCGTCCCACCTTGGGTTCCCAAAGTGCTGGGATTACAGGTGTGAGCCACTGCACCTGGCCAGCAGGTAGGATCTGAACACACAGGGGAGTGACATCAGGGGCACAACTACCAAAAAGGCAGGGACGAACACAGCAAGGAGTCAGGGAACTGCAGAGGCACAGGGCAGAGAAGGCCTTCGGGAGACCTCCTCTTACTGAAGCCCATCCTCAGTAGCCATTTTAATCTTTTTACCCCCTAGTCACAGAAAATATGCCCGACACATTCCTATGGGTTTAATTCCCAGCTAAATCATGTTAACACATCCCTCTCCCTCCCATTCAAAAAATGCTTCTATTTGCAACACACTTCACAACACATCAGTGTGTTCACACTTGGAGATCTGAAGCACAAGCACGGTTCTGTCCTGAACTGATACAAAATGATTTCACATTTTTTCCCACTTTCATTTTCTTTGACAACATGCTTCATTTAAATGAAGTAAAACTCTTTTGGTCAAATCATCTTTGATCATCTTTCTTTACTTACCCCACAATTGAAACTTCTGTTTTCTTCTATATTACAAATTTCTTAAAATGGGTAGTAAGGTTTCATGAAAAATAAGAAGGCCATACAAAATGTATTAGACTATTGGAAACAACTGAATGCTTATAAAAAATGTACATACATGGCCAGGTGCAATGGCTCACCTGTACGATCCCATTGCTTTGGGAGGCTAAGGCAAGAGGATCACTGGAGCCCAGGAGTTCAAGGCTGCAGTGAGCTATGACTGTGCCACTACACTCCAGCCTGGGTGACAAAGCAAGACCCTGTCTCTAAAATAAAGTACATACCTCCAATTTTGCATTTTCACAGTCCACGTGCCACAATCCAATCCCTAGCATTAAGTAGATGGATATAATCTTTCCAAATAACCTTTTTATTTTTTTTTGAGATGGAGTCTCGCTCTGTTGCCCAGGCTGGAGTGCAGTGGTGTGATCTTGGCTCACTGCAATCTCTGCCTCCCAGGTTCAAGCGATTCTCCTGCCTCAGCCTCCTGAGTAGCTGGGATTACAGGCATATGCCACCATGCCCTGCTAATTTTTGTATTTTTAGTAGAGATGGGGTTTCACCATGTTGGTCAGGCTGGTCTCGAACTCCTGACTTCAGGTGATCCACCCGCCTCAGCCTCCCAAAGTGCTGGGATTACAGGCGTGAGCCACCACGCCCAGCCTGTCCAAATAACCTCTTTGAGAATCGGATAGCCAGGCACGGTGGCTCACGCCTGAAATCCCAGCACTTTGGGAGGTCGAGCCAGGTAGATCATGAGGTCACGAGATCAAAACCATCCTGGCTAACAGGGTGAAACCCCGTCTCTAATAAAAATACAAAAAATTAGGCTGAGGCAGGAAAGAGAATCGCTTGAACTCGGGAGGTGGAGGTTGCAATGAGCTGAGATTGTGCCACTGCACTCCAGTCTGGGCAACAGAGCAAGGCTCTGTCTCAAAAAAAAAAAAAAAAACAAAAAAAAACCTGACAAATTTAACTTTAATGCCTATAGGATCCAATAATTGCACTTCCTCCCACCTTCTAATGTATACAGATACTTAGTATAATTTTATTTTATTTTATTTTGAGACAGGGTCTCACTCTGTCACCCAGATTGGAGTGCAATAGCACCATCACAGCTCACTGCAGCCTTGGCTTCCCAGGCGCAGGTGATTCTCCCACTTTAGCCTCTTGAGTAGCTGGGATTACAGGCGTGTACCACCACGCCCAGCTAATTTTTTGTACTGTTAGTAGAGATGGGGTTTCGCCATGTTGCCCAGGCTGGTCTTGAATTCCTGGGCTCAAGTGATCCATCTGCCTTGGCCTCCCAAAGTGCTGGGATTACAGGCATGAGCCACCGCACCTGGCCTTAGTATAATTTTAAGAGTAATGAGAATTAGTGTTTGTTTTGTTTTTTTGAGACAGAGCCTTGCTCTGTCACCCAGGCTGGAGTGCGGTGGCATGATCTTGGCTCACTGCAACCTCTGCTTCCCAGGTTCACGTGATCCCTCTGCCTCAGCCTCCCATGTAGGTGGGACTATAGGTGTGTGCCACCATGCCGACTAATTTTTGTATTTTTAGTAGAGACGAGGTTTCACCATGTTGGCCAGGGTGGTCTCGAACTCCTGACCTCAAGTGATCCGCCCGCCTTGGCCTCCTAAAGTGCTGGGATGACAGGCGTGAGTCACAGCGCCCGGCCTACAGTGTTGATTTATCAAGTGTCTATTATTTTAAATAAAGTTTTGAGAACCATAAGTGGTTTTACCTGATGGTAAATATTTTTTTTTTTTTTGAGACAGGGTCTTGCTCTGTTGCCCAGGCTGGAGTGCAGTGGCGCAATCACAGCTTACCACTGCAGCCTCGACCTTCATTTCAATAAAAGGCAACTCTATTCTTCCAGTTATTCAGTTCGAAAACCTGAGAGTCACACTTGGCCCCTCTCACACCCCCATATCCCACATCTAATCCGAGAGCAAATCTTGTCGGTTCTGACCCTCCACCCAGTGCCACCACTTTGGTCCAAGCATCATCACTCTTACCTGGCTCTGTGCAATCAATGCCCCCGTGGAATCCCTGCTCCCTTGTCCTCCTTCAGATCATAGCAGCCAGAGAGATTCTATTTCATACTGAAACATACATCAGATAGTATAGTCCCCTCGGAAAATTCTCCAAGGCCTTCCCACATCATATGAATCAAAGTCAAAATCCTTGAAATGGGCCAATAAGGCCACCCTCTCCTTCAGCCATTCTCTTCCCACCCTCCATTTTACCTCCTGCATCTCTCCTTTTGCTCTTTGCTCTGGTGCAGTGGCCTCTAGGCTGCTCCTTGAAACTAGCAAGCTCTGCCTCAGGTTTCTGCATCCTGGTTCCCTCGGCCTGAAATTCTTTCACATATTTCAACAGGGCCTGCTGCTCATCTTCCTCCTTCGGGTCTTTAATCAAATGCCGCCCTCTCAGTCAGGCCTCTCTAGCCACCCTAACTAAAATTACACCTCCTACCCCATTCCCTGTCCCCTTCTCTATGTTATTCTTCTCCTCAGCACATATCACTAACATATCTGTATTTTATTTACTTAGCTTATTTATGATGTGTCTCCTCCCACTAGAATGTAAGTTCTAGGAGGGCAGGGATTGTTTTGTTTACAAATATATCATCAGTGACTACAACACGACCTGTCATAGTCTGTGCTCAATAAAATAAATGTTTGTTGAAGGAAGAAGGAAACACTAAGGAAAAAGTTGACTACTAAGTGCTTTCAATTGTTGTACCAACTCTCCCAAAAGTGAATTTTCTTAGTCAAGCCACTGAAATTTGAAAGGAACATATGGTGCATGAAATATTTAATAACATGGTTTCCTCTTTTCCCTTGTAAATATGACTAGCCCTTTGACCCTGAATGATTCTGGCAAAAAGTTGCCATCTGCCCACTCTTTCAGATTCACCATCAACAACAACACCAACGCTATTCTTGGCTTCCAGATCCATGTCTGCTCCAACACCGTACATTTCTGAATTCAAGTTTTTCAATCTAACCTACATGGATATTAACCAACTCTAGAAAGATCAGCCTATGAAAGATCGCAAACAATCTGTAACACAAAATAACATGGTATTCCCTTAGAAAAAGAATACCCAGGGTCCAAAGAAATTGGTTTGTCTTCAGACACAACTTAAGCAAATTCTTTCATAAAAAGGGATCTGAAAAAAGTGACAGGTTGGGCTGTCATCAATTCAGTTTTTATTTTTATTTATTTATTTATTTTGAGATGGAGTCTCACTCCGTCGCCCAGGCTGGGAGTGCAGTGGCGTGCAATCTCAGCTCGTTGCAACCTCGACCTCCTGGGTCTAAGCAACTCTCCTGTCTCAGCCTCCCGAGTAGCTGGGACTACAGGCACCTGCAACCACGCCCAGCTAATTTTTGTATTTTTAGTAGAGACAGGGTTTTACCTTCTTGGTCAAGCTGGTCTCAAACTCCTGACCTCAGGTGATCCACATGTGTCAACCTCCCAAAGTGCTGGGATTATAGGCATGAGCCACCGTGCCTGGCCTCAGTTTTTAAATCTTCGAATTTTTCGTATTATAAGATAACCCAAGTTTGTTGTAAAAAGACACTTGGAACATCACACAAACCAAAAAGAGAAAGTTTTCTCCGATTCCACCTAAAGCTCCAAGTCCCTAGAGATAAAAATTTCGGTGTAAAATCCTTCCATACTTTTTTTTCCTGGACATACACAAATAAACAGATATTTTTGTTTTACAAAAATGGGGCCATACCATAAATAATGATTTTCAAATTGCTTTTTTTCTACTCACCACAACACAGACATCATTCAGTGTTAGTACTTCAGCAACAAACATCCCTATGTGCCTTCTTGATAGACTTTCCATAGCAACAGTTCTCAAACTTTGTTTTGAGATGGGGTCTTGCTCTGTTACCCAGGCTGCAGTGCAGTGGCGTGATCATGGCTCACTGCAGCATTGGCCTCCCGAGCTCAAGTGACCCTCCCACCTCAGCCACTCAAGTAGCTGGGAACACAGGTGTGATAACACGTCTGGCTAATTTCTTTTGTTCTTGTTGTAGAGACAGGGTCTTCTTATGTTGCCCAGGATGATCTTGAACTCCTGGGCTCAAGCAATCCACCTGCCTTTGGCCTCCCAAAGTGTGAAATTACAGGCATAAGCCACAGTGCCTGGCCTCAAACTTTTTAATCTCAGGCCCTTGTCACACTCTTGAAAAATAACCGAAGGCCCCTAAGAGGCTTAGTTTGTGTAGGTTATCTCATCAATAGTTACCACATTAGAAATGAATACTGAAATTTAAAAACATAATTATTCATTTAAAAACAAATATTTTTATTACTGGAAAATAACTGTTTTCTCCCCCCAAAACAGACTTTCTAGATAACCGTAGATATTGTTCTTTGATGCTACATCAAAACATGGTAAATGGTAGTTTCTTTTTTTTTTTTTTTTTTTTGAGACAGAGTCTCATTCTGTTACCCAGGCTGAAGTGCAGTGGTGCGATCTCAGGTCACTGCAACCTCTTCCCCCGGGGCTCAAGATATTCTCCTGCCTCAGCCTCCTGAGTAGCTGAGATTACAGGTGCATGCCACCACGCCCATCTAATTTTTGTATTTTTAGTACAGACGGGGTTTCATCACGTTGGCCAGGCCAGTTTCGAACTACTGACCTCAAGTGATCCGCCTGCCTCATCCTCCCAAAGTGCTCGGATTACAGGCGTGAGCCACCACACCCAGCCAGGAATTTCTTTTTTTTTTTTTGAGACAAGAGTTTCGCTCTTGTTGCCCAGGCTGGAGTGCAATGGCGTGATCTCGTCTCAATGCAACCTCCGCTCCGGGGTTCAAGCAATTCTCCTGCCTCAGCCTCCTGAGTAGCTGGGATTAGAGGCATGTGCCACCACGCCCGGCTAATTTTTTACTTTTGGTAGAGACAGGGTTTCTCCATGTTAGTCAGGCTGGTCCTGAACTCCCGACCTCAGGTGATCTGCCCACTTCGGCCTCCCAAAGTGCTGGGATTACAGGCGTGAGCCACTGTGCCCGGCCTAGCCAGGAATTTCTTAAAGGCTGGCTGCCTTTAAGAAACTCTACCAATGAACTGTATTTTTTTTTTTTTTTACCCCCCAGAGACACGGTCTCCCTCTATTGCCCAAATTGGAATGCAGTGCTGTGTTCATGGCTCACCGCAGCCTCGACTCTTTGGCTCCAGTGGGAGCTTGGCTAATTTTTTAAATTTCTGTAGAGGTAAGATCTCACTAGATTGCACAGCTGGGTTCGAACTCCTGACCTCAGGTGATCCACCTGCCTCGGCCTCCCAAAGTGCTGGGATTACAAGCACGAGCCACAGCACCTGGCCTCCATTTTGCACTTTGAATGGATCTTTAACCTGTGCATGATTTTATATCATGCATTGATCATTTAGAAAATAATGGTTTGGCTGGGCACGGTGGCTCACACCTGTAATCCCAGCATTTTGGGAGGCTGAGGTGGCCAGATCATTTGAAGTCAGGAGTTCAAGACCAGCCTGGCTAACATGGTGAAACTCCATCTCTACTAAAAATACAAAAATTATTCACTTGTGGTGGTGCATGCCTGTAATCCCAGCTACTCAGGAGGCTGAGGCACGAGAATTGCTTAAACCTGGGAGGTGGAGGTTGTAGTGAGCCGAGATCATGCCACTACACTCCAGCCTAGACAACACAGCAAGACTCTGTCGCAAAAACGAACAAAAAAGAAAATATTGATTTACTGATTTATGTAGATCTTCCAAATAATACATTTCATTATAAGATATTAAAATATGGCATCTGTAAATATTACCACCAATCTCTATATCACAGAGGCAGATAAAAATTCTCCATTAGCCAGGCATGGTGGTGCACACCTGTAATCCCAGCTACTTGGGAGGCTGAGGCAGGAGAATCGCTTGAACCCGGGAGGCAGAGGTTGCAGTGAGCCGAGATTGCACCACAGCACTCCAGCCCGGGCGACAAGAGCGAAACTCTACCCCGAAGAGGAAAAAAAAAAAATTCTCCAAAATCCTAATTTTCACTGGAAAGCTAAAATTTCATCATTGGCAACAAATGCTACCTGTTGTTTTCTTTGAAAGATTCCTTCATACACTTTTTAGTCTGAATAACCATAGTTTGTCATAGTTTCAAGTAAAAATGGCAGTCCATGAAAAAAGTGGCTAGTTCAGTTTGCAACCCAACCACCAAAGTGCTTTTCCTGGAGATAATCATTATACTTTACTGTACAGAAGTGCTTGATGCATACCCCCCTTTTTAACCCACAGAATATTAAGAAGACATACACAAGGGTCAAAATGTAATAAAATTAATAATTTTTGCTGCTTCATCAAGGTATTGTCCAGTGAAAACTAGCCAGGCGCAGTGGCTCACTCCTGTAATCCCAGCACTTTGGGAGGCCAAGGTGGGTGGATCACCTGAGGTCAAGAGTTCAGGACCAGCCTGGCCAACATGGCGAAACCCCGTCTCTACTAAAAAATACAAAAATTAGCCGGGCGTCAGTGACGCGTGCCTGTAGTCCCACCTACTTGGGAGGCTGAGGCAGGAGAATCGCTTGAACCCAGGAGGCAGAAGTTACAGTGAGCCGAGATCGCCACACTGCACTCCTGCACTCCAGCCTGGGTGACACACAGAGACTCTGACTCAAAAAAAAAAAAAAAAAAAAAAAAAAAAAAAAGGACATTTTTCAGTGAAAAGTGGATATATATGTGTGTGTGTGTGTGTATATATATATTTAGTTTGTTTAACTGTGAGTGCACGTCATGAAGAATGCAATGACTACAAGTATAGTTAGGTGCCACAACCCTGAATCATGCTAAGACACCTGCTTTACTTTTGTACCATTACTGCAAACGTCAACACAGCAAAAGAGACAAGACCTTGGTACTCTATTAACAAGAAAATAGTTTTAGCCTCTCAACCCCTGAAGAGATATCAGGGACACACAGGGAACTACACTGCTTTCTCTACTAGCTTCCCAGAATGGGATTACTGGGTCATTGGCACGTACATTTCAAATTCTGATAAGTTCCGCCAAAGCTCTCCAAAAAGTCTGTTCCAATTTTCACTATGTAAGGTGCATGATCATCACTAGTTAAAATGTAAATAATTCACTTTTTAAATCCTGAATTTGGGAACCATCATAACAACACATTACCATATTTGCCTGCCTAAAAACAAAGCTAAAATAGAACTAATGTTTCAAGGCAAAGTAAAATCCAAGCACCCGGATTTATTTAGATGAAGTGAATATTTTCCCGTAAGAAAGTAAAACTTCAGCTGTCAAATGCAAGTTCATCCAACAGAAGCCTTTGTTGACTGCAGTCACCCAATGTTGGGGTATTTCTGAATGAATTTCAAAGTATAAGCCACTGGCACACTTCATACGTTTGCTTATAGGATAGGTGGGCTCAACTGATTTTTTAATATAAAGGACACAATCCAAAAAATGTCAGGCTGCAACAGTACAAACAGTAACCCTAATTAACTGGTTATAGACATCAGTGTAAGCCGACCCTTAGCTTTAACTTCGCACAGAATTACTGGACATGAACAACATAAAATGTACGGGCAGCATTCAAATGCCAAATATGTTCATAAAAATGTCACAGATAACCTTTATTGGCCCAAATATCATTCTAAACAGGGAGAAGACAGGATGAAAGCTTCATCAACGAGGAAGAGATTACTCCTTATGGAAGGTAAGACAGAAGCTGTCTATCTAAAATTCACAAGGAATGCTGCTTCCCCACTTGATTTTTCCCACATGGCTCCAAAGTGAGTATTTTCAAGTCCTACTTACGAAGGAAAAGGTCAAGGATATTAGCGTCAACCAGTATCTATGATTCTTAACTTTCTCAGGAACACAAACCACTTTGAGAATATGATAAAAGCTCTCTGTAGACAAAGCAGTAAAGAATCCATGCTTGTCAGAAGAGCCCACGACTTCGGTTAGAGCAGAATCATAGAACCAGGGACCCTAAGAAACCACTGAAGTCCAGCCCCTCAGGAAACTAAAGCCCTGGAACAGTAAAGTGGCTTGTCCAAGGTCAACAGTGAATTAGCAGAGGAATCAGGCAAGAAATAAGCAACTCAAATAGATTTTGAATAAAGCCGAAGTCACGAAGTAACTTTTTCTTATACAAAGAAAGTTCCACTAAGAGATAACTACAGTAACAAATTTATTAAGTGGAATTGGAAGGAACTGTCGCAAGTACTGTTGTTCAAAGTTCCTTGAAGGCCTAAGATGAATGCATGAGGAAAACCATGAGCAGAAATTTTGAAAAGCACTCACCATGTTCCACAAAAACATTGCAGTGTGGACCCCCATGCCTCGATGATTCCTTCTTCCCTGCTCCTTTGATAAAATGCAGGGCAGGCAAGCTTGGCCTTCTTTGGTCCCCAAGTACTTTTCCAGGCTGCTGCCCCATAAAGTAATAATAGGTACCCCTTTCCAGAAGAGGGTTCAAGATCTTCCAGAACGGTCAGCGAGCGTAGAGGGAAATGGCATATACGTGGGATTTCACATTCGCTGCATCTCCACAAGTCAGCAATTGAAGTCAATCACAGAAAGACATCTTCCATAACAAAAGGAAGCACTTTTTTTAGGTTGACACTTGCAAGCAGGAGTTCCAATTATTTTCGCGGTTATCAATTTCATGTAATTGCAATGTTACCCAAAAGTTTCTTGATTTGTTTTAAACGGGCTGAATAACAATTTCTTTTCAAGAAGAAAAACCTAAACAGAAATATTCACAGGGGATGCTGAAAAGGGTCAATAATGCTAGTCATTTCAATTCTCACACATAAAGGAAACGCTGATGGTCTTTGGCTACTCCTCCAGAACTTTTCCTGTGGAAGTCACCAACCCCCTATCTTAGCTTCTTCATCTTCCAACAAATTTCCTGCCGAACTAGTGGCCGCTCTCGCTTCTCTGCTTTGCTCTCCGGAAAAGGACACGGGTCACCCAGATTTCAGCGAGTTTGCCCTCGACTCTGACGAAAAGGAATGCATTGCCAGCAACTTTTAAGTCCGCTTTTTAAAAGGCCTGTGGAACCAATCCAGACTTTTCCTTTGCATTAAAGTTTTTGGCTGAGCTGAGACTAAGGGGGCCGTAGGTGACATTGGAAGAAGTCAGGGCATTAGAGGCTCGCGGGAGCCACCTTGGGGGAAGGGGAGACCCCTTGACAGCAAGGGAGGGATTTGAATGGGAGGCTCCGTGGCCAAAGTTGGGGCCGGGATCCGGAATAAGGGGCGGCTTGGGGCTGAGGGAAGCTGTCGGGGCGCGGCACGGGCAGCTTACTCCGGGGCGACGCTCTTCCACGCCTCAGAAAACGGGGTGTCCCAAGCTGGGGGAAACAGACCACCCGCAGTGTCCCAAAGCCGGGGCGGGGCTGTAAGGGACGAAGGACTCTCGCGGCCCAGACAGCGGAAGGCGGGCCCCGTGTAGAGGAGGCCCGGCCGCCTCAGCTGCCCCAAGCCCGGGGGTCTCTGCCCGAGACACCCCCTCCCCCGGCCCCGGACGCTGACACCACCACCGCCCTCAGGCAGTCACATCTCCCGAGCTCCGCCGAGGGACCCAGCCGCCCCCCGCCGGTAGGGGCCGTGGACAGCGGAGGGGCTCCTCAGCCGCAGGACCCGGGAACCGGCTCCGGCTCCAGCGCTGCTCAGGCACAGACACCAAACCCCGCGGCCGCCATGATGGATTACGAGCCGCTCCACAACGAGGCCAGGCCCCGCCCTCGGCCCCGCCCACGGCGACGTCCGGAGCCCGCCTCGAGGGGACCCGGATGCCCCAAGAGCCGCTTTCCCGGGACACCGCCGCCCCTCCCGGCTCTGGTCCCACTGCCTGCGAAAGCCCGGCCCGGCACGACCTTTTAAATGTGGCTTCTCTGAGCGCAAGGTGAGTGGTAAGGAAGCACCCGCCTCCTCTGTATTGCCATTGGCCTCCGAGAATCCGGGTCAGGCCTCTTTCCTCCGTCCCATTGGCCGGTGGGAGCAGTAGGGTTGGATCTCCCAGCCAACCGTGTTCGGCGCAGTCCGCGGTGCGTGCCGGGAGTTGTGGTCCCATGGCACGCGCCCGAGTCCGCCTGCACCAAGACTCCTGGCCCGGGCCCCGACTTCTGGGGCTCGGCCCCGCCCTCCTGGGACCTGGTAGATTCTTGCCGGCCTAGCGTAGGCCGGACCGCGTCTCCCCGGCGCGAGTAGTGAGACCTGGAAGAGCCAAAGCGAGGGAAAAATTGCGGATTGGATTTTCCTGGAAGCGGAGTCGGATAACCTCCTTCAGTCTCTAAGGGAGAAAATTTGGCTCGCTCCTAGAAACCAAGGTTTTTGATGCCTTTCAAGCCCTTCACCCTCCAAAAAGCATAAATATTAGAACTAGCGGGCCGGGCGCGGTGGCTCACGCCGGTAATCCCAGCACTTTGGGAGGCCGAGACGGGCGGATCACCTGAGGTCGGGAGTTCGAGACCAGCCTGACCAACATGGAGAAACCCCGTCTCTACTAAAAATACAAAATTAGCCAAGCGTGGTGGCACATGCCTGTAATCCCAGCTACTCAGGACGTTGAGGCAGGAGACTCGCTTGAACCCGGGAGGTAGAGGTTGCGGTGAGGCGAGATGGCACCATTGCACTCTAGCCTGGGCAACAAGAGCGAAACTCCGTCTCAAAAAGAAAAAAAAAAAAAAACTAGCGAAGAAATATACAGACATAGGGAAAACATCCGACATGTTGCTAACGAATTCAACTGTTTCTTTGGGCATTAGGAGGCTTACTCATTACAGAAAAGGCATTTGTTGGGTTTGCCAGGCGCTATCAGATGTTTGCCCCAGAACGAACCTTTAACATTATAAACATTTCACAGGTGGACACGTGTTCACATGAAAACATCCTCTATATTAGCCGAGAAAATGCCCAGATGGTTGGGTTTAGCAAGTCGGCAGAACCAATGACCTAGATGTGCCAAAGCCACACCTAACAAATAATCCATGTTCTGCGACTAAAAAGCACCTTGGTCCCTATTATAGGCTCTCCACGCCTCCCCAGAGCGCTGCACCTGACAGGCATCCCATTTCTCCCTTTCCTTCCTTTTCTTTCTTTTCTTTTTCCTTTTCCTTTCCTTTTTTCCTCTTTCTTTCTTTCCTTCCTTTCTCTTTCCTTCTTTCTTTCCTTCTCTTTCCTTCTTTCTTTCCTTTTTTTTTTTTTCAGATGGAGTTTTGCTCTTGTCGCCCAGGCTGCGATGCAGTAACAGGATTTCAGCTCACTGCAACCTTCACCTCCCGGATTCAAGCGATTCTCCTGCCTCAGCCTCCCGAGTAGCTGGGATTACAGGCATACACCATCACACGTGCCTAATTTTTGTATTTTTAGTAGAGACAGGGTTTCACCATGTTGGCCAGGCTGGTCTCGAACTCCTGACCTCAAGCGATCCACCCACCTTGGCCTCCCAAAGTGGTGGGATTACAGGCGTGAGCCACTGCTCCTGGCCCGAGATCCCATTTCTAAGGAGGGATCCACTTATCACAGCTCCTACTTTACACCGAGCACTGTTTACACTTTCCATAAACTGCATTATCTCATGTAATCCTCACTATAGCCCAGTGAGGCATGTAATACTATTCCCCATAATACAGATGGGGAAACAGAGATGTGACTTACCTACCCAAGGTCACTTGGCCAATGTGTGACAGAGTCACAATTTCATCCCAGACTGACCTTGCTCCAAAACCCATGGTTCCCACTGTACCATTCAGTATCAAAAACCTGTTGATCTGAGACCACTGATTTTTCACAAGTTGCTACTGATATCGGAGGAACAGCTGCACGATGAGTGTTGTACATTCAGCTATTATATTAAGTATTTTAGAAATATTTCTGTCGCATTGAAAGATGACACTTATTTTTGATACTGGTTTCAAGAGGAATTAGTTACTTGGAAGGTACGGAATGGAAAACATGAAAAATTGTGCGTAGATTTAGAACTGGAATTTATAAATTCAGATGTGATTTGGTTTAGCTTTGTTCTCTCACAAAATTATCTGGCTGACAATCTTAGTTCTGATCTGTAGTGTCATTCTTCAACTGTGAATGCCCTTGTTCTGCTTTATTTACCCATTATTTATTATTTACTTATTTATTTTGAGGCAGTCTTGCTCTGTTGCCCAGGCTGGAGTGCAGTGACACGATCTCTGCTCATTGCAACCTCCACCACCCAGGCTGAAGCGATTCTCCTGCCTCCCAAGTAGCTGGGATTACAGGCACATGCCACACACCTGGCTAATTTCTGTATTTTTGTAGAGATGGGGTTTCACCATGTTGGCCAGGCTGGTCTCAAACTCCCGACCTCAGGTGATCCGCCCTCTTGGCCTCCCAAAGTGTTGGTATTACAGGCATGAGCCATTGTACTTGGCCTATTTACCCATTATCTTATCCTGATTATATCCTAATTATTCCTTCTGGAGATTGTGCTTTCTTTTTATTCCCATTCATACTTTAGTCATTTTCTCCAGATTCTTTTTTTTTTTTTTTGAGACGGAGTCTCGCTCAGTCGCCCAGGCTGGAGTGCAGTGGTGCAATCTCAGCTCACTGCAAGCTCCGCCTCCCGGGTTCACGCCATTCTCCTGCCTCAGCCTCTGGAGTAGCTGGGACTACAGGAGCCCGCCACCATACCTGGCTAATTTTTTTTGCATGTTTAGTAGAGACAGGGTTTCACCGTGTTAGCCAGGATGGTCTCGATCTCCTGACTTCGTGATCCACCCACCTCAGCCTCCCAAAGTGCTGGCATTACAGGTGTGAGCCACCGCGCACATGCTTTATTCTCTAGTTTAGCTTAAAATTGAGCAGTCAAATCAGAACCCCTAATACACATTTTTTTAAACTAACAATTCATGGCCGGGTGCGGTGGCTCACACTTGTAATCCCAGGACTTTGGGAGGCCGAGGCAGGTGGATCACTTGAGGTCACGAGTTTTGAGACCAGCCTGGCCAACATGGTGAAACCCCTCACTACTAAAAATACAGAAATTAGCCGGGCGTGGTGGCATATGCCTGTAATCCCAGCTACTTGGGAGGCTGAGGCAGGAGAATTGCTTGAGTCTGGGAGGCAGAGGATGCAGTGAGCTGAGATTGCGCCACTGCCCTCCAGTCTGGGAGACAGAGACCATGTCTCAAAAAATAAATAACAATTCACTTAAGAAGCATTTATTGAACATCTGTATGTGAAGCACTGCTTTAGGTGCTGAGACACAGTGGTGGGGGAAGAAACCCACCCTTGTCCTCATGGAACCTACATGGAAGGATGGGCAATAAGCAAAATAACAATCCAAACAAAAGATCAGCCTCAATGCTGGAATTAAATTTCTGGGTCCATAAACTTTCAGTCAGTCCAGTCCATCCTCTAAAGGACTGCATTATGACACCTCCCTAGAGCTTAAATCTACATTGATTCACAATTCAAAGGGGCTTCATCAAGTCCCTTTAATTCTGAGTTCATTTCTTCACCCGTAAATGGAGGTCATAGCTTACTTTACAAGGGTTTTGGGTTTTTTGTTTAATTTGATTTGTTTGTTTGAAGACAGGGCCTTACTCTGTTGGCCAGGCTGGAGTGCACTGGCACAATCTCAGCTCACTGCAGCCTCGACTTTCTGGGTTCTGGTGATCCTCTGGCCTCAGCCTCCCAAGTAGCTGGGACTACAGGGACATGCCACCACACCTACGTTTTTTTGTTGTTGTTGTTTTGTAGAGACAGGGTTCATGAGGATCAAACTAGATCTCATTTGGTTTTCCACAAAGATTGGGACTATGCTTCCTGGGAGTCACAGCAGAGGTCAGCTGCACCTGATCTAAAGCCTTATCCCTAGTTTTCCACTTTGCCATTTTCTTGTTTTAGGTGAGCCCCATGCCCAATGCCCAGACTCTAGTATTTTTTTCTAGAGATGCACTGTATTTTTTTTTTTTTTTTTTTTTTTGGAGACAGAGTCTCACTCTGTCACCCCGGCTGGAGTGCAGTGGCACGATCCCGGATCATTGCAACCTCCACCTCCCGGGTTCAAGCGATTCACCTGCCTCAGCCTCCTGAGGGATTACAGGCACCCACCACCACGCCCAGCTCATTTTGTATCTTTAGTAGAGATGGGGTTTCCCCATGTTAGCCAGGCTGATCTCAAACTCCCGACCTCAGGTGATCCGCCCGCCTCAGCCTCCCACAGTGCTGGGATTACAGGTGTGAGCCACCGCACCCGGCCAATGCACTGTACTTTAAAAATGCCTGTATAATACTGTAGAATGATACTTTTTTTAAAAACCGAGGCACAGTCTCAAGAGGTCCTGAGAACATAGGCCCTGAATGATACTGTTAAGGGCTTAAAAACTAGAATCCAAAGCCTGGCAAATGCCTGACAATCGGAAATAAATATTGCTTGGCTGGGTGTGGTGGCTCACACCTGTAATCCCAACACTTCAGGAGGCCAAGGCAGGCAGATCACCTGAGTTCAAGAGTTCAAGAGCAGGCTGACCAACATGGCGAAACCCCATCTCTACTAAAAATATAAAAATTCAGCTGGGCGCAGTGGCTCATTCCTGTAATCCCAGCACTTTGGGAGGCTGAGGCGGGCAGATCACGAGGTCAGAAGATAGAGACCATCCTGGTTAACACAGTGAAACCTCGTCTCTACTAAACATACACAAAATTAGCTGGGCATGGTGGCACGTGCCTGTAGTTCCAGCTACTCAAGAGGCTGAGGCAGGAGAATCGCTTGAACCCGGGAGGTGGAGGTTGCAGTGAGCCAAGATTACGCCACTGCACTCCAGCCTGGGTGACAGTGAGACTCCGTCTCAGGAAAACAAACAAACAAACAAACAAAAAAATTAGCTGGGCGTGGTGGTGGGTGCCTGTAGTCCCAGCTATGCAGGAAGCTGAGGCAAGAGTATCACGTGAACCCGGGAGGCGGAGGTTGCAGTGAGCTGACATCCCGTCACTGTACTCCAGCCTGGGGGATAGGGCGAGACTTTGTCTCAAAAAAAAAAAAAAAAAAAAGTAATATTGAGTAATATTGTCATATATTGAATAAATCCCTTCAAGTTCATATATCTTCATTAAAAGTGATTCAGTTAAAGCAACCCCCCAAGTTGCTAAAGGGATTCAGTACCATGTAAAGATTTCAGTTTATTCCATTAAAAAAAAAAAACACAAAACACCTACTGGAATTACACTTAACAATGGCGCCCTCTAGTGGGCCACTGCAAGGAAATAATCACCAATAATTGCTTTTAGATAAGCAATTTTGTGTTAGTTCCACTTAATAGGTAATCACCATTCAGCAGATACTGGATGAACAGCATGGGCTGGCAGGCTGGGAGACACCAAGTGAGGAGGGTAAATAAGCTGACATATGGCCCTGGGGAAAACCAAACCCAGCTACTCAGGAGGCTGAGGCAGGAAGATTGGCTGAGCCCAAGTCTATAGTGAGCCATGGTCATGCCAGTGTACTGCAGCCTGGATTACAGAGACCTTGTCTCTTAAAAAAACAAAACCAAACTTGACTCAGACTCCCACTCTTTGCCATTCCCTTCTCTCCAGAGATATACAGCCTGGATAACCTCAAAAACATGACAGGTCGATCCATCTAAAGCTGCAACACAGCCTATAGAATATTCAATTGTCTGCAAACTCCCCAAAACTAGTAATACAACTTGGGATAGGAAAAACAAAAAAAGAGGCCAGGAGCTGTGGCTCACACACATAATCCCAGCACTTTGGGAGGCAAAGGTGGGTGGATCGCTTGAGCCTGGGCAACAACAAAAAAATTCGTAAAAATAAAAAAAATAGGCAGCGTGTGGTGGCTCATGCCTGTAATCTCAACACTCTGGGAGGCTAAGGTGGGAAGATGGCTTGAGCAGGAGGGTTGCTTGAGGTCAGGAGTTCAAGACCAGCCTGGGCAACATAGTGAGACTTCATCTCTGCCGAAAAACAAAAAACAAAAACAATTAGCTGGATGTGGTGGCTCAGCACCTGTAGTCCCAGCTACTCAGAAGGCTGAAGTTGGAAACTGGTTGAGACCAGGAGGTTGAGACGTGATTGTGCCACTGCAGTCCAGCCTAGGTGACAGAGCAAGACCCTGTCTCAAAAAAAAAAAAAAAAAAAAAAAGCCAGGCATGGTGGTACGTCACATGCCTGTGGACCCAGCTACTCGGGAGGCTAAGATAGGTTCACTTGAGCCTGGGAGGTAGAGGCTCCAGTGATCTGTGATCCATGCCACCCCACTCCAGCCTGGGTGACAGAGTGAGACCCTGTCTCAAAAAAAGAAAGTGAGGTAAGAAGTTGTTTATTGTGTTGTTATAGAGAAGCATACCATTTAATGAAAAAGAGCCAAGTTGTATTTGAAAGTTATCAAATGCAGTGTTCAAAGTTACTACCATTGAGACTGTCCTAGGTTTACGTGGAGTAGTTAGGGCTCTGTCGGAAGGCATTTTGTCAGCCAAGCCCTTCCTCAGCTGTCCTCAGCTCCTTATTATTACCCGGAACAAAAGAACAGAAAACAATGATGTTAAGACATCTATAGCTGGGCTCAGTGGCTCACGCCTGTAATCCCAGCACTTTGGCAGGCTGAGGCGGGGGGATCACAAGGTCAGGAAATCAAAACCATCCTGGCCAACATGGTAGAATGCCACCTCTACTAAAAATACAAAAATTAGTTGGGCGTGGTGGCACGTGCCTGTAATCCCAGCTACTCGGGAGGCTTAGGCAGGAGAATCGCTTAAACCCAGGAGGCGGAGGTTGCAGTGAGCCGAGATCGCGCCACTGCACTCCAACCTGGTGACAGAGCAAGACTCCGTCTCAAAAAAACAAAAAAAAAAAAGACGTCTATAAATATCAAAAAATATGGCTGGGTGCAGTGGTTCATACCTGTAATCCAAACACTTTGGGAGGCCGAGGCGGGTGGATCACAAGGTCAAGAGATCGAGACCAGCCTGCTCAACATGGTGAAACGATCTCCACTAAAAACACAAAAATTAGCTGGGCGTGTTGGCGCATGCCTATAGTCCCAGCTACTTGGGAGGCTGAGGCAGAATTGCTTGAACCCAGGAGGTGGAGGTTGCAGTGAGCCGAGATCGAGCCACTGCACTCCAGCCTAGCGACACAGCGACACTCTGTCTCAAAAACAAACAAACAAGTTTGCCACATATGTGAAGACAGCGCTTGCATATAGTGTCCCTTTTTTTTTTTTTTTTGAGACAGTCTCACTCTGTCACCCAGGCTGGAATGCAGTGGCACGATCTCAGCTCACTGCAAGCTCCACCTCCCGGGTTCACGTCATTTTCCTGCCTCAGCCTCCCAAGTAGTAGAGCTACAGGTGCCAGCCACCATGCCAGGCTATGGTTTGTTTTTTCTGTATTTTTAGTGGAGACGGGGTTTCACCATGTTAGCCAGGATGGTCTCGATCTGACCTTGTGATCCACCCACCTCAGCCTCCCAAAGTGCTGGGATTACAGGCATGAGCCACCACGTCCGGCCGCCTTTTCTTTTCCTTTCTTTCGAGACAGTCTCACTGTGTCACCTAGGCTGAAGTGCAATGGTGCGATCTCAGCTCACTGCAACTCCGCCTCCCGAATTCAAGCGATTCTCATGCCTCAGCCTCCTGAGTAGCTGACTACATACAGGCTTGTGCCACCACACCCGGCTAATTTTTGTATTTTTGGTAAAGACGAGGTTTCACTGTATTGGCCGGGCTGGTCTTGAACTCCTGACCTCAGGTGATCTGCCCACTCAGCTTCCCAAAGTGCTGGATTACAGGCACATAGCACCCTTGTTTTTAAGAATGTTCCCCCAAACCTACATCAGGGCACCATTTTTAGATAGTCATCAGAAAAAACAATGCACAGGAATTCTCACATTCTTCAGCGAGAACTCTGGCGTCTTTTTATCTTTTAACTCTGAATCATCCACAAGTTAATGCTCCACACTACTTCAATTATAGGATGAAAACAGCTTTGCTTTCCCAGTCTCCATTTTTCTTTGCTTATTTTCTTCATGTTTATCTGAGTACATGGACCCAGAACATTCACTGTATTATCATGAATAATTCAGCATCTTACAAGTCACTCTCCAAGCAGGACAGATTAAGGCAGCCCGGTGTGGACATAATCACATCTATGGCTACAAGGAACACGCAACAGAAAATCAGATTCCAACCAAGCAAAAGGCTGCTTGTTTTTTTTTTTCTTTGAAACACAGTCTCGCTCTGTCACCCAGGCTGGAGTGTGGTACGCGATTTCAGCTCACTGCAACCTCCGCCTCCCAGGTTCAAGTGATTCTCCCACCTCAGCCTCCCAAATAGCTGGGACTACAGGTGCACACCACCACACCTGGCTAATTTTTTGTATTTTTAGTAGAGATGGGGTTTCACCTTGTTGGCCAGGCTGGTCTCGAACTATTGACCTCAGGTGATCTGCCCGCCTTGGCCTCCCTAAGTGCTGGGATTATAGGCGTGAGCCACCGTGCCTGGCCTGCTTGGTTAACTTTATTCTTCCAACTTTACCAGCTGCATTCTCAGTCATTTAAAGGATATAGGAATGGAGGCCAAAACAGACCATTTGGAGGTCAGGGATGCCATGTTTTCTATTGGGGCAATTTCATGGGGCACTGTGCCTTGTGAATGACAGTGAGTGGAAGACAAAGGATTCTCCATATTATTCCAGGATGGGAGCCCATTCGACTGTAACACTGTGCACTTTGAAAGAGCTGAAACTATTCCCTAATACCGGGACTCAGCTGGCAACCCAAGGAAGCACTGTTCATCTGCCACCCAGGCTTGGTGTTAGGACAGGAGAAAGCAGGCCTGTGGGCTGGAGGCCGTCACAGGGCCGTCAATGCAGACAAAGGGATGATCTCTCGAGTCTTTGCTGAGCCACATATGGGGACCACACATCACAGTCTTCACTCCTGCAAGGTCCACAGTCCCGTGCTTCTGGAGCACCTCCTTATCCCTCCTGTTCCAAAAGCCTCTGGCGTGTTTCCATCACAATCTCCTCCATTATTTCTGGCTTTAAGATGTCTTTGATCTGAAAAAGGGAAAAGGCATTTGTTCAGAAAAGAAACCAACCATAAACAGACCACCAAGCCAATCCAAACATAAATCAAGCCGTTAACATAAACTTTCTGTATTCCTTTCATGTCTCAGAGACTAAGCGTTACAAGATATGATCTGCTAGAAGCAGCCTAATAAATCAGCAAGATGCTCTGGGATATAGTCGACAAGAACAAAGATATTATTCTGACATTCATCCAAAAGCTGGCTGAAATTTGGGAGAGGTAAGATGTAGTCCAGAGGTTGCTCTCATAAACTAGTCCCACCTGACACCTCCTGCCCCAAAATCCTTAGACTGACACTAGGCATTGAGAATATTGCAAGTTTCTTAGGGAAAGATCTACCAGACACTCATTAAGGC
The DNA here is from genome assembly GCF_000001405.40 of Homo sapiens. Lineage (NCBI taxonomy): Eukaryota > Metazoa > Chordata > Mammalia > Primates > Hominidae > Homo > Homo sapiens. The sequence goes on along the minus strand of NC_000009.12, from coordinate 130,703,306 downwards.
TGTTTCAGGCCAGTTCATACTGACGGATGTTGGGAAAGTATTGGGGAGATGTGCATATTGTCTCTGAACAAACAACAGAGCAGCTCACAGATCAGTGAAGAAGGGAGAGGCCCTGGGGAGAGTACCTGATGTGGAAGGGATGCTTCATAGCAGTACAGGATGCTGGTATCATACAGCATCATCCTCTGAGTTACCAGCGAGATGATGCAGTTCCGAAGCCGGGATATCACCTCTCGATCAGCAAGAGAGACAGGCTATAAGGAGACACAGAGAGGGGAAGGGAAATACAAACAGGACCAAAATACGTGACCAGCCACAGAAATTCACAAATAAATCATTTATGACTCAGACAGTATCACCCTGGAACTCCAAATCAACCAAACAGCTAATTCCAAGGGAGATTAAAAGGAATGGGGCAGGGTGCAGTGTCTCATGTCTGTAATCCCAGCACTTTGGGAGGCCGAGGCGGGTGGATCACAAGGTCAGGAATTCAAGACCAGCCTGACCAACATGGTGAAACCCCATCTCTACTAAAAATAGATAAATTAGCAGAGCATGGTGGGGCACACCTGTAATCCCAGCTACTCAGGAGGCTGAGGCAGGAGAATCACTTGAACCCAGGAGGTGGAGCTTGCAGTGAGCCGAGATGGCACCACTGCACTCCAGCCTGGGCGACAGAGCAAGACTCCGTCTCAAAACAAAACAAAACAAAACAAACAAACAAAAAAACAGAAAAAGAATGGCTTCTTCACTGGCTCTTCGGCTATTACCCTGCAACTTTGCCACCTCCACCAACAAACACCAAACCATTCACTGAATTCATCTCCTTAGAAGAGAAGATAATATGGGCTTCATGAACATACCGTGATGGAAAGTCAAAGTGACTCAGCCTACACCAGTAACATAGCTAAAAACAACCAACTTCACTGGCCACAAAAACACAGCAAAGACTGAGCCCCCTCCATCCCACTGAAAATGGCCACAGTGTTTGCTCACCTCCAGGTTTGCAATGAAGCCCCCTGCTTCCTCTTCTTTGTGCTCAGGTGTTGGGTAAATCCAGATGAAGCCGTTGTTACCGAGAATCACTGAGGCACCACATGGCAAATCATGAAAGTGGGTCTTCTGCCGTTTCACCAGGGAGGGGGAAACCTGGACCAAAACCCCCTGACCTAGCTAAAGAAATATATCACGAAGCTAGGTCACTGCAAGATTGGCGGGATGAATGAAAAGGAGACTACAGAATATACATCCTAAGTATATTCAAATTGGTGTCCTTCCTGTTTATAATTGCTGTCGCCTACATGCATACACATAGTACACATTTTTGCAGAGAACGCTTTGGGACTCAGAGGCTATTCATACATCCCAGCAGAAGGTGACCTTCAATACTCTTCTCTGTCATTTCCCTTTGCAGTCTTCCTTGCACTCTAAGCCAGAACTCATGTGCCAGACATTAGAGAAGCTGAAGCCAATGAGGAAGTGAGCTGGAGCCTCCTGCTGGCCCAGGAGCACTGCGTTGTTCCATGACCCTAGCTCATACCTGAACCCCAAACACTCATCTTGCCTGTGAGATGTGTGCCTCTGGGTAGGTAAGGAGATGGGTGGAGCTGGGTGCAAATCCATGTCTGGTCCTGGCAGGACAGCTCAAGTCCACGTCCTGCCAAGGAAGAGTCCGCAGGACCCAGGGTTGTGAAAGTCAGCATACTGCAGCAGTCCTCTGCCTACTCCATGTACATCAACGTGGCTGTCTGCAGCCACTCCATTAAGGGAAGAGGTTTTTGTTCCACTCAGAAAATAAAAACGTTCACCCAGATAAAGCTAAGAGACTAGTAAATCCTAATTTGTTTTAGGAAGTATGCTCTCCTTAAAATAGTAAATAGCTTCAATAATGCAACCTCGTACAAGAAAAGCAGTGAAATTCCATTTAGAGGCTCAGATGACAGAGCAAGCTTTGCCAGCAATAACATCCACTGGACTGATTGGACGTTTGTCTAAGGGCTGTTTAACCAGACCCAGCCTGCCTTTGTTCCCAGGACAGCCTCAGCCCCAGTGCTGAGCTGCAGCGCCCCCTGGAGGAAGAGAGACAGCTGCACCTCCCAGCCCACAGTTGGAGGGGCTCTTCTGGTGAAAGTCAGTCTCCTTGGAGAAAAAGGATAAAACTTGTTCTTTACAAGGCTACTGACCCATGACCCTGTGAACCCTGACCGTCCTGATGTTACGTTTAAGGAACACGATCAGTTTGTGGGATGCCAGCCTCTATTAATGCTTAGCTACTGGGGTTCTTTAGGCCAGAATTCCAGAGAGCTATGGGGATTCAAAAATAGCCTTGTAGTCTCAGTCAGCAAACAGGAACATCAAGAGCCCGACTTACTTTTCCATATTTCAGGCTCCTCGTGTGCAAAGAGACAGCTCCGTCAGAGAACACTGCCTGGACCTCAGCCTGGCCAGGGTGATGAAGGAACAAACAGCAGCCTTGGCCACACACTGTCCTGTCCTCTGCAGCCTCTCCCCTTGACCCCACACCTCCATCTTTTCCTCCCCTCTCCAATGGTCCAGGCTCAACAATCTTTGACCCAGAGCACATCACTGTGACCTTACCTCTCCCCTTGGTTGTCATGAATATCTTTTTTTTAAAAATACAGACAGAAGGCCAGGTGCGGTGGCTCACACCTGTAATCCCAGCACTTTGGGAGGCTGAGGCAGGTCGATCACCTGAGGTCAGGAGTTCTAGACCAGCCTGACCAACATGGAGAAACCCCGTCTCTACTAAAAGTACAAAATTAGTCGGGCATAGTGGCGCATGCCTGTAATCCCAGCTACTCAGGAGGCTGAGGCAGGAGAATCGCTTGAACCCGGGAGGCAGAGGTTGCAGTGAGCCGAGATCCCACCATTGCACTCCAGCCTGGGCAACAAGAGTGAAACTCCGTCTCAAAAAAATAAATAAATAAATAAATAAATAAATAAATAAATAAATAAAATAAAGACAGAGGCCAGGCATGGTGGCTCATGCCCGTAATCCCAGCACTTTGGGAGGCCGAGGTGGGCAGATCACCTGAGGTCAGGAGTTTGAGACCAGCCTGGCCAATATGGTGAAACCTGTCTCTACTAAAAATACAAAAATTAGCCAGGCATGACGCACGCCGGTAATCCTAGCTATTTGGGAGGCTAAGGCAGAATTGCTTGAATCCAAGAGGCGGACGTTGCAGTGAGCCGAGATCGCGCCACTGCACTCCAGTCTGGGCAACAGAGCAAGACTCCGTCATTAAAAAAAAAGAAAAATTTAAAAAATAACATAAAATAGAGACAGAGTCTTGTTCTGTCACCCAAGCTGGAATGCAGTGGTGTGATCATAGCTTACTGTAGCCTTGAGCTCCTGGGCTCAAGCAACCCTCTGGCCCCAGCCTCCTGAGTAGCTAGGACTACAGGCATGTGCCACCACGCCCGGCTAATTCTTTTTTAATTTTTTTGTAGAGAGGGGGGTCTTGCTATGTTGCCCAGGCTGGTCTTGAACTCTTAGGCTCAAGCAGTCCTCCCTCCTTGGCCTTCCAAAGCGCTGGGATTACAGGCATGAGTCACCACACTCGGCCTGTCATTAATATCTTGACGTGAACAACACCTTCTCCACTCCCTGCGCTAAAAGTTAACACCATTAACAAAAGCCTAGTCTAAAGCACAGGCCACCGTAAGTTACAAGACCCAAAGAAATGACTTAGCAGCAGGTCCCAACAAGAGCTGGGGAGTCAGCCTGAATTAAGGAGACTGAGAAAGGATGCAGCAGAGCCCGACACTTGGTCTAAGACTCGGATCCCTGCAAGGATGACATGGTTCTTCCGTCAGAGACATACAATGGAAGGCCCATTTCCCAGTCCCACAGAAAAGCATCAAGAGGCTGGAGTGCAAAGCGCAGGATACACTGATAAGGTCCCCTTCCTGTAAGAAACCTCTCATTGCAAGCTCATCTTCTGCAGATCTTCTCCTCTGAAATACACAAAGAAATGACATTACTTAAGCCAGATCCTCAGAAAGGTCTCCATCACTTCTCTTTCACTTCCTTTTGAGATGTTTGAGGCCAACCACAATATTCAAGCACTGAGAACTATAGCAAGAGTAGGTAACCCAAGCCACTTGAGGGGAATCAGTGATAATCACGACTTTCCATCTCAAAAGACTTTTCCACAGCTCCTCTTCCTCTTTCCCTCCCTTCTCTGAGGAACATTCAGACCCCTCCCAATCTCACCTAGCCAACATTTCCATAGTCATCTTCCATGACAGCCCTCTGTGGTCCAGCAGGACCAGACTAACTCCTGCTTGGATATATCTCTGCTCATACATTTCCCTTTATCTCAGATTCCCTGAACTAGTCATTCAAAGTCTCTCCATCCTTCCAGGATCAACTCCAATGCCTGTCTTTCCTACAAGCTTCTCTCACTGAAATTTCCTTTTGTATAACCACAGCTTATTTATTCTTCTACTGCCAGGGACTAGGTCAGTTATCTTATATCCCCTGCTGGGGAACTCAATCGTGCTTGGCACTCGGCACAGAGCTTGGCACAGTAAGCCTCTCTGTAAATACACGCTGGACTGAAGATCAAGGTGAACCATGGCATTTTACAAAAGGCTGTGGCTTAGTTACTGTGGTTGTCTGGAATGCCAGCAACCACATTCCACACATGGTTGAATGAAATGCCTTTCAATTCACAAAAACCTAATGTAAAGACAACTTTTCAAGGAACATCTTCACTATGCAAGGCTGTTATATCCAAAAAGGAAAACTGTTAACAACCAGCATCTAAGGGCTTCTCTCCCCAACTCTCTGTTGGGATCCCACCCCATGGATGTTTCTGATCCTACCATATGCCAACTGCTCCCTCTTTCGGGAGACCTGGACAGGGTGAAAAGTCTACATACACATCTAGGCAGCAAACTTCACAGCAGACAAACAGGAGTCAAAGGGGCAACCTCAGTGTAAATCAAAGTCCTCTGGTGGAACAAAGGGTCCCACGGCTCCCCCCAGCCCACTGGGCCCTAGTCCATGGCCCCAGCTGTAGCCCTTACCAGCTCTCCTCCAGGAAGGTTCATGGACGAGAGCAGCAAGACCGAATCCAGCCTGGAGTTGGTCTCCACCTTCCACCTCTTCTGTTGAACCTATAAGCCAAGTTCCACACCTGGACACATGCTCCATGTTCATGTGTCATATCATAAATAACCAGTAAGGCCAGATGTGGTGGCTCACGCCTGTAATCCCAGCACTTTGGGAGGCCGAAGCTGGTGGATCACTTGAGGTCAGGAGTTTGAGACCAGCCTGACCAATATAATGAAACCCCATCTCTACTAAAAATACAAAAATTAGCTGGGCGTGGTGGCGGGTGCCTGTAATCCCAGCTACTTGGGAGGCTGAGGCAGGAGAATCGCTTGAACCTGGGAGGTGGAGGTTGCAGTGAGCCAAGATCATGCCACTGCACTCCAGCCTGGGCGACAGAGCGAGACTCCATCTCAAAAAAAAAAAAACATGAACCAGTAATCTGAAATCGAACAAGCCACATATTTACATCAGAAGCCACACAACGGCCAAATGCAATGAATGCCTTTTTCATGTAACTACAAGTGGAATGACTGTCCCATGAATGAAATCGCCAGCCTGCCTCGACTTTGTAAACACCAATCTGATATCGACGTTACCTCTGTGATTCGTCCCACTACGATGTCTCCTACTTCACCAATGTATCTGAAAGACAAAACACAAGGGGTTCATCCATCTGTGAGCAGACTTTCTGACAAGACCACACACCATTTGAGATGTCGGTTCAACAGGGTGAAAGCCTGGAACAGGCGCCACATTCAGCAAATTCATGTAACTATATTGTCTGGACTTACTTTCAGAAACTGCTAACTTCAAACATTCCTCCACGTATAAAGTCTCCATTAACTATCCTTAGACATATCACCATTCCAAGTAGTTCATTTAGCCCAAAAACCCTATTTTGTTCGATTACACGACAATGAAAAACACGGACTATTTTCCTGTGGCACATGGATGAGTTCTGCACCAGCCAAAGGAAGAGAAAGGAAATCTGAGCCAGGACTCCAACCACACAAGTCTGCTCACGTCTCCTCCACTTACTCACTGCCTGCTCCTCTCAAGCCCCTTTGCTAGTTCCTTACCCGCGATTCTAATGAGACGTACTCAGTGCTGAGGCTAAGTCCTTAGACCTCTTCACTTTTCGGCCACTCAATCTAATACCTTTAAAACACCACTCTGTGCTGTGACTGTGCCACTCTCCTGAATTCCAAATCCTACTCAACTGCTAGCTACCCAACTCTGCCATCTAGATGACTAACAGGCATTTTCAAATGTATCAAGCACAAAACTAAGCTTTCCCGCAGCCCCCTCCAGTCCTCCATAGCAAACCGAGATAGGGGATGAGTTGTCCCCATCTCAGTCAACGGTGACTCCATCCCCTCAGTTGCTCAGGCCAAAAACCTCGGAGAGTTCCTTGATTCCTCTCTCTCTCTCACGCTCCAGGACAAGTCCAGTAGCAAAACCTGTTGGCTCTACCCTTAAAACATATGCAGGAAATAAAAGGCATCCAAATTGGAAAGGAAGAAGTAAACTTATTTCTATTCACAGTTGACGGGGTCCTATGCACAGTAAAGCCCAAAGAATACAAAACCCAACAGCTTTTCATGATTTTAAAAAAACACTCGGAAAATAAAATCTGTGTAGATTCCAATCACTCCTCCACCTTCCACTGCTCCCACCTTAGTTGAAGCCACCATCACTTCAGATCATGAGTATGGTCCCTAATCCACCTCCCTAAGCTTGCCCTATCCCCCTTCAATCTCCCATCAGCAGCCAGAGTGAGCTTAAGTCCAGATCAAGTCCCTCCTCTGCTCCACCCCTTCCAGTGCTTCCCAGATTACACAAAGTAGAAGCCAAAATGCTTACTCTGGCTACAAGGCAGGCCCACGCCCGCCCACCTCAGCTCTCTGCTTACATCTGCCCCTTCTCTCCCCCTCACTCACTCTGTTCCAACCCCACTGGCTTGCTTTCTGGGGCTAACCTTCATTGAATGCTTCTAGGTATCAGGCTCTGTGCTAAATACTTTACAGGCACCATCTCACTGAATTCTAAAGAAAATCCTAGGCCAGGCACAGTGGCTCACGCCTGTAATCCCAGCACTTTGGGAGGCCAAGTGGGGGGAAATCATCAGAGGTCAGCAGTTCGAGACCAGCCTGGCCAACATGGTGAAACCCTGTCTCTACTAAAAATCGAAAAAAATTAGCCAGGCGTGGTGGAGGGCGCCTGTAATCCCAGCTACTCGGGAGGCTGAAGAAGGAGAATTGTTTGAACCCGGGAGGCGAAGGTTGTAGTGAGCCGAGATCACGCCACTGCACTCCAGCCTCGGCAACAGAGTAAGACTCCATCTCGGAAAAAAAAAAAAAAAAAAAAAGAGAAAATCCTATGAAGTAGGCCATGCTATTATACTCACTTTGCAGAGGAGGTAACCAAGGCTTGGAGTGGTGACATAACATGGGGAAACCTCTGAAGCCTGCACTGATCTGCACCACCCCACCTACAGTCATGGTCAAAACCTCAGACTTACAGCATGACAGGGCAGGCAGGGGTGGGGTGGGGGATAAGGAGGGGGCAGGAAAAGCCTGGTTGTACAACCTGATGCTGCAAGAAAGGGAATACACACCTTTTGTTCTCACCTGGTTTTCAAAGCTTTCACACAGATCAACTTGTTTACTCTCTCCACAGAGCCAGCAACAGATGCAATGAGCTTCTCTTCTCCCATATACGTTCCATGGCCCCTGATGCAAGGCGAAGATACAAAGAAAGGATACGAGGGTAACTCGAAATGACTTCTCTCCCTTCAAGAACAACGTGTTCCTCAAAGCTAACAGGCTCCCCCTGCAAAGCGTGGCTTCTGTGCTGGCTGCTCCCTCTGCCTTCAGTGCTCCTTCTCCAGACAGCTACTTGGACATCACTCCTCTCACTCAGGTCTGCTCAGGTGTCACTTTCTGCAGCAGGCCTACCTTGACTGTGCCATTGAAAACACAGCCCACCCTGTTGCCACCATTCCCCCCACATACCATTGACCCTGCTCCACTTTTTTCCCTATTGCATTATTGCCTAACATTCTGAATAACTTATTCATTGCGCTTATTATCTATCTCTCCCTGTTAGAACTCCACCAGGACAGAGATTTTTCACTCTGCCATAATAACCCAACTGCACAAAATATATGTTGAAAGCATTAATGAAAGAATGAATCTTAAGATTTCCTAGGGGCCAGGCATGGTGGCTCATGCCTGTAATCCCAGCACTTTGGGAGGCCGAGGCGGGCAGATCACACTTGAGGTCAGGGGATCGAGACCAGCCTGGCCAACACAGTGAAACCCTGTCTCTACTAAAAAAAAAAAAAACCAAAAATTAGCTAGGCATGGTGGCGTGCACCTGTAATCCCAGCTACTCAGGAGGCTGAGGCAGGAGAATCACTTGAACCCAGGAGGCAGAGGTTGCAGTGAGCCGAGATCGCACGACTGATCTAAGACAGACTCCGTCTCAAAAAAGAAAAAAAAATTTCCTGGTATCCACTAACCTTAAACTAACAGGTTAAAGGGCAATGCTATGAATGCTGTGCCCCTTGTACATATACAAGTAAAAAAATAATAATAATAAAGGTTGAAACACTAGTGTTATCTATGATGATATAATGGCTGGTTTTACTTCTTTTCTTACATAATTGTCTCATTTAATCCTCATTACCGTATCATACTGTTATTATCACTATCTTACAGATGAGGAAACTGACCGTGGAGAGGCAATGCCGCTAATAAGATGTGATGGTAGCAGGACCGGAACCCCAACTGTCTGACTCAAGAGCCTTCCCTCTTAACCACAATACACTGCACTACACCCCTTAGATTCAAAATGTGTATAAATGGGTGCATGCAGCACAATGTAACTGTTTGCCCTAAGATCGAACAATTACGGATTCTAAACTGAAGAGGAGGCAGCCAAGAACGCCCACCGTCCCCTCAGAGAGCTGAAAACTGGAAAAGAGCCTGCACCTAACCCTCCCCAGCTTTCCAGGTCTCCCACAAGGAAGGATCAAAGATTTGGACTTCAGGCAGAAGACCCAAAAGTCACAGCCACCGGAGGTCAGGAGTGGAGGGTTTCAGGGAGCTGAGACAAATGCAGACGGGGACACACAAGATGCAGGGAGCAAGAAGCACGAGGCTCGGAAGCGAGGTGTGTAGGATGCTCAGACGAAGTGCCCTGGGTCCCGCGGGGAGTTACACACACAGGGATACGAGGCCTGGACCACGTGCAGAGAGCCCTGAAGCCGCTCTCTGAAGCCTCGACTCCCCCAAGTCCCCACGTACCGCATGAATCCTGTGTCCGTAGTGATTGTATCCCCCGGCACCACTAGATGTTTCTTAGTGTCGCGGCCCAGTCTCTCGCTAAGAGGCTTGCGAGCCACTGGAAGCCTCATCTCCATCGCCATCTTGGCGCCAATGAGTTGCGCAGGCGCAGCTCAGTCGGGAGCTGCGATATCCGACTCCACAACTCCAGGCCGCGTTCGGAGGGGCGGGGAAGGGCGGGGACTCAGAGCAGCTGCCAATGAGAACTCACGGCCTAGAGGCCATGTTTACAATTGGCAACAATAAGGCGAACCCGAAGGGAAGGGAGCCGAGCTGCCATGTCTACTATTGGCAAGGAAGCACCCGTGGAATAATAAAATCTCACGTTGTGTGGCGTGTGACTTTTTACCAAAACTGTCTTGTACTCATCATCCCATTTATTGTTTACCAGGGTTAGAGATAATTGAGAAACGGACCTCTGAGTTTCTGTCCAATTCTAAGCTGCTGAAATCCGATATTTTGTAAGAGAGAGCTCAGGAGGATGGAGAGATGGGATCTACAGAAAACACTATTTGAACAGAAAGAAGAGCCCCTTTCCACACGGTTCCCAGTAGCGCCAGGATTCTACATTGCGGCCGCCCCGTGGGTGCTGGCTCAACATCATCATCTATAACCCCAAACCGGGCTCCAGATACTTCTCACTTGGTTCTGTCCTTTCATAAGGACTCCTTTGAACAAGCTAATTTACTCCAATATTTCTTTTGGAAACAAGTTAAAAATCGTCTAAGAAAACAGGTCAAACCTTGCAAGCCAGGTATATTTGGTAGGGAAGGGAAGAGCACACACAATGCGAAGATCTTGGCTTGCATTTAGTTACACAGCGAGTTGAGCGCTCTCTGTGTGCCAGGCGCTGTTCTAAGGACTCAGCGGGGAACAGACGGATGTCTCTGTGGGTTTTTCTGCGGCTCCGTTTTAATAGGAGGGTACCCCTCGCCCCTTCTCCCCGTCCCCCACTACCCTCTCCCTCTCCTTGCCCTGCATTCACAAGAAACTAATTGGGGATGGTAACTCCCCATGCACAGGGACTCTAAAGACGATTAAATGAAATCATTGGCATCAGCTGTGGTCAGTAAAGCCGGTAAACCAAGTCCGCCTCCTGAAGAAAGATCCATCGAGCCAATTGTTTTATAAATCTCCAAAGCGACAGCATTTCTTCCACTTAAGCAAGTCTCACGACCACACTTAAGAAAGCCAGCCCTGCCAGGCAGTCGATGACATGAATGCTAGTGCCCCGAGGCCCTGGGTAAGCGGGCTGCCAGACCCTCGCCCTCTGCCGTGCCTGGAGGAAGGCACTAGAGCCCAGCCCCTCGGTCCAGTCCTGCCGCGGCCATAAGAGGGCGATGGTGTCCTCTGAGCTCGCGTAGCCCGGCAGCCGGGGAGCCAGGCCCAGCGAGCGGCCCTAGGCGGAGCGAGAGTGTAGGCCTGACACCATCCAAGTTCTTCCCGGGAGGGAGAGACGTCGCCTTTACCCCGCGCATTCTCACAGCGTTCACAAGGTTGGCATTGTGGATACCAGTTTATGGAGGAGGAAATCGAGGCCCCAAAAGGAATGGAATTCACATTAGCAGATGGCTGCAAAGCCGATGTGTGTTCCAACTGCACGCGATTTACCCCAGAGCCTGCACCCTTTACCAGAAATAGCCCGAGTGCTTCGGCTGGTCCTTTGCTGAGTGCTTTACAAATACTATGTTATGTATTCCTCACTTTCAGCCCATCTTCGAGATAGGCATTGCTATCCCTGATGATCACTTGGGGCCACCGAGCCCCCCAAACAGACCCGTAACTGGGACTAGAATCCAAAACGACAGGGACTCCCCCTCTCCCATCCCCAGTGCTCCTCTTTCTGCATCATCACACGCACCTTTTTTTATTTTTATTTTTTTCGAGACAGAGTCTTTGTCACCCAGGCTGGAGTACAATGACACGATTATGGCTTACTGCAGCCTCGTCCTCCTGGGCTCAGGTAATCCTACCACCTCAGCCTCTTGAATAGCTTGGACTACAGGCACATGCCACCAGGCTCGGCTAATTTTTTGTATTTGTCTTGTGAAGACAGGGTTTCACCGTGTTGCCCAACCTGATCTCGAACTCCTAAACTCAAGTGATCCGCCCACCTTGGCCTCCCAAAGTGCTGGGATTACAGGCATGAGCCACCAAGCCCGGCCACACTTACCCCTTTACGACCAGTAGACAAGTGGGTACCCGGAGACGAAGCAGCACATCCCAGGGGGCTTGTAAAAAGTATAGATTCCTTAGGCATTGAGGCTGTAAACCCCGAATATCTGAGACAGGTCTCAGTTAATTTAGAAAGTTTATTTCACCAAGATTGAGGATGTGCCTGTGGCACAAGCTCAGGAGGTCCTGACAACCTGTGCCCAAGGTGGTCGGAGCGCAGTTTGGTTTTATACATTTTGGGGAGACATGAGGCATCAATCAACATATGTGAGATGAATATTGGTTCGGTCTGGAAAGGCTGGACAACTCGAAGCTGGGAAGGGGCTTCCTGGTGATAGGTAGATAAGAAACAAATGGTTGAGGCCAGGCGCGGTGGCTCACGCCTGTAATCCCAGCACTTTGGGAGGCCGAGGTGGGCGGATCACGAGGTCAGGAGATCGAGACTACCCTGGCTAACACGGTGAAACCCCGTCTCTACTAAAAATACAAAAAAAAAAAAAAAAAAAAAATTAGCCGGGTATGGTGGCTGGTGCCTGTAGTCCCAGTTACTCGGGAGGCTGAGGCAGGAGAATGGCTTCAACCCGGGACGCGGAGTTTGCAGTGAGCCGAGATCGCACCGCTGTACTCCAGCCTGGGCGACAGAGTGAGACTCCGTCTCAAAAAAAAAAAAAAAAAAAAAGAAAGAAAAAAGAAACAAATGGTTGCATTTTTTGTATTTTTAGTTTCTGATTAGCGTCTCCAAAGGAGGCAATCAGGTATGCATTTATCTCAGTGAGCAGAGGGGTGACTTTGAATAGAACGGGAGGCAGGTTTGCCCTAAGCAGTTCCCAGCTTGACTTACTTTTCCCTTTAGCTTAGTGATTTTGGGGCCCCAAGATTTATTTGCCTTTCACAAGGCTCTGCAAAGGTAAGGTCCAGAAGTCTGTGCGTGTTTTAACTCCCTATGTAATTTCAATGGCGGAAAAGGTCTAAGATTCACTGATGCCACACATCTGTGCATCTCCGCAGCCACTGCCCCAGGCTGATCAACGGCATCTCTTACCAGGGAGATAACCTCCTAGCTTGTCTTCCTAATTCTACTTTTGTCCTTCCTATCATCCAATCTCCGCACAGCAGCCAGAGAGAGCTTTAAAAACAGATTAAATCACTTCTCTGCTTCCAGCACTTCTTGACTCCTGCCTGTCTCTGACCTCACGCTCGTCCTAACCCACTGCGTTACTCACTATGCTGCAGCCGGACTGTTAACGGTGGAGGGTGCCCAGCTTCTCGGCGTCTTGGACAAAACATACAGACAAAACAAGGAAAGAATAAAGCAACAAAAGCAGAGATTTATTGAAAACGAAAGTACACTCTACAGGGCAAGAACAGCTCAAGCAAAGAAACTCAACAGGCTCCTTACAGAAGTTTCTGGGGTTTAAATACCCTCTAAAGGTTTCCCATTGGTTATTTGGTGTACGCCCTGTGTAAATGAAGGAGTGGCCCGTGATCAGTCTGATTGGTTGTGGAAAGTGGCCAATCAGAGGCTGAAGTTAAAAGTTACACCCTACGCCAATGTCTGATTGGCTGTGGAAAGTTATCAATCAGAGGCTGAAGTGAAGTTACAAAGTTATACTCCCATGCAAATGAAGACTTGGCCACCTACCAGCCTGACTGGTAGTGGGAAGGGAGCAATCAGAGGTACTTTCAGTTTTTCATCTGCACACAGAAAAGCTGGGATTGCAAAGGGAGTAGCCTCTGGTCCTTTGGTTACTTGGACGTGGAAAGTTGGGGTTTTCCTTTTGATTTAGTTCTAGAAAGTCAGTGTGAATCAGCCTTATGTTCCCTGCCTCCAGACCCTATTCTCCTGCCTCAAGACTAGCTGGCTTCCCCTCGGTTCCACAGCACCAAGCTTCTCATCACTCCAGGGCCCTTCACTCTGGTCTCTTTCTGCATGAATTCTCTTCTCCCAGGCTTTTGTGTGGCTGGCTCCTTCTCCTCACTCATGGCTTGCTCAAACATCACCTCCTCAGAGAAGACTTCCCTGATCACCTTATCTGGAATAACTTTCCAGTCCTTTTTTTTAATCCCTTGATCCTGTTTTACTTCTTGTCACTGATTTTTCTTTTTCTTTTCTTTTCTTTCTTTTTTGAGAGAGAGACTTGGTCTTGTCACCCAGGCTGGAGTGCAATGGCGCGATCTCAGCTCACTGCAACCTCTGCCTCCTGGGTTAAAGAGATTCTCCTGCCTCAGCCTCCGGAGTAGCTGGGATTACAGGAACCCATCACCACGCCCAGCTAATTTTTGTATTTTTAGGAAATACGGGGTTTCACCATGTTGGCCAGGCTTGTTTCAATCTCCTGACCTGAAGTGATCTGCCCACCTTGGCCTCCCACAGTGCTGGGATTACAGGTGTGAGCCACCATGCCTGGGCTTCAATTTTCTTTCTTTTTTTTTTTTTTTTTGTTCATTGATTGCAGTCTCCCCCCACTAGAACATGCATTGCTGAAAACAGGGACTTTATCTATTCTGTTCATCATATATCAATGCTTAGATCCAGGCCTGGCACACAGGGCAGCCATAAAATATTTGTTGAAAAAAATACAATATATTTACAAAATACAGATTTGCTTGTCTGCTCATCGCCTGTCTTCCCACAGGATATGAGCCCCACCAATACCCAGACTGTCCATTTGGTTCACTGCCCATTTCGTATATATGCTTGATATATAGTAGGCCCTTGTATTAAGCATGCATTTGCTCTTTTTTTTTTTTTTTTTTTTTTTTTTGAGACGGAATCCTGCTCTGTCGCCCAGGCTAGAGTGCAATAGTGTGGTCTCTGCTCACTGCAACCTCTGCCTCCTGGGCTCAAGCGATTCTCCTCTTGAACCTACTGCAGCCTCCTGAGTAGCTGGGATTTTAGGCACCTGCCACCACGCCTGGCTAATTTCTGTATTTTTAGTAGAGACGGGGTTTCACCATGTTGGCCAGGCTGTTCTCGAACTCCTAACCTGGTGATCCACCCGCCTCGGCCTCCCAAAGTGCTGGGATTACAGGTATGAGCCACTGTGCCCAGAGCCTTTGCTTTTCTGTACTCAGATGCTTTGAGATCTTGGGGACTTGCTCTTCCCAGAGGGACTGCCCCAACCAGGGTTAACTGGTTCCTGGAGATAGTGAAGAACTCACCCAGGAGGTCCCTTGCAAATGCATGCCACCCAATCCAGAGCCCACACCCACAAACACCTCCTTTATTAGGCTCTCTTACTCAGGGCCAGTATCCAACTGCCCTGATCATCCCAAGGCCAGACACCAGACAGCTAGGGAAAGCCCTTATATAAACCCCAGCACCTACTGCAGTTATTCAAACCAACCAATCCTAAGGCTGCTTACCTTGCCTCACCCATTCCTTCCCATGGAAACCACAATAAAGGCTCTTGCTCATGTTTACCCCTCCTTCCCTCTGCCTCCTGACCAACCCGGTGCTTTCCTGTGCGGCTCTGCATGGCGCACCCTGCCTCTTGTTTCTAGAACAAAGATTTCCATGTTGGCATACCATGTCAGATTTCAGGACCCTTGAAACAGCTCTCTGCTGGGCGCAGTGGCTCACGTCTGTAATCCCAGCTCTGTAGGAGGCTGGGTGGGTGGATCACTTGAGGTCAGGAGTTCAAGACCAGCCTGGCCAACATGGTGAAACACTATCTCTACTAAAAATACAAAAATTAGCCGGGCATGGTGGCAGGTGCCTGTAATCTCAGCTACTCAAGGGGCTGAGACAGGAGAATTGCTTGAACCTGGGAGGTGGAGGTTGCAGTGAGCCGAGATTGTGCCATTCCACTCAAGCCTGGTTGACAGAGTGAGACTCCATTAAAACAAACAAACAAACAACAACAACAACAACAAATCTCTCAGTAAATCTCTGTTGAATTGATGAATAAACTTTTTCAGCAGGCATTTGCTGGGCACCAGCTATGTGCTGTGGGACCACAGAGCTGGATCATTTGAGGCCCCAGTCATCAAAGTGCTAAGATGTTCAAAGATGGGGAAGGGAGAGGGAGGACAGACAGAAAAGCTTGCCTGACAGAGGAAGCATTTGAATGAGCCTTGAAATGAGGGAACCATGGACCCTGAGGAGTTGGGGTGGGGAACAGGTGAACTCCAGGTGAAAGTAACTGGCAAGGAAATTCTGAAAAACATGAAAACAGAGGCAGCAGGGACTCTCTAGCCCAAAACTCTTGGTTCAATCCTCATCTACCTACTGGGTTCACCTCGTGTTCCATTGAAATAGTAAAATGGTAAAAATAACTGCATAAACCTTTTTTTTTTTTTTTTTTTGAGACAGAGTCTCGCTGGAGTACAATGGTGCGATCTTGGCGCACTGCAACTTCCACTTCCCAGGCTCAAGTGATTCTTGTGCCTCAGCCTCCCAAGTAGGTGGGATTATAGGCGCCTGCCACCACGCCCAGCTAATTTTTATATTTTCAGTAGAGCTGGGGTTTCCCCATGTTGGCCAGGCTGGTGTCGAACTCCCAGCCTCAAGTGATCCGCCCACCTGTGCCTCCCAAAGTGCTGGGACTATAGGCGTGAACCACTACGCCTGGCCAACTGCATAAACTTTCTAAGCAGAGACGTGCACACAGATTTCAGCCTAAGGATGCTCATCAAAGCATCACTTGTTCTGAAAGTATTAGAAACAGTGTCAATGTCTATGGTCATATTAAGCATGTCCCTGAATATTTTCATACTTCTTCAATCAAGAAGTGGGGTCTGGCCAGGAGTGGTGGCTCAGGCCTGTAATCCCAGCACTTTGGGAGGCTGAGGCCTGTGGATCACTTGAGGTCGGGAGCTCGAGACCAGCCTCACCAACATGGTAAAACCCCGTCTCTACTAAAAACACAAAATTAGCCAGGTGTGGTGGCAGGCGCCTGTAATCCCAGCTACTCGGGAGGCTGAGGCAGGAGAATTGCTCGAACCCAGGAGGCAGAGGTTGCAGTGAGCCGAGATTGTGCCACTGCACCGCAGCCTGGGCAAGAAGAGCAAAACTCCGTATTAAAAAAAAAAAAAAAAAAAAAAAGAAGTGGGTTCTGTGCATCCTCTCCTGCCACAGGACAGGATTCTGACTGCTTTGATGGACAGCATATGTCAGAAATGCCTCTGTGTGACTTCAAAAGCTAGGTCAGAATAGACCATGCCACTTCCTCCTGGTTCTCCTTTTTTTTTTTTTTTTTTTTTTTTTTTTGAGACAGAGTCTCACTCTGTAGCCCAGGCTGGAGTGCAGTGGCCTGATCTCAGCTCACTGCAAGCTCCACCTCCCAGATTCATGCCATTCTCCTGCCTCAGCCTCCTGAGTAGCTGGGACTACAGGCACCCGCCACCACGCCTGGCTAATTGTTTGTGTTTTTAGTAGAGATGGGGTTTCACCATGTTAGCCAGAATGGTCTCAATCTCCTGACCTCATGATCCGCCCGCCTCGGCCTCCCAAAGTGCTGAGATTACAGGCGTGAGCCACTGCGCCCGGCCCTCCTGGTTCTCTTGAAACACTTGCCTTTGAAGCCCTGAGCTGACACATAAGAAGTCTGACTATCCTGAGGCAATCATATTGTGAAGAAACAGCCATGCCTGGCAACTAACCTGCCACTGTCCATAACTTCCTCTGCTCATCCACAGACATACATCCCAGCAGGCCACCTGCAAGGCAGGAGGGAAGCTGGAAACTCAGAGTGTCCGTTCCTCTAGTTCAAGGGATTCAAGAATAGTGGGCATCGGCCGAGCGCGGTGGCTCACATCTGTAATCCCAGCACTTTGGGAGGTCAGGAGTTCGAGACCAGCCTGGCCAATGTGGTGAAACCCTATCTCTACTAAAAATATAAAAAATTAGCCGGGCATAGTGGTGCATGCCTGTAGTCACAGCTACTTGAGAGGCTGAGGCAGGAGAATAGGAGAATTGCTTGAACTGAGCAGGCAGAGGTTGCAGTGAGCTGAGATCGTGCCACTGCACTCCAGCCTAGGAGACAGAGCAAGACTCCGTCTAAAAAAAAAAAAAAAAAAAAAAAGAATGGGCATCAGAAAGGGCTGAAGGAAGGGAGTGCAAACAGCTGCCTCAGATGTCCTCTGGGGGCTGCCCAGTGGGGTGAGTGGTAGGAGCATCTGCCACCCTTCTCACCCGCCAAAGGCATGCTTGTATTAACAAAGATTCCAATTTATTGAGCACATACTATGTGCCAAGCACTGAGTCATGTATGTATTCACATATAGACATTATCCCATTTGATCCTCATGTCAACCTTAGGAGCTAAATATCACTCCACTTTACATGTGAGGAACCTGAGGCACAGAGATATTAATTGACTTGCCCAAGATCACACAGCTAGTGAATGGCAGAGTGGAGTTTCAGACCCAGATCATTGGCCTCTATCTAGAATCTTCTATTGCTGGAGGTCTTGGACCATGCAATAAGGCAAGAAAAAGAAATAAAAGACATCCCAATTAGGATGGAACAGGTAAAAGTGTTTTTATTCACTGGTAACATGATCATGTGCTTAGAAAGTCCTAAGGAATGTACAAAAAAGTACAGGAATGAATAAGTGAGTTTTGCTAGGTTGAAAAATACAAGGTCAATATACAGTGCTGGACTACACTGCATCCCCATGGGAGATGCAGAAAGCCCTTTGGACTGAATCTGCGGGCTGACCAGGAGGTGATGTGGCCTAATAGTCACAGGCGTGGCTTCTGGGGTCAGACACTTGAAGGGAACCCCACTCTGCCACTCACTGAATGAGTGATGTGGCAAATTATTTACTCTCTCTATGCCTCTGTTTTGTTGTACTTCACATGGACATTGATTAAAAGAGCATTGGGGGAAAAGATTGGGGGGTAGTATCCACTTGTGGGTTTGTGAGGAGGATTTCTGGAATACATATGTTTAAAGCCCTAAGACCGGCTGGACTCATGCCTGTAATCCCAGCACTTTGGGAGGCCAAGGTGGGTGGATCACCTGAGGTCAGGAGTTCAAGACAAGCCTGGCCAACATGGTGAAACCCCATCTCTACTAAAAATACAAAAAATTAGCTGGGCGTGCTGGCGGGTGCTTGTAATCCCAGCTACTTGGGAGGCTGAGGCAGGAGAATCGCTTGAACCTGGAGGCAGAGACTGCAGTGAGCCATTGCACTCCAGCCTGTGCAACAAAAGTGAAGCTCCATCTCAAAAATAAAAATAAAAATAAAGCCCCAAGCCCAGGGCTGGCCCACAGAAACTGCCATGGCTGTGTTTGCATGTCTTTGATTAGGGGGGCTGCAATCTCAGGAAAGGGGCCTTAGGCCTCTGCTGGAAATGCAAGCAAAGTAAGAGGTTAGGCTTTTCAGCATCATGCCTCCCTCCAGCGTGCAAATCACAAGTCACATCCTTTCACCCTGGTATCCCAGGCCCTGGCAGCACACTTCTGTGGAAACAGATCTGTGGGCAGACCAGAGGCACCTTGGTCTGCAGTTACAGCCAGCTACCACCAGGTGGGTTCTGGAGCCTGGGATGGGGATCCTTGGATCTGTTAGCTGAGACTTCACAGGACAGAATGACCCACAGAAAACAATTTCGATTTTTGTTCAAGGGCCTCACTGACCTCTCTGAGTTCTGACTCTGGGAGGCTCTACTTCAGGAAGCCAGAATTATTTCCTGGGAGTCTCAACATGTGGGCAGGAAAAGCACCTGCCTTTTCACCCCTTGGCATCCAAGGGAGGGGGACTCAGGACAGATAGGCTTTGGTCAAGGGAACAAGAGGCCTGGATGGGGGCTGCATGGGAGGGGGGAATGCAGGGGCCACCGGAGGCATTGGGAGCCTAATGGTGGGGTGTCAAAGGAGAAGCGAGGTTCCAGTGGGAGGAGAACCAAAGGTGACTTCCCCCACTGGCCTGAGGGAGTGAACCCCAGATGGGGCCTGCAAGTGAACTCATCAGGTGTCCAACCCTGCCTGTGCCTCCATTTCCAGGGTCCAAGACAAATCACTCAAAGTAAGGGGGTCTTTAGGAGTACACCCCTGAAGTTCCAAGTGGGGCTGGGCTGTGTGTCCAAGTGTAAATTCCCAAGTGTCTGCAGGTGCACATGTGTGCACACGTGTGCTGGATGAAGATGCAGAGTTGTATCTGCGGGATGCCAGGAAACCACACACCCAGTGGGTTGGACGATGACACCCTCATGGCTGGTGTATGCTGGAGCACAGGTGTGAACTCACACTCCCCTGCACGCACCTCCTTCCTGGAGAGGAGAGGTGAGACTGGCCCTATAGGAACCATGAAGCCCTCTGGCTTTAACTAGAGGTCTTCCTGCTCCCTGGTCTTCTTCAAGAGGGTCTGGAAATGGGTGCCCAGAACATTTGGAGAGTCTAGGCATTGGGAGGGCACTTGGTGGCCATTTTGGCCCATTCCCACTGGCTGCTTGAACTCCTTTGAGTTGGCCATTAAAATGAAAAAAAAAAAAAAAAGTAAATATTTGGGAGAAGTTACAAAATAAGGCACTGATGTTTGAGCCAGCTGGAAACCGGGAGAAATCTGCCTGGCCCCTTTCAAGATTTCCGGTTGCTTTGCACTGTGGCCCATCTCACTGAGCTCTGACATCCCAGTTGTGACAGAGAGAATTTTCCTGTACACACCAGTAAGTGGAACAACGCTTACCCGCCCCTTTCCAGCTTCTAGACACTTTCTATATTTCCTTCCTACAGATAAAAGTGTCCACCCATTCAGATGCTAAATGATAAATGTTCCAAGTAATTTTTATTTTAGAATACAAGAGAGGTACAAATGTATTTACAGTTGTACATATACAATCAAATAATAATATATTACAGTTTTGTAAATATCATTTTAGATAAATATTTACAAGGTTAAAGTGACCATCTTCTGGAAGTAGAACGCAGTTTCTTGAAAACTCTATACATTTTATACTTTTCATTAATATTATAGTTTATTTTACAAAACGCCCTACGGGAATCCTGGTAAATGACTGCAAAGTGTGAGAGGCGACACCAGAGGGCGCGCACGGCCCGAATTTGAGGAAACGGGCAGGGACCGAGGGAAGTGTGGGCAGACTGGGCGGAATTCCCGGGACTGGGCACAGCTCGGAAGCGCTTCGTGGCCACAGAAGCCACCTTAACCTCTCGGGCAGCGGTTCCAGTCTTGCCCTCCTCTCGCTGGAGTGTGTGTGTTGGAAGGGGCTGGGGGTATATTTCGCCTTCCCAGGCACGATGTCACAGCTGAAGGGGAGGGGGCATTGGTCCAACTCCTTCATTTTACAGATGGGGAAACTGAGGCCCAAAGAGGTGCAGGGTCTTGCTCGGGGTCCCACAGAGGATTTCCATTGTGCCTCCACTCTCAACGTGCCTGGTGCACTGCAAAGAGCTCCTTCCTCATCCGTCCCCAGGAGCCAGGTTTGGGGGTAAGCTGGCCTAAAGGAGAGAAGGGCCCAGAAGATGCATCTCTCCGGGTCTCTTCCCGCTGCCGATGGACCCCAGTAGCCCGCACATGTCAAGGTTGCGTAAGGACTCCCGACACTTCAGGACACCAGTCCCAGGGGCCGGAAGAGGAGATGGCGCCCCCACAACCCCCGCGCCCGACCACACCCGGACAAGGAGGTCGCCCTCCCTTCATTCCGAAGCACAGGACTCTCGGTGGCGGAGGAGGGGACTCCCCTTCCTCTGCTGAGGGGCCCTCGGGGGCTCTAAGTCCGCTCTCCTGCCACCCACGAGGGGGATGCCGGCCTGGGCGCCCGGCTCTACAGCAGCAGGGAGACTCGGGGGCGAGGCCAGGCAGGGGGACCCCCTCCCAGAGGAGGCGGCCGAACAGCCGCACCAGCTGCGTGGCCTGGGTGAGGGACGCCGCCCTCAGTGTCCTCATCTGCGACACGGGCCAAGGCGGGGGTGCCTGAGATCCGCCTCCGGGGCGCAACCCCAGCGCGCGGGGCTCCGCGGCGGCGCCGGGCCGGGGGTTGGGGCTGGAGGGCGAGTCGCGCTGCGGGGCCGGGGTGCCGGGGACCCAGGAGCGCGCGGGGCCCGGCGGGGGCGCGGGCGCGCTCACAGCACCATGGCCGGCAGGTGGTGCGCGGCGGCGGCGGCGGCGGCGGCGGCGGCGGCGGCGAGCGCGGGCGCGTGCGCGTGCGGGGCGGGCAGCGCGGGCGAGTGTGCCTGCAGCGCGGTGCTGGGCGGCCGGTGCCGCGCGCTCTTCTGGTGGGCGCGCAGGCCGGCCAGCTGCGAGTAGGCGCTCTGGCACACCTGGCACTTGTAGGGGCGCTCGCCCGTGTGCAGGCGCACGTGGTTGCGCAGCGTGGACGACTGGCTGAAGCGGCGGTTGCAGAAGCGGCACACGAAGGGCTTGTCCAGCGTGTGGATGCGCATGTGCGAGCGCAGGTTGCTGCGCGAGTTGAAGCCGCGGTGGCAGATGACGCATCGCATGCGGCCCGCGGGGCCAGCCGCCGAGTCCGCCGGGTGGAAGTCCTCTGGCCGCGGGGCGGGGCGGGGCGGGGGAAGGGAGACGGAGAAGGGGAGAGAGCAGCCCCGTTAGAACCGGCGCCCCGCAGCCCGGGCCCTCAGCGCCCCCAGCCCGGGGCCGGTCCGTCCTTGAGGGTGGGTGCTGCTTGGACGGTGGCAGACGGACTGGAGGGACAGCGAAGGGTACCCCGGCTGGGGGGTCCAATAGGGAGTTGGACTCCCGATCGCGATGCGAGACCTCGGGGACTTAGCGACTCAGCCTAGCTAAACCTCAGCTTTCTCATCTGTAAAATGGAAAGCTAGCACTGCCTTTTCGGGCGTACGATTGCCCGAGAGGATGAGAAAAGACGTCTATGAAAGGTCTCTGCGCTAAGCACCCGACCTGCCTTAGCCAGTGCCTGAGAGGTGCCTGGATTGGAGCAGCCTTCTGTAAAGGGGAGCAACTGTGATGACCCCTGCCCCCAAACCTTTCATTAACTCATCCCACAAACATTTACTGAATGCCTACTCTGTACCATGGAACTGCGCCTCGGTTTTCTCCTTCCTGAAATGGAGATAATACTAACATGGTAAGGATCAGTTAAAAAAAAAAAAAATATATATATATATATATATATATATTTTTTTTTTTTAGACGGAGTCTCCCTCTGTCTCCAGGCTGGAGTGCAGTGGCGCGATCTCGGCTCACTGCAGCCTTCGCCTCCTGGGTTCAAGTGGTTCTCCTGCCTCAGCTTCCCTGGGAATACAGGTGTGCACCACCACGCCCAGCTAATTTTTCTATTTTTAGTACAGACGGGGTTTCACCATGTTGGCCAGGATGGTCTCGATCTCTTGACCTCGAGATCCACCCACCTCGGCCTCCCAAAGTGCTGGGATTACAGCCACAGCGCCCGGCCAAAAAGATTTTATTTATTTTTTTGAAACAGGGTCTGGCTCTGTCACACAGGCTGGAGTGCAGTGGTGCCATCTCAGCTCACTGTAGCCTCGACCTCCCGGGTTCAAGCGATCCTCCCACCTCAGCCTCCCAGGCAGCTAGGACCACAGGCTCGTGCCAGCACACCTGGCTAACTTTTAAATTTTTTGTAGAGATGGGGTCTTGCCATGTTGACCAGGCTGGTCTGGAACTCCTGGGCTCGAGTGATCCTCCTGTCTCTGCTTCCCAAAGTACTGGGATTATAGGCATAAGCCACCATGCCCGGCCTAGAGAAATTAATGTTTGTAAAACATCAGCTGCAGAGCAAGGACTTAATAAACAGTAGCTCACCAGCTCAGGTTCATCCTCCAAAAATAAGGACCGCTGACCACGGTGCCTCATGCCTGTAATCCCAGCACTTTGGGAGGCAGAGGCAGGAGGATCATTTGAGCCCAGGAGTTCCAGACCAGCTGGGCAACATGGCGAGACCCCATCTCTACAATAAATTTAAAAAATTAGCCAGGTGTGGTGGTGCACGACTGTGGTCCCAGCTACCTGGGAGGCTGAGATGGGAGGATAGCTTGAGCCCAGGTGGTTGAGGCTGTAGTGAACCAAGATAGTGCCACTGCACTCCAGCCTGGGTGACAGAGAGAGACTCTGTCTCAAAAATAAGTTAAATAAAATAAAAATATGGATAACCAAATTTCACAGGCCAGGTGCCGTGGCTTACGCCTGTAATCTCAGCACTTTGGGAGGCCAAAGTGGGCAGATCGCTTGAGGTCAGGAGTTTGAGACTAGCTTGGCCAACATAACAAAACCCCATCTCTACTACAAATGCAAAGATTAGCTGGGCATGGTGGCACACGCCTGTAATCCCAACTACTCGGGAGGCTGAGGCAGAAGAATTGCTTGAACCTGGGAGGCAGAGGTTGCAATGAGCCAAGATCACGCCACTGCGTTCCAGCCTGGGTGACAGAGTGAAACTCAGTCTCAAAAAAAAAAAAAAAAAAAAGGAAGAAAGAAAGAAAAAGAAAAAAAATACACAGAGGTTTTATGAATACCCAGTGGGATGATATCTGCCAAAGGTTTAGCCCAATTCTTGGCAAGAAATAGTTGTCGAGCAAATGGTCTCTGCTGTGATGGGCAGTGTCCCCCTGACACACACACAGGCACAGTCTGTCCTGCCTTCCTTCAACAGGCTTATACGGAGCATCTACTCTGTGCCAGGCCCTGCACCAGACATCATCGACAGGGCAAGGAAATATACAGGTTGTCAGAACCAGAAGGGAACTTAGAGATTATCTTGCCTAGGACCTTCCCTTTACAGGTGAGGAAACTGAGGCACAGGACATTTCCAAGATTGTACAGCAGAACTAGAACTCAATCCAGGCTCCTGCTGCCCAGCTCCTTTCTTCTCCTGTCACACCTCATTGCCTCTCTGGTCTCCCCCACATACCCCCCAGACAGTCTATTCTGGCCAGGAAGCAGGAGGACCATCTCCCACCCATGCCCGGCCCATGCGGCAGCTCCAGGGGCATCAGCCTCCTTGGACCTGTATGTCTGATCTGCTCAATGCTGCCAGACATTGAACCAAGGTCCCTGGAGGCCAAGAGCCTCTCTGCCTCTCTCATTCTCTCTCTCCCCTCCCTGGGCTCCCCTCTCCATGGGTCTGTGTCTCAGCGGCCCCATGGGGAACACCTACCATGCTTGTTCTTTTTCTGGTCCTCCTCTAGCCCGGGCACACCTGGGATCCCCAGGAAGGTGTTGTGTGAGTTTCCGTACCACACCAGCAGTTCCTGGTCAGGTGGGATCATCTGCAGGGAAGAAGGCAAGAGGAGGTCAGGGAGGCCGCAGCTGGGAGGTGAGAGTTGGGGGTCTCTGAGCACCCCTCCACAGCCAGGAGACCCGGACCCAGTCTCAGCCCTGAGAAAGCCACACAGTCCCATTTCCACTGAGCTGTCCCGGGAAGCTGCACAAACACGGAAGTCCCTGGGGTGTCGAGCCCCTCTGCCCCCCTCTCCCTGCCCAGGCCATCTCTGTCCAAGCTCCAGCCACAGGAGTGCTTCCAAGCTGACAGCACCAGAGTGGACGCCTCACAGCAAGCAGAAGTAATGGGAGATGGAAAACTAGAAACCTTTTCCATTCTTACCCCGGGGAACTAGAGTCAGCCAGCCCCCAGGGCTGCAGGGCTGAGCCAGATGTTTCCAAGAAGGGTGGGCTGTGGGGCACCCCAGGGTACTTGGCTATACCCTGAGGCGATAATGTTCCGGAAACATCTCTTATCCAAAGCTCCCATAGGCATCCCACATCACAGGTACTTCCCGACCAAGCACAGGGCTCTGAGTGTCTCTGTGCACACGGCAGATGCTAAAAAAGAAGCATTCGGATGGATGAACACCTCCACCCCAGGAAACATTGGGGTACACTGCCTTACACAGAGTCCAGTTCACCGCGTCCTAGGTCAATGACAGAGAACCCCGCAAATGATGTTGGGGCTCTGATGCTCTCGGGGAGGACCTGCCCCAGGCTCATGGCAAAGGATGTTGGTCAGAGGGTTTTGCAGTGATGATCCAGGGAGGCGTAAGGGGCCTGCTTCTGGGGTGGCACTGATCATAAATGCCACACACTCCGGGACATCCCAAGGGGCCTGCCTGCCAGGCCTCTTATGGAAGCCAGTTACCCCTCCCAAGTGGGGAAGCTCCAGGCCCTAGCCAGGCAGGGCGTATGAGAGAAGGGACATCCTATCACTCTCCCAAGGCCTGGACTCCAGAAGTGCTGGCCTTGGCACCTTCCCCTGGGGGCCACTATCCGATGTGCCCAGAGAAACCCAGACACCCCCAGGCAACAGCTGGTTTGTTTTCCTGGCAGGTCCTTTTTTAGTTGAAGCACAAAAGATCGCATGGGATTCCATCTAGAGGTGTCTGAAACCAGGCCAGGACCCCGCGTTGGCTTCTGTGGTCAGAGACAGGGCCCCCTCTGTGTCTGCTTGGTTCAGCCTGCAGAGCCCACACTCAGAACTCTGGCGTTCACTACGTCTTCCTTCCTCTGGTCAGAGCCTGGAAGACCCTCAGACCATTGCAGCAAGCTCTGCTCACCCCTGAAAAGAAGGGAAAGTGGAGGTCGGGCGTGGTGGCTCATGCCTGTAATCCTAGCACTTTGGGAGGCTGAGGCGGGTGGATTACTTGAGGCCAGGAGTTTGAGACTAGCCTGGGCAACATAGCAAAACCCTGTCTCTACAAAAAAATAGAAAAATTAGCCAGGCGCGGTGGCGCATGCCTGTAGTCCCAGCTACTTGGGAGGCTGAGGCAGAACTGCTTGAACCCAGGAGGCAGAGGTTGCAGTAAGCCGAGATTGCACCACTACACTCCAGCCTGGGTGACCACTCCAGTCTGGGTGACAGAGCAAGACCCTGTCTCAAGGAAAAAAAAAAGAAGAAGAAGGGGAGGTCGAAAGAAAAGGGGTGGGAACAGGAGAGTGTGAGGGGGCTTAGGTGACAGCCATCCTCCTGAGACTCAGCCTAGAGTCACCACATCCATTTCCACATGCCCCCATGGTTCACGGGGCATCATGGCGAGCCTTAGGGTTAGTAAATGACGAGAAGCCAATGTGGAAACATGAATCGCAGTCCCAGAAGCCACAGGAAGTTAGACGGTGCCTCCAAGAAAGTGGACAGATTAGAATGTGGCACCACAGCGAGATCCCTGGTGACCTCTCTGCTCATTCACAGTAATGGCCACTGTCCAGGAGGCCAGCAGGTCAGAGCTGGAGGCCCCTGCTGGAAAGGGGCAGAGAAGAAAGAGGTTCTGATTTGCGTGGTTTTTTTTGTTTTTCTTTTTTGTTTTTTTTTGAGACGGAGTCTCGCGCTGTCGCCCAGGCTGGAGTGCAGTGGCGCGATCTTGGCTCACTGCAAGCTCCACCTCCTGGGTTCACGCCATTCTCCTGCCTCAGCCTCCTGAGTAGCTGGGACTACAGGTGCCCGCCACCACACCCACGCCCGGCTAATTTTTTGTATTTTTAGTAGAGACGGGGTTTCACCGTGTTAGCCAGGATGGTCTCGATCTCCTGATCTCGTGATCCGCCCGCCTCGGTCTCCCAAATTGCTGGGATTACAGGTGTGAGCCACCGCGCCCAGCTTTTTTTTTGTTTTTTACATTTTTAAAAATTCTACTTTTTTTCCAGACCTCACTGGGGTGGAAGGAAGAGGTTTTGTGAACCTCCCAGAAAAGCAGATAATGGAATTGAAATATTTAACATAAATTAATTGTGAAGGAAGTCTGTCTATGAGATGGTGCAGATGAGCCCTCTGTCACCAGGTCCATGTGTGACCTTAGGCAAGTCACTCTGCCTTTCTGTGTTCCTCAAATGAGGGGGTCAGGGAGGGAACACGGTCCCTGAGTTTCCCCCCAACTCTAAGACTCTGGTTGTAAGTCACCTCCAACATTGTCCTGACCCTTGGTTTCCAGTCTTGGATGAAACCGGACACGTTGATGTCATGGTTCTTCCAAAGCAATCAGCACCCTCCCCCAGACCACTGAACACACCCCACAGGGGGTTCCTGCTCAGTCTGGAGTCAGACATGTTGGGATCCACTAGGGCTCCCCATCTGCTGAGCAAGTCACCTCGGGCAAGTCGCCTCACGTCGTGGGGCCTGTTTCCTCACATTGCCATGGCCTCACTGAGTGGTGTTTGGGGTGCAGTGGAGCATATGCATAAAGCTCTTTGCATAATCGAGACATGGAAGCGCCAGTGATTGTTTTTCCTGGAGCTCGCCAACCTCTCAGAGAAGCTGGCAGCGGTTTCTGGCGCATCCAGGTCCCTGCAGGAGTGCTCACTGAGCCAGCAGAGCTGCAGAGGCCGCTGGTTCGGTGGAAGCCCAGGGTGACTGAGGTTCTGTCTTCAGTGTCCAGCAAGAGCACAGGCTGGGCCCGAATGCTCCGAGGACACCAGCCTCATGCAGGTACCCGCAATTCCCAGCCCCATCTCCCCCAGAAGGGAAACCAACTCCTCCAGCACAGATGTGGGATGAGATGGGAGGCTCAGCAAGCCCCCAGCTGAACTCCACCTCCAGGCTCCAGGCCTGGGGGTCATCAAATACTAAGCCAACACCGGCCTTTTAATTTTAATTGAAAACAACTATTATTAAATATAAATACAGTAACAGTAGGCTGGGTGCAGTGGCTCATGCCTGTAATCCCAGCACTTTGGGAGGCCGAGGCGGGCAGATCACTTGAGGTCAGGAGTTTGAGACCAGCCTGGCCAACATGGTGAAACCCCGTCTCTACCAAAAATACAAAAATTAGCCAGGCGTGGTGGTGGGCACCTGTAATCCCACCTGCTCAGGAGGCTGAGGCAGGAGAATCGCCTGAACTTGGGAGGCGGAGGTTGCAGTGAGCTGAGATCATGCCACTGCCCTACTGTCCGACCAACAAAGTGAAACTCCATCTCAAAAAATAAATAAAATAAGAACTCTGATGGTGACTATTGCAGTATAAGGGTGAGTCATTTATTTACTAAGAACGCTTTTAATGTACTAAAATTAATTTTACTAATGAATTTAAAAATTAAAACAGCGATGCAGACATATGGACCGCATTGTATAAACATATAACATGGTATGAAATGAGCAGTCACTCTCTGCCACTCTGGATGCCAGCCACTGTCGCTGGTTTGCTGCTTGTCTTTCCCCAGAAGCGTTTGCCATTTCGAGACTATTTTAAAATGCTGACTTACAGTTCATGGAGAGTAGCATGATGCCATCTACATCATGCCTCTGACTTTTTAAAAAATAATGAGCACATATTACTTCTATACACACACACACACACACACACACACACACACACACACACAAATTATCTTTTAAAAGCAAGAAAATCAGTTAAGAAGAGCCTACAGTTTGGGTGTGGTGGCTCTCACCTGTAATCCCAGCATTTTGAGAGGCCGAGGTGGGTAGATCACTTGAGGCCAGGGGTTCAAGACCAGCCTGGCCAACATGGTGAAACCCTGTTTCTACTAAAAATACAAAAATTGGGCCGGGCGCAGTGGCTCACGCCTGTAATCCCAGCACTTTGGGGGGCCGAGGTGGGCAGATAACGAGGTCAGGAGTTTGAGATCAGCCTAGCTAACATAGTGAAACCCTGTCTCTACTAAAAATACAAAAATTAGCTGGGTATGGTGGCATGTACCTGTAGTCCCAGCTATTTGGGAGGCTGAGGCAGGAGAATCTCTTGAACCTGGGAGGCAGAGGTTGCAGTAGGCTGAGATGGCGCCATTGCACTCCAGCCTGGGAGACAGAGCAAGACTCTGTCTCAAAAAAAAAAAAAAAAAAAAAAGAAAGAAAGAAAGAAAAGAAAAACAAAAAGAAAAAATAATAGCCAGGCTCGGTGGCTCAGGCCTGTAATCCCAGCACTTTGGGAGGCCAAGGTGGGCGAATCACCTGAGGTTGGGAGTTCGAGACCAGCCTGGCCAACATGGAGAAACCCTGTGTCTACTTAAAATACAAAATTAGCCGGGAGTGCTGGCGCATGCCTGTAATCCCAGCTACGCAGGAGGCTGAGGCAGGAGAATCGCTTGAATCCAGGAGGCAGAGGTTGCGGTGAGCCAAGATGGCATCATTGCACTCCAGCCTGGGCAACAAGAGTGAAACTCTGTCTCAAAAAAAAAAAAAAAAAAAAAAAAAATTAGCCGTGAGTGGTGGCACATGCCTGTACTCCCATCTATTCAGGTGGCTGAGGCACGAGAATTGTTTAATCACCTGAACCCAGGAGGTGGAGGTTGCAGTGAGCTGAGCACTCCAGCCTCAGAGACAGAGCAAGATTGTCTCCAAAAGAAAAAAAAAAGAGGCTGCTGGAATTGAGAATGACACATATTTCCAGACAGCTGTAAGCCAGCAGCCCCAACTGCCCAGAAGCTGGGAACTGGGAGTCTCTCTCAGCCCTTCTGTGCCCCGTGCCCAGGCTTCTGGTGTCTGCCTGCTCCCAGGCACCCGCCATCAACAAACTTCTACTATCAAGCCCGGGAAACCCAGGAACCTGCAGCTTCTTCCCTGGAACCCTGGGATCACTGTGCAGAGGCTCCCGGGGTCCCGCCAGCTGACCGCCTGGATGCAAAGAACAGCCACCGTGCCCTCTAGGCCCCCTCGGCAGCACTCTTTACTGCTGAGACTCAGGCCTGGCCTGGCTGGCTGGGACTCTCTGCTGGGGCTTGGAGAAGCAGGATCAGCTGGTCATTCACTTTTCTGGGGAGCAGGGATAGGCTCAGGACACAAAACAAACAAAGCAATTCCCAAAGGAACTGAGTCCTGTACCACAAAATCCACATCAGTAAAACTCTGGAATACCAGCGCCCGAGTCTCTTTTGACAAATGGACATGCCCTGTCAACGTGCTTCTCTGGGCCCTATCAGCCCAGAAGATCTGTCCTTCCCCACTTTCTGAATTTTTATTATAAATTGGAAATGACAGAATTTTTGGTTTGTTCTCCTGCTGTAAATTCACATCCTGCCACTGAACATGCTCCCAGGAGACTGCAAATACCCTCCCCTTCTCCACAGGGTCTGAAACCCCAGTGTAAAAGGATCTCAATGTCATCTGGACAAACATCAATTTCCATTGTACCACAGATGTCCCGACACACCAATTAATAGAGTTCCAGCAAATAGATATTGGCCAGGGAGGCCACATGGCATGGTGACTCAGCACTCCAGCTCAGGGCTCAGATGGGCCTAGGTTCCCATCGCAGCTCAGCAACTTCCCGTAATCTCCGTAACATTTCAGTTTCGCCGTCATAAAAATGAGGATAGTAACAGAGAGCAGCACCCCGAGGGCTGAGCAGATTCTATTTTTTAATAGTTGCTGGCCAGGTGCAGTGGCTCACGCCTGTAATCCCAGCACTTTGGGAGGCCGAGGCGGGCAGATCGCTTGAGGTCAGGAGTCTGAGACCAGCCTGGCCAACATGGGGAAATCTACTAAAAATACAAAAATTAGCCAGGCGTGGTGGCACACACCTGTAATCTCAGCTGCTTGGGAGGCAGGAGAATTGCTTGAATCTGGGAGGCAGGGGTTGCAGTGAGCCAAGATTGCACCATTGCACTCCAGCCTAGATGACAGAGTAAGACTCCATCTCAAAAAAAATAATAATAAAAAAGTTGCTAAGACCCTTTTATTCCTTCAACATTTAGTGGCCACTTACTATGTGCTAGGCACTTTCTAGAACTGTCATTTTAGGCACCTGAAGTTATAGTAAATTCTGTGACTGGAGTAAGCCAGGAGGTTCCCCAGGGGCCACATCAGTGGATCCAGCCAGATGCACGCCCTGCTGCGGAACCTCCACTGACCGCCTGGGCTCTAAAGCCCCGTTGCCTTCGTCTCTGTTGAGAAGGCTGCTATTCTGTATTTATGGAAAGTTTTAGAGCAGCAATAGTATATTCTGCTTATTGAATAAAGATGTTCCTTCCTATTTTTGGTAAGTAATGGGTTACCGTTATGAACTATGAGTGGCAGTTCTGAGTGGCAGAAAGTTTAAGAAAACATCACAGCAGAGGTCCTTCTCCTTGGCTAACTCACCCACACGCAGAGAATAAACAGCCAATTGATTCCCAAGTCATCCAGGGATTGGCCTGGGGAACAGCAGTATCTTCCAGTCTAGCCCAGAAGGGCTGCATGAGCTCTGGGCCTCGGCCTCATCTTGAGGGTGGCCACATACACCCAGACACACAATTTATCTGGTAAGTGGAATCTGACATTGTGACAAAATGGTTTGAGAAATCTGCCACCACAAAAAAATGTATCCACTTTAAAAGTAAAATGGGTGGCATTTTATTTCCTTGTCATTCACGCAGACAGCCCCTTCTTAGAAGGCTTGCTAACTCTGTAAAAGCACTGATAGCCAAATTGGTGGATCTGTCTATATCACATATGTGATACAGTGTGTGTGTGTGTGTGTGTGTGTGTGTGTGTGTGTGTGTGTGTCCTGATCCTCTTTTTTTGTTGTTGTTGTTGTTGAGACGGAGTCTCACTTTGTCACCCAGGCTGGAGTGCAATGCTGCTGATAGTTCACTACAACCTCCGCCTCCTGGGTTCAGGCAATTCTCCTGCCTCAGCCTCTGGAGTAGCTGGGATTACAGACACCCGCCACCATGACTGGCTAATTTTTGTATTTTTAGTAGAGACGGGGTTTCACCATGTTGGCCAGGCTGGTCTTGAACTCCTGACCTCAGGTGATTCATCCACTTCATCCTCTGAAAATGCTGGGATTACAGGCGTGAGCCACCATGCCCTGCCTGATCCTCTTTTTTCAACTTAAATTCATGATCAAATGTAGATGACCATTTTTCCTAATCCTATAAACTCAAATGCTTCCCTGAAGATATTCTTCAGCCTCCTTGCCTTCGGACTGAATTTCTAAGTGTCTATTCATGTTTCCTGACTTTGTTTGGCTTCTAGCCAGTGTGACCTGCACAGCGAGATGAGACTCAGGCCCCCACATCTGCCTCAGCCTGGAGCCCTCTTGCCAAAATGATGTAGGCGTTTCTGGTCTGTCTCTTGTGTTCACATGTGTGGGTATGTGTGTGCGTGTGGGGTTGGTGAGGGGATGGGTTGGAGCCCTCCATCACATCTGTATCAGGATGGCTGGGAAAGAGCGTATGAAGGCGAAGATGTGTGTGACAGAGGGTGGTGGGGTGAGGATCTGGGAGGGTGCATTCTGTTATATGTGGGGTTCAGCTACACTGGAAGCCAATTTTAGGATGTGGTGGCCCAGCCAGATGGTCAAGGAGCCACCTCTGTCCTGGGCCTGGGCTACCTTCAGTGCTCTCTGCACCCTGCCCCACGGCCGTCTTACCTCACTTCAAACCCAATTCAGGAACCGCTCAGTTTTTTCTTATCCTCCACCTCCTGCTCCTCCAAGCACCACCCCCCTCAGCTGGGACCCAGGCTAGGCCCCCTGCTGTCACCTCTGGGAGAGTCTCTGGGGTGTTGTTATTCAGGGACAACCAAAGGAACCCATCCGAGAAGCTACTAGGCCCTGGCACCCCCAGGGGTCTTAGAAAGAGCTTCAAGGTCTGAGTCCTGGGGAGAAAATGGAACATGGACTAAAGGTCGGTCACTCTCTGCTCCTCCAGAACACCCAAAAATCTCCACCAAGCCCTAGCCCAACCCCAAGGGGAGCAGAGAAGTGGGGTGGGAAGCACCTGACTGCCTCTGCACAGCACTTGCTACCAGCCTACCCCCAGCAGCCTGTGGGTAGCTTCCCTCTACTCCTGGGCCAGATTTCCCGCCAAAGGACACTGTCCAGGGAGGGTCCCAGTGTGGGCCTGCCCTGGCAACCACGTCTCTGCTTGGTTTGCACCCTCAGCCACTGGCCAGATACCTGGATCTTTTCTGCCACCAGGCACTGCCCTACCAGGAAGCCCTCCTCTTCCCACCCTCCTCTTCCCACCCTCCTCTGAACCTTCCTGGCTCAGCCTCACCCCTGCCACACCACAGGAAGTGATATTTACCGGTTACCTTTTTTTTTTTTTTTTTTTTTTGAGATGGAGTCTCACTCTGTCACCCAGGCTGGAGTACAGTGGTGCCATCTCGGCTCACTGCAAGCTCCGCCTCCCGGGTTCACGCCATTCTCCTGCCTCAGCCTCCCGAGTAGCTGGGACTACAGGCACCCGCAACCACACCCGGCTAATTTTTTGTATTTTTTAGTAGAGACGGGGTTTCACCATGTTAGCCAGGATGGTCTCGATCTCCTGGCCTCGTGATCTGCCCACCTCGGCCTCCCAAAATGCTGGGATTACAGGCTTGAGCCACTGTGCCAAGCCTTTTTTTTTTTGAGATGGAGTCTCACTGTGTCACCCAGGCTGGAGTGCAGTGACACTATCTCGGCTCACTGCAACCTCTGCCTCCCTGGTTCAAGCAATTCTCATGCCTCAGCCTCCTGAGTAGCTGAGATTACAGGCGTCTGCCACCACGCCCCACTAATTTTTGTATTTGTATTTTTATTTTTATTTATTTATTTATTTATTTTTGAGATGCAGTCTCGCTCTGTCGCCCAGGCTGGAGTGCAGTGGCGTGATCTCGGCTCACTGCAAGCTCCGCCTTCCGGGTTCACGCCATTCTCCTGCCTCAGCTTCCCGAGTAGCTGGGACTACAGGCGCCTGCCACCATGCCCGGCTAATTTTTTGTATTTTTAGTAGAGACGGGGTTTCACCATGTTAGCCAGGATGGTCTCGATCTCCTGACCTTGTGATCTGCCCGCCTCGGCAATTCACTCACCTCAGCCTCCCAAAGTGCTGGGATTACAGGCATAAGCCACCGTGTTCAGGCTGTTACCTGGCCCTGTCTGTCTCCTCTGAGAAGGCTCAGGAAGCGCAGCTATTAGTGCTAACACTCCCCCCAGATGGCCGGCAAAACCCCCAAGTCTGCTGCCACCGAGGGAGACCTGGTTTTCTGGTCAGTAAACTGTAAATAATCACAGAATCCTCCTCCTGGGGCCCCGTGGGGATTAAATACCATACTGCATATCCAGCATCTGGGAGAAGCCTGACACACGGGGAGCCATCGCTGAGTCTGGAGTCATGAGCCGTAAGCCACTGGTG
This sequence comes from Homo sapiens, assembly GCF_000001405.40. NCBI lineage: Eukaryota > Metazoa > Chordata > Mammalia > Primates > Hominidae > Homo > Homo sapiens. The sequence goes on along the minus strand of NC_000009.12, from coordinate 130,668,756 downwards.
CCCATGCATGCAGAATGAGGGCCATCAGACAGCTAAACGGCTGCAGACACACGCCCTCTCTCCCACCCCAACGCATTCCCTGGGCCGCCTCTCCCCATCTTGCTTCTCTGTGTCTCTGTGACCCCTGAACCTCAGGAAACTGTCAGCCAACATCTGGGGACCTCACTATGGAGATGCTCGTGACATTCCCAATGCCGTCAAGTTGAGAGCTCCATCATTTCTGATCTGCAGCAGAAAGCTTCCCATGGAGGTCACACACCTGGACAGCGGGATGTCTGGAGACCCACCTGTCTGCCACAGCCCCATGGCCTGCGCAGAGCCAGCGAGGCCAGTGTCAGCTCCCCTCTGTCCACTGTGGTTCCTGGACACCGCTGCCCTGCACACCTCCCCCCGCCGGGTTTACCGGCTGGTCCCTACACAACAGTGCACACACACACACACACCTCAATGGCCTTGTAGAAGATGCTGGTGCCGATCTGGACCACCTCCAGGTTCTGCTCCTGTTCGTTACGTGCACACTTGATGTAGGTCATCCAGCTCCGGTGGTCCTCCTGGCTGGCATCGATGAAGTAGCGCACCGTGCCATCCTCATTGAACACCTGGGCACAGATGGATCAAGGACCAGGTAAGGCAGGGCTATGCCATGTGTACCATCTTCCAGGCACATCCACACACACACTCTCCATCCTCACAACAGCCCCAGGAAGTGGATAAAGCTTCATTTTCCCACTGAAGAAAGGAAGGCTGGAGAGGTGCAGGGACTTGCCTGAAGCTAGCCGGCTGGAAGTGGCCCACAGGGGATCAGTCTCCAGGGCTCTATGGGCTGACCATGATACACGCTCCTGTTGCCGTGTCCTCCCTACCCCCAGAAGAAGAGGGTCTCCAAGGGATCACTGCCCAGACAAAGTGGCCCTGAGCTCTCTCAAGGGATGCAGAGGTGCTCCCCATGGCACTGGGAACATCAGCCAGGCCTCAGAGAGGGAGGATCCTGGAGTCCAGGGAGGGAGGGCTGGGTCACTGTGGCACTCCAGCTTGGCCTAAACCCCTTCACGGGAGCTGCCAAGGCCACTCAGAGGTCAAACTGGACCCCAACTTCCTGACCCAGCAACTGGAGAAGGTGGTTAGTGGTCCAGCCCTCCAGAGGAGGGAGATGAGGTCAAGAGAGGCCTCTGGGCCATCCCGCAGTTCTATCAAGTTGGGCTTCTCCAGGGTCCGCCGGGGGGAGCTGGAGTGGGGGAGCGGGCGAGGGAATGAGTTTAGGAAGGGTGTGCACCAGTCTGGCCTCAGTGGGTTTCCCGTTCTGCAAAGTTAGGAAGAAGCACAGGGGTGGCCCTCCCTGGCACTGGCACTGTGATGGGTGGAAAGGCCTAGGATGGAAGCCTCTTGGAGCCTCCGTGAAAAGGGAACAGTAAGGCATGGGCTACTGAGGTCATCCGTGACTGCAGGCTGGGGACACAGAAGCTGACTCAATGCCACCTCAGCCACAGTCATCGTGAATGTCATTCTGCTTTCACCAGGCATTCTCCTTTCCAGCCCCACCTCACCCCCAGCCCAGGACTGGCCTTGAGGGGCTTCCCAGGCTGCTTCCGGGGCCAGGGAAAGAATGTAAGTGGCTGGGAAGAGGCCTGGAGGGATGGCGCGTGGGGACCCTGGGCAAGCGACCTGACTGCTCTGGGTCTCAGTGCCCTCATCTGCCAAGTGGAGCCAACCACAGTCTTGCTCTGCCAGGGTGTCCGGGGGAAGGAGGGTCGGATTTTCGGCACGGGTTGGGAGGAGCCTAGAGGCGGGGTGAGCTCCAGGCTCGGGCGGCTTAGAGTCCCGGCTCAGGGGGCGTCCAGGCCAGGAGTGTCCGCCGCTCTCAGCCCGGGTGGAAGCGGCGACGGCCGGACGCCCGAGTCCTACCCGCGACCAGCGCCCCTCGCCGGCCCTTGCGCCCCTCTGCCCCAGCCCGCGCGTACCTCCCACATGAGGTTGTTGTTCTTGCAGATGTCCACGTGCTCCGGGGCGATCACGCGGCCGGTGAAGGGGCCCATCTCGGTTCCCGCCTTGATCCACGTCTTGGAGAAGATGCCGAGGCCCTCGCCAGGGATGGAGCTCTGAGCGATGATCACCTCCGCAGGCAGCACCAGGCTGGACAGCTTCTGCACTTCTGCGGCGGCGGGGCCAGGAAAACCGGTCAGAGCCCGAGGCAGCCGAGGCCCGGCCCTTCCTTCCCCGCCGGGACCCCGGCTTCGGTCCTGCCCAGACCAGCCAAACCCAAGTCGGCCCCAAATCCAGAGAAGCCACCCGGGTGTGGAGGAAGTCGGATGTGCGGAGGCTCAACGACCTCTCCTCTGTTTGCAACCTGGAGACCCTCCGTGCCCTGGAAAGCGAGTGGTGCGTTGGGGATCATTTTTAGAAGTGGGTTTTTAGTCTCTCCGCGAATTCTCAAAGCATTCGCAACTTCTTCCATCCTCTGCCCCGGATAAGTTTAAGAATTAATGAGCCAACGGCAGCGAGCGGTTTTATGCACAGGGAAACTGAGGCCAGGTCCTGCAAGGAGGTGAAGGCCAACCGGAGACTCTTTCGCCTAGTCGGCTTCCGGGAGCCCACTGTGTGTCCAGGCTCTGGGCACTGGCAGAGGAGCCGGGCCGTGATCAGCGCTGGGGACAGACCTCGGGCTGGCAGGTGTTGGAGGTGCCAAAGAAGCACCGGCAGCAGCTGGCCAGGCTCTGCGCTCGCTGTGTGACCCCGGGCGCGCCCGAGTCCCTCTCTGCTCCCAGGCCCTGGGGTGCCAGGGAGGGCGGCGCCCGGGCTCAGACAAACCCCGATGTCATCTCTCTGGGCGGGGAGGAGCCGCGGCGGCCCCCAGCTCCCCGAGGGTTCCCCTGTCGGGCATCTGCGGCAGGGCTGGAAGCGGCGAGGCGCACAAGGGCGGCCTCCATGTCTTACAAGGTTCCCCTCTAAGCTACCTGGGAAAATACCCGGCGAGCGGGCCGGCTGAAAGGGGGGGGTTAAACGGTGTCCATTGCGGCGCGGCGGGCAATTTGTCACGCTGTTAAAGTGATCGCATTCATTCGGCTCCATTCGAAAGAAATTGCTAATTCTAAATTCATTAGCCCTGGAAGAATGCTGTAGCAGTAAATTGTAGCTCAATGCGGAGGGGACTTGTTTAAAAGGGGCCGAGGAATTCCCCTTACAAAAAAGGGGGATTAGATGGTTGACATAGCGTGAATGGAAGTGGAATTAGTCTTCACGGTAAATTAAGAGAGGAACAGAAATCGTAAAGGGGGAAAAGAGGGCGACGCGCAGAGATGCCAGAGCCAGGGAAAGATATTGTTTGCGGGTTGATGAATGAGGAATAAGAACTTGAGACATCTTAAAGAAAAGAAACTTTTCTCGCTCTCTCTTTCTCTCCCTCGCTCTCCCCGCGGCTTTTTCTCCCCGCCCGCCCTCCCTCCACCCCCTCCCCAGCCCCGGCTGCCTTTTAAAGTTCTTGGTTTAAGTGGGAACTTTCGTGGGTCAAGCCCAAGTTAACTAAATGAATTTAAAACCCCTTCTTTTTGAGTCAACTGCTATTACACGCCTAGTAAGGCTGTAAATGCCGGGAACCCGCCAGCTCAAGCGCAGGAGGGGAAGGGAGGGGCCGGCGGGGGCGTCGGGGCCGAGCGACGGGGTCGCCGGGGTCGGTCCTTGAGCCGGGTGGGCTGCGGAGCTGCTTGGTGGCTCGCGTCCTGGTTTGGCCCATGGGGAAACTGAGGTGCACCGAGCGCCGGGAGAGCCCAGGTTGGCGCGAGTAGCAGCGAGGCCGGGTATCCCAGCCGCGTCTCGCGCATCGCCAGGACGGGAATGGGGGTCGCCGGGAGGAGGGATTGCGCCGGGCTCCGACGGCTGGACTCACCGCCGGAGAAGGACTGCGCCAGCACCTCGGCGGTGAAGGCTGTCTTGGGGCTGGCGTGGTGGCTCTTGTCCTCGAAGAGCTGCTCCCCGAGCACGTTGCGCCAGCGGCCGTACAGGAAGCTGTGCAGGATGTCGGAGGTGATAACCTCGGCCAGCGCCAGTCCCGGCGCCTTCAGCCCGGTCTTGAGCACCAGGGCCTCAGCCGGGAGCACGGAGCCCATCATGGGCGGCCCGGAGCTCCCCGGCGCCGGGGGACGGCCGGGCCGACGGGGGAGGTGGGCGGGCGAGAGGGGAGCCCAAGGGGCGAGAGGAGAGCGCTGCGATGGAGAAGGAACCAGAGCAGGGGGAGGACGGAGAGGAGGAGGACGCAGGAGGGAGCGGGAGGTGAGGGGGCGACTGGGAGGAAAGCGAACGAGGGGGAGAGGGGAAGAGAGATGGTGAAATCTGTAGAGATGGCAAAGGCGGCGCGGAGGGTGGAGAGACGCGGGTGGAGGCGGAGGCGGGTGCGGGGGGTGCAGGGTGGGTGAGAGGCGGGTGGTTGCAGGGAAGCGGCAGCAAGGGGCTCAGGCGCGCGCTAGCCTCTCGCACACTCGGCCGGGGCCGTCTTCCCCTTGGCAAAATCTCAGCGCCTTTATAGGAGCCGCAGTGACCCTCCTAATTGGTTATTAATGACCCCCTGACGTCGGAGGACAGACTTGTTGTACCCGGCTGGGCTCGAGGAGCCTTCGTCGCGAGAGCGCGAGGGGCGGGGGCGCGCGGACCGCTCCAAACAGTACCCCTCCACTCCTCTCTCCCCTTCCTGGTCCTTCCTCCCCCCTCCTGTTTTTCCTTCTCTCCCCGTGGGAAGCGCAGGGCAGGGAGGGAGGCTCAGCCGGCTCTGAGGAGAGGAGGGGACGGAGAAGGGGAGGGGGTGCGGCGAGGCTCTCTAGGACTCCAGGGACCAGGCTAGACAAGAGGGGACGCCTGGCTTCGGGCCCCGCGCTCCCCTCAGGCCTGATCTATGTTCACCGGCCTGGCCCAGCCCGGCGTTCACCTTTACTTTGCTGCCCCGGCTGGCCGGCCCAGCCCTGCACCGCTCTCCCTCCCCGGCCAGAGCCCGCGTCCTCTTCCCTCTCCGGCCCTGCACTCCCCGGGCCGCCACAGTCGCCCCGAGCTCGCGCGCAGCCCTAGTTGCCACGCGGATCCCCTGCTCAGACTGCGCTGCTGAAGCCGGCGCTTCGCTTCATACGGGCCGCGCCAACTCGGTCGCTGTGCACGGTCGGGTGCGAAACTCCTCCGCGGGCTCACGGGGCTGCCGAGGCGGGGCCGCAGCGGCCGTCGGGGCTGGGGCTGGTCCCGGCCTGAGACAGCTTCATGGAAGGCCAGGCTCCCGGCCCTTGCGGGGCCAGGTCGGGGGTCGAGATGGGCGGACAGGAATCGCCCTGGCAGCCTGTCTCTGGGAAAAGAATTTCCTACGGGATATAGGGGGATTGAAAGGGGTCCCGAGACCCTTCCTAGGTGGGAGCAGGCGTGCCTGAGAGCGAAGTCCCTCAGAAACTGCAGGCAGCTCCGCGAGAGGCCTCAGTGCGGGTTCGGCTTGCGGCCCGGCTTTCCGGCTCCTTGCTGAGCTGCAACCTCGGGAAGCCGGTGGCGTTGCGGCGCCCCTTCCTTCTTGCCTCCTAGTTCTTTCTTTCTCCTCTGCCTCTCTCTTCTTTCCCTTCCTCTCCTCTATTCCTCCTGCCCATCATCCCAGGAGCAGACTTGCTTTGCGGCGGTTTCGAGGCACCTCGGAGCCCAGCGATCCCCTCTCCCGAAGCAGGTAGCTGCTGAGCCCAGCGGAAGGCCCCGCTTCCTGCAGGCTTCGCGGCTCCCCAGTGTCAGCCTCAAGCCTCGGACCCCAGGCCCTGACATGCTGGGTGAGGGAGCTCACCCCACCTGCCGCACTTCTGGCTCCCATCACCAGCCTACAATTTCAGATGCCGCTAACAGAGGTGCCTGGACCCTCTCGGCGTGGGTCAGGCTCACGGATTAGTCTCCGCTGGACTGTGTGGACTCCCTAGACCTTCTCCTCAGCGCGGAGGACTTGGGTGGAAGAACAGCGAGCTGACCTCCCATGAGCGAGACCCTGTCCAAACGCCTGTTGGCATAGACGCCCCTCCACCACCCGGACGCGCCTTGGCTAAGAGGGTCTCACACCTGGCGTCCAGACTCCAGACCCCTGGTCCCCAGTTCCTGCCAGTAGTCTCCGGCATCCCCCGTCCCCGTTGGGACGCAAAGGGAGGAAGGCGGCGGTAGCTGGCCTTCAGACCCTGCGTCCGGGTCCGCCCGAGGCTGGAGCCCAAGGAAGGGCACACCTGGCAGAAGGCAGGACCGTTGGGCAGGGCGCCAGCAGAGGGCAGCGCTGCTGAGGAGGGAGGTGGGTTAGGGTCGCCGAACCCTCCACTCATTTTTCGACGCAGCTTGTGGGTCGCATCGGCTCCCTGGCCAGAGCTCGAGTCTGAGGGGGCGTATGGAGTCCGATGGCTCCTGCAGGGGAGCCTCACCGGGGCCTACTTCTTGGCTTCTGGGAAGACCTAGGTGGAGAGGACAAAGTGCTAGGAGCGAGGGAGACGACGTCGGGGAGCGCTGCCAGGAGCCAAGCGCTGCGGCAGCTCCCAAGCCCCGAAAGCGACCTCAGTTCCTCCAGGACACCAAAGGGGGATAAGGACTGCTGTGTGTCCTGTGGACTGCCCCTTTCCTCTCTGGGCCTCGGTGTCCCTGTCTGTGCAATGGTTTGAGTTGGACTTTGTGAACTGAGGTTTCTTTGCTTGGTCTCTCTTTGGGTAAGATCACTTTACCCCACGACAACCCCGAGGATTTTGCCCTCTCCAGGGCCACGTCCCACTGCGGGAAGCCCTCAGGTCTGTGCATCCTCCGTGCTGGGGTGCAGCGTTTGGGTCCTGAACCCCGGCTTAGAGTTAGAGGCTTGGATTCCGCTGGCGCAGTGACCACGGGCTCGGACTGCGGCCAGGGAGTCCCATTCCTCTCCTCCGGACCCGCAAGCCCGGAGAGCAGTACTGGGAGCCGGGCAGAAGCGGAGCGCAGAACGTCCTCCCAGCTGGTGCGCCCAAATCTCCACCGCGCTCACATTTTGTGCTTCTAGTCTAGCGGCAAAACCCACCTGGACCCCCGCCCGGGGAAAAAGGAGCCCGTAGGTAGCGCCCAGTCTCAAGGTGCATTGAAATAGGGAGCAAGACCCTGTGCTCACATCTCCCCGGGAGGAGATTTCGAGGGGAAACATTCCGGGCTTTCCCAGCGGATGACCCGTGTTATTTTGTCATTTTCCGCGGGGCCCAGGCGCGGAATGTGCTCGCGCAAAAGCCCCCTCCCCTCGGCCGGGCCGGAGCTCTCAGGCTCCGTCGCCCCCCTCGCCCGCTGGCCGCCACTTGGCGATCTCTTTAATATTCATGGGCGTTAATAGAGAGGCCCTCAGTATATCGGTCCATTGTGGGCGGCTCGTAGGACTTGAATAGGCCTCGGCCCCCTTTCTTCGGCGCGGCTTCCCGAGGGGCCGGGCCAGGAGTGAATGGCCCCGCTTCCCGCTCCGCGCCCCCTCCCCCTTTCAGGGAGAACATCTTTATCCTCTTCTCCGCTGCCGCCGCCGCCCGGGCCCCCATTCACGCGGCCCCGGCTCCGGGCGGAACGAATCAATTTGCCGCGGCTCTTCGGAGGTCATCCTCGCCGCCCGGGTGCCCTCTTCCCCTGAGCCCACGGGAGTGGAGAGAGGGCCGCCGCGGCAGGCCGACGGCCCCACGGAGGGACATTGAAGGGGAAGTGGAGGAGAAGAGCAGGGGCGACCCGGAGGGGTGGCTGGGCCGGGGCGGGCAAGACAGTCTCAGGGCCCGGCAGCCGCCCGGGGTTGGCTAATTTCTAGTTGTTGCCCCGCTCAGGGCGGAGCGCCGAGGGGAAGGAGGCCGCGGCCCAAGCCCGGAGGTCCGTTCGTCCTCCCCTTGAGGCACCAGCGCGCGTCCCTTCGGCCCGGCTGAGGCACCTATGAGAACGGGGGCGTGTGGGACAGCCCAGGGCCCCGCACGACGCTTTCGTTCTCGCCGGTGCGCCGGGGCTTAGCTCCGGGAGAGCCAGGTCCCGACAGTGCGCTTCAGGGGGACGCTCGGAAGGGCGGCCGGCTTCGCGGCTCCTGCGCCCTCGCTCTGGGGCCCGGGCCTGGGTGCGGGGGAGGGGGGTGCGAGTCGGTCAGGCGGGGCCAAAGCGCACGGGTCCCCGCCCTGCCCGCCCCGCCGGCCCTCAGAGGCGCAGAAAGAAGCCCATTGTCCGCCGAGAAATACATTTTTGGGGGCCGAGTGAAAGCCCGTCTTTCTTTTGAACTTTAGAAGAAAGTCTCCTGTTCTCGCCCCTCGGAGGGAGAGATTTGTCCCCCCTCCCGGGAGCTCCGCGCGCCTCCTCCTCCCGAAACATCTGCCGGGGGAAAATCCACCCTGGAGGGCAGATCGCGCTCGCTTTAAGCCTGGCGAACTCATTAAAAAGATATTAGCGGCGGGGGCAGGTCCCGCGCAGGTATCGATCGGCCGGAATGAGCCCGAGGAAGAAAAGGCGAAGAATGCGCCCGCGCCGCGCTCAGACGCCCACCCGCCCCGCCCAGCCCCTGCGCCCCAGCCCCGCATAGGGAGAGGGGCCCCCGCGCCGCCTCGCACTGTCTGTGAGTCCCGCGGCCCGCGGTCCAGCCGCCCCCACCCGGGCTCCTCGGCACAGCCCCTCGGCAACCCTCCCCTGCCGGTGCTGCGCTCCGTCCTGGCTTCCCCTGCGCGCAGGTTCCCGGCCGCTCCCCTCCTCCGCCCGCTGCCGTCGCGCGCCCAGCATCCGCGTCTCTCTTCTCCCCCTCTCCTTCTCTTCCTCCTTCCCCAGCGCTCCCCTCTTTCGCTGGCGCTCCGACTCCCTCTCCAGCTTCGCACACCCTCTCCGCTTCCTCCTCGCACGTCTCTCTCTGGCTTTCTGAGCCTCAATCTTTCGCAGTGGCCCAGGAAATTCCTTCCTCGCGTGGGGCCCGCGCCGCTCCCCTCCCCCCACCCCCGTTCCCCGTAAGACGGTTCAGGGTTCCAGGGCGCCCCCGCCGGCGCGTACAAAGGCGCGGCTGGCTGCCAAGGCGGGTGGGGGCGAGGCCGAAAAAAACGGTTTCAACAGACGTGACTCGGGGCCAGGCCTGCGCGGGGCTGCCGGCGGAGTGGCGGCCTCGGCTCAGTGAATGGGGACAGCGGCCCCCTCTCCCACCCCACCCCTGTCCCCTCCCAATGTAATTAGCTTTCAAGGCTCGGGAGAGACAAAGGCGCGCCCCGGGGCGCCCACGTGGAGTGCGTAGGCGCGAAGTCGGCGCCCCGACCGGCAGGTGACTGGCACGCGAGTCTCCCCAGGCGCCCAGGGGCGGAGGAGGGGAAGCCCCTCCCCTGCGCCTCTCGAACCCCCTTCCATCGCCCACACCCCGGTCCCCAGGCCAGCGATGCCAGCGCCACAGCCCAGGCTGATCAAGGCGGCGGGAACGACGGGAGAGACGCCGGGGACACCAGGAGACCGGGCGGTGGGAGAGACAGAGGCGCAGGCTTCTGGAAGCAGAGGGGGCGAGACAGGGGTCGGGGGAGACTGAGGCAAGGCGATGCCGAGGTGGAGGGAGCAGATGAAAGGCCGAGTCGGAGACGCAGGGGTACAAAGACTCGGAGATGAAGGAAGCAGAGGGGGAGAGGCACGGCTTCCGAAAGAGCGGGAGGCCTGGAGAGGCTTTCAAGAGCTGGATCACCAAGAGGGAGCAACAGGGTGCTACAGAGAGACTGGAGTGTGAGGGCAAAAGGAGTCCTGGGGAAAACAGCAGGGAAAGGTTGAAGAGGGCAGGCTGGTTGGGGTCTGTGGGAGGCAGGCGCCCTCCCTGTCCGTCTTCCCTGGCCCCTCCAGCCTCCAGCTCACCCTCCTCTGTTGCCTGCCCCTCTGGTGGGTCTAGGGGCAGCCAGAAGGAGCCCTCTCCGACCCATTCACAACCTCCTCTTCTGCCCGAGTCCCTTCCCACCCCACACCCAGCCCTTCCTCCACAACTTCCCTGAGCCGCCTCCTGCCTTCCAGAACCTTGCACTCAATTCCACCTGAAATGTCCTCCCTGCATTGCCCCAGAGCAGACAGGGGGTTGGAGTCAGGGGGCTGTGCCCTGACTGCTGCTCCCTGAGGCCACCTGCTGCCATCCAGACCATCTCCTGCCTCATGGGGAATCATTGCATTGTTCAACAAACATTTTTTGAGCACCTACTATGTACCAGGTCCCATACAAGGCCCTGGGGGCACCAAGTGACCAGGGCAGACCCAGTTCTTGCCTTCTCAGACCACCTTCCAAGCGGTGCACCCTGGTAGGCCAGAGCTTCTCCTAGGTCGCCCTGGTGGCTCTGAGGTCTCTCTTGACAGCTTTCTCTGAGGGCTCCTGCTGAAATGGCTGTGACTTCATTTGTAGAGTGGGAACAATAACCAGGCCTGTTTGTGATGCCTCACGTATCAGGTGAATGAGCTCACACTCAAGTTGCAGAGTGAATGGTGAAAAGGTGCTTGTGGCTGGCACTCCTATTACTGTCCCCTCCCCAGAGACCACTCCCCAGGTGAATAGGTCCTCTGGGGCCATCAAGAAATGCCCAGGGCCCCAGAGACCTGCAGATGTGGGTCCAAGTCTGGTTCCAGCAGCTACTGGTCAGGAGCCAAGGCACCCACTTGTCCTCTGTGAGCCTCAGTTTGTTCATCTGTGAAATGGAGATAAAAATAGAACCTCCACTGGGAAGTCTTTTGTAAAGGATAAAAGACAGTGCATGAAAAGCTCATAGGAGACACGATGCATTTGACTTACGAAAAATGTGGGCACCTTCATTACATTTAAAGGACAACATATGGCCGGGCAAGGTGGCTCACACCTGTAATCCCAGCACTTTGGAAGGCCAAGGCAGCTGGATCACTGGAGGTCAGGAGTTGGAGACAAGCCTGGCCAACGTGGAGAACCCCGTCTCTACTAAAAATACAAAAATTAGCTGGGCGTGGTGATGGGTGCCTGTAATCACAGCTACTTGGGAGGCTGAGGCAGGAGAACCGCTTGAACCAGGGAGGCAGAGGTCGCAGTGAGCCAAGATCACGCCACTGCACTCCATCCTGGTGACAGAGCGAGACTCTGTCTCAAAGAAATAAAAATAAAAATAAATAAATAAATAAATAAAAGATAACATATGGTAGGTCGGGTGTGGTGGCTCACGCCTATAATCCCAGCACTTTGGAAAGCTGAGGTGGGTTCAAGATTGCCTGAGCACAGGAGGTTGAGACCAGCCTGGGCAACACGGCGAAACCCTGTCTCTATTAAAAATACAAAAAATCAGCCTGGTGTGGTGGCACACACCTGTAGTCCCAGCTACTTGGGAGACTGAGGCAGGAAAATCACTTGAATCCACGAGGCGGAGGCTGCAGTGAGCTCAGATCACGCCACTGCACTCCAGCCTGGGTGACAACAAAATTCTGTCTACAAAACAAAACAACACAAACAAACAAAAACAACAGCAACAAACACCACATGGCTACGTGGCTTTGGGAAATATGGAAAGAACAAAGGTAGGTACCAAATATCACCTATAAAGAGATACTGAAAGCAAAACCATATGATAAGAAAGTTGACCAGGACGCCAAGGAGTCTGTGAGCCGTATCTAACGAAGAGTGGCTGGAATGAAGAACAACAGTCATCAAATAATGAACATTTGCTAGGCACCCAGGGTATCTCAATCCATCTTCAGCCCTGCACCCTGAGGTAGCTGCTGTCATTATCTGTAACTCACAGAAAGGGAAACTGAGCCACAGGGAAGTTAAGTGTCTCAGCCAGGAACACCTCTGTCCCCAAGCAAAAGTGGACCTGACCCCAGTGGCTGCTGTCACAAGAGATTTATTTTTTCACATAACAGAGTACAGAGGTGGGTATGTGTCTATGACCTTGGCTCAGCAGTTCAAGGATGTGAGGCCTGAGGTTCCTTCTGTTCTCGTGGTGACACAATGGCTGCTGCAGCCCTGCCATCACATTAGAGGCTGGGAGGAGGAAGGGGCAGAGTTTCACTGACATGTCCCTGGTCACACGCAGTGAGCAAAGAGGAGAGGTGAAACTGAAATCCGGGCAGCCTGAGTTCAGGCTGGGACCTTAACTACAACCTCCCGGCTAGGGCTATCCAAGCCAGAGGAACAATGACTCGGGGGATCCATGCACTGTCTGCCAACCCCGAGAGCCCGTTCAAGTGGGCAGGGAGCAGCTTTTGTTTACTGCACAGAAACTAGGCACCAGGTGTGCAGAGATGAACTCCGTGGTCCCTCCTGACCCATCTCAGGACTGGGGCTTCTGGAGGACAGGCATCTGGTCTGAATCTTCCTTGGTCTCCAGGGCCAGCACCAGGGCCTGGCACACAGCGAGTGCTCAGCCCGTGAGTGAATGACAGGGTAGATGGAGCCACAGTGGCATGGACAGGTTAGGGAAGGACAGTGAGGGCTCCGGCCTTGCCTACCTCCTCTGGGTGGCACGAGGGAGCCTCTGAATCCCAGCAAAGCGGATGGCAGCTCCAGAAACTGCCAAAAGGCCAGGGCAGCCCAGATCCTCAGAACCCGGGGGCCCAGTCAGGATGTGGAAAGAGATGGTGAAGCCCAGTCATAAATGCTCCCCCCTAAGTAGACACAAACAGCTGGACGTGTCCTCAGACCCCAGATCGGAGCTGGAGGGACCCGCTGCAGTGGGTTGGACCCGCTGAAGATACTTCATTCCCTCCCCTTCCCTGCAGCCAGGGCCTCAGCCTCCCCCGGCCTCTGCTTCCAGCTTCTGGCCTGTCCATCCTGTGATGTGCCTCCCCAGCACCTCCCATATCATCCCCACCACCCCAGCTCCCAAACCGTCAACAGCATGGAGGACAACGCAGCAATGGCCCTGCTCCTCAAGAGATCCTTTCTGTTCCCAGTGAAGCATTGGGTCCAGCACATTCACATGCAGGCAGCTCCTAGCAACTCTGTGAGATGTGTCCCTGCGTTTGCCTACTTTTACAGAGGAGGAAACTGAGGCTTGTCGAGAGTCTCGAATGCTCTCTAAGCCTGTGCCCTTCCCCTCTCCATAGCTCAGAGAATAAAACCCTCAGGGGTCCTATCTGCTTATCCCTCTGACCCCATGGGAGTCCAATGCTCACAACTGTTGAGATGACAGAAAATGTGTGTTACACTGGCCTGGAAGGAGATGTTTAATTCTATTGTTTGTTTGTTTGTTTGAGATGGAGTCTCACTCTCACCCAGGCTGGAGTGCAGTGGCGCAATCTCGGCTGACTGCAACCTCCGCCTCCCAGGTTCAAGCGATTCTCCTGCCTCAGCCTCTGGAGTAGATGGGCTTACAGGTGCACACCACTATGCCTGGCTAATTTTTGTATTTTTAGTAGAGACAGGGTTTCACCATGTTGGCCAGGATGGTCTGGAACTCCTGACCTCAGGTGATCCACCCACCTCAGCCTCCCAAAGTGCTGGGATTACAGGCGTGAGGCAGTGCGCCCGGCCAGAGATGTTTAATTCTAGATTCCCTTCCCCACCCGCTTCACTCCTTCCCACCTGTCCCCTCCTCTGTGTCTGGGGTCAGACCTTGGATAATTAGGGAAGAAACTTATTTGAAGACCAGTTCAATTAGTTGTAGTTACAACGAAGGGGAATTTTGCTGCTCCAAATGTTCAAGAAGACACAAATATTCCAGAGCCTTCTGGACACGCCAGACTCTCAGATCATCATGTATTTATTTTAATTATGCAAATATTTAATGCACATCCACAATGCATCAAGCTGGACCTGGAGCTGGGGGCATGGAGCAAGGGCGAGTCAGGTGGTGCTTGGCCAGCCCAGCCCTGGCAGCCCCTGGTCACTGGAGACTTTAGTTAAAGGTGAGTCAGTTCCATCGGCAGCTACTGGGAACTTGCCCCTTGCTGGTGCTGTCCACGCACCGAGGCCAAAGAAGAACCAGCTGGGTTCTGGCCATGAGGTGTTGTTTCCTGTGGACAGTGCCCACACCATGCTAAGGGACGCTTGCCAGAATTTTAGACTCCTTCCATGGGATTTATTTTTCTTTTTTTTTTTCCTTTTTTGAGACAGAGTTTCACCTTTGTTGCCTGAGCTGGAGTGCAGTGGTGCGATCTCGGCTCACTGGAACCTCCGCCTCCCAGGTTCAAGCGATTCTCCTGCCTCAGCCTCCGAAATAGCTGGGATTACTGGCATGCGCTACCATGCCCGTCTACTTTTGTATTTTTAGTAGAGACGGGGTTTCACCATGTTAGCCAGGCTGGTCTCGAACTCCTGACCTCAGGTGATCCTCCCGCCTTGGCCTCCCAAAGTGCTGGGATGACAGGCGTGAGCCACTGCGCCTGGCTGGGATTTCTTTTTGCTTTCTTTTTTTTTTTTTTAATTTTAATAATTTTCTTTTCTTCTTCTTCTTCTTTTTTTTTGTTTGAGAGAGAGTCTTGCTCTGTCACCTAGGCTGGAGTGCAGTGGCACGATCTCAGCTCATTGCAACCCCCACCTCCTGGGTTCAAGCAATTCTCCTGCCTCAGCCTCATGAGTAGCTGGGATTACAGGCACCTGCCACCCCGCCTGGCTAATTTTTGTATTTTTAGTAGAGATGGGGTTTCACCATGTTGGCCAGGCTGGTCTTGAACTCCTGACCTCAAGTGATCCACCCACCTTGGCCTCCCAAAGTGCTGGGATTACAGGTGTGAGCCACCACGCCTGGCCTAATTTTTATTTTTATATTTATTTATTTATTTATTTTTTTGAGATGGAGTCTCGCTCTGTCACCCAGGCTGGAGTGCAGTGGCACCATCTCGGCTCACTGCAAGCTCCGCCTCCCGGGTTCACACCATTCTCCTGCCTCAGCCTCCTGAGTAGCTGGGACTACAGGCGCCCGCCACCACACCCGGCTCATTTTTTGCATTTTTAGTAGAGACGGGGTTTCATGGTGTTACCCAGGATGGTCTCAATCTCTTGACTGCGTGATCCGCCCACCTCGGCCTCCCAAAGTGCTGGGATTACAGGTGTGAGCCACCGTGCCTGGCCCTAATTTTTATTTTTAAAATAGCTTCATTGAGGTGTAATTAATATATAATAAGCTGCACATATCTAATGCATACAATTTGCTGAGTTTGAACATATGCGTACACCCCGAAACCATCACTGCAATCACAGTAATAAACATTCATCACCTCCAAAAGCTTCCCCTTGCTCCCATGTGTGTGTGCCAGGGGCTGGTGGTGGGGGGACGCTGGTAAGAACACTTGACATCTGCTCTCTTACGTTTTTTAGTGTACAATATGGTATTATCAGCTATAGGCACTACGTTGTCTTTTCTTTTTTTAAAGACAGACTCTCGCTCTATTACCCAGGCTAGAGTGCAGTGGTGTGATCATGGCTCAGTGCAGCCTTGACCTTCCGGGCCCAAGCCATCTTCCAGTCTCAGCCTCCTGAATAGCTGTGACCGCAAGTACATGCCACCACACCCGGCTAATTTTTAAACTTATTCTTGTAGTGTTGGGGTCTCCCTGTTTTACTCAGGCTGGTCTCAAACTCCTAGCCTCAAGTGATCCTGCTGCTTCAGCCTCCCAAAGTACTGGGATTACAGGCATGAGCCATTATGTCTGGCAAAAGTTTAGTTTTGTTTCATTTTGTTTTTAAGACAGGGTCGGGCTCTGTCACGAAGGCTGGTGAGCGGTGGTGCCATCATAGCCCATTGCAACCTCCAGCTCCTGCTTTCCATGGAATTTCGAGGGAGAAACCCTCTCATTCTTGTTGTCTAGCTGGGCAGGATGTCCTTTTGTTCCCCAGAGCTCCCTTAGAGGGGTGCTTAGAGCCCCCCCAACACCACACAGGGAGGAACTGCACTTTCACAGCCACAGATTTTTATGGGGGAGGATAGGTCTCAAAAGCATGTTTTTTGTTTTTTTTTGTTTTTTTGAGATGGAATTTTGCTCTTGTCACCCAGGCTGGAGTGCAATGGCGTGATCTTGGCTCACCACAACCTCCATCTCCTGGGTTCAAGCGATTCTCCTGCCTCAGCCTCCCGAGTAGCTGGGATTACAGGCATGCGCCACCACGCCTGGCTAATTGTTGTATTTTTAGTAGAGACGGGGTTTCATCATGTTGGCCAGGCTGATCTCGAACTCCTGACCTAGGTGATCTGCCCGCCTCGGCCTCCCAAAGTGCTGGGATTACAGGCGTGAGCCTTGGTGCCCAGCTGAGATTGTGTTTTTTTGTTGCCTTTTGTCATGCCTTGCAATTTTTTGTTGAAATCCAGACACACTGTATCAGATAACAGGAACTAAGGTCAAGAGGCCTTTAGTGTGAGGAGGGTATATTTCATTTTATATTTATTTATTTATTTATTTTAAAGGCTTGTTTTATTTTAATGGCTGATCCATGTAATAACGGAGGGAGCTGATCCATGTAATAACAGACAAAGGGGGAGCTTTTATTTCTTGGCCTTTTCCTCCTGGGACAAAGTCTTGATGATCTCTTCCTTCTTGGTCTGGAGGTGCTCTTCACGGAGCTTGCGTGCTTCCTTGGTCTTAGACCCGCGGGCCTCAGCCTGGTCAGCCAGGGGCTTCTTGCGGGCTTTGTCTGCCTTCAGCTTGTGGCTGTGTTCCGTGAGAATCCGCTTGTGTTTGAACACATTCCCCTTCAACTTCAGGTACAGGCTGTGATACATGTGGCGATCAATCTTCTTCGATTCTGAGCAGCCGGCGCAGAATCCTCAGTCTCCTCATCCACGTGACCTTCTCTGGCATTCAGGCATTGGCTGTACCCCTCCGCTTACCTATGCCCAAGTGCCTGCCCTTCCGGCGGGCCAAGGTGCTTTTCCAGCATTGAGCCCGGGAATGGACCGTCACAGGCTTGCGGTGACGCAAGATCAGCCCATCTTTGATCAGCTTCCGGATCTGCTGACGGAAGTTGGCATTGGGGATTTCATTGGTCTCATCGGGTCCAACCAGACCTTCTTCTCGCCACAGTGGAGGACACTAGAGATGAGCCTCTTCTGAGGTGTGAGCATACTCATGGCTGCGGCTGCAGCAGCGAAAGGAAAGCTCTTTTATATTTTATATTTATTTATTTAAATTTTTTGAGACAGGGTCTTGCTGTGGTGCCCAGGCTGGGGTGCAGTGGCATGATCAAGGCTCACTGTAGCCTCTAACTCCCAGACTCAGGTGATCCTCCTACCTCAGCCTTCCGAGTAGCTG
This sequence comes from Homo sapiens, assembly GCF_000001405.40. NCBI lineage: Eukaryota > Metazoa > Chordata > Mammalia > Primates > Hominidae > Homo > Homo sapiens. The sequence continues at coordinate 130,651,617 of NC_000009.12, read as the reverse complement.
GGACTACAGGCACGTGCCACCAGGCTCAGCTATTTTTTTTTTGTAGTTTTTGTAGAGATGGGGTTTCGCCATGTTGCCCAGGTTGGTCTTGAACTCCTGGGCTCAAGCGACCACCCACCTCGGCCTCCCAAAGTGCTGCGATTTCAGGCGCGAGCCACTGCGTCCGGCCGAGGCTGTATTATCCTCTTTCTAGGAGCTGGGCAGTGTTAGGTGTTTGCTGCGGCTGCAGGTGCCAGAGGCTCCACGTCTTCTACTGTCCTCATTGTTGTCTCCCTCCTGACTTTGGGAGGTCTGAGCCTTGAGTTCTGTCGCCTGTGACTCCCATGATGGTACCGCAGCTTGTGGGTGTGGTGAGGTGTGGGAGAGAGGGAACATTCTGTCGTCAGTCCTGTCTTGGTCCTGGGTCTTGGGGCTGTGACATTCACAAGTATCCCTGCAGGGGTGTCACTTTTCCCCCCTGCCACTTACTACCTTCTCTGGCTCAGGTTCCTTCCCGACCTAATTCCTTGCAGCCTGGCTCCTGAGCACTGTGCTTGTTCTTTGCGAAGCCTGGAAGGGGCTGGAGGGGGCTGGAAGGAGAATTCCATTCCCCTACCTGGGATAGGCTCTGGCAAAGCTCTTCCCCCTGGAATGGGGCCTTGGCTAGAAGGCTTTGAGTGTTTCACAAGGATCTCTACACCCACCCCAGCGAGAGCCTGTGGGATTTTTTTTTTTTTTTTTTTTTTTTGAGACAGAGTCTAGCTCTGTCTTCAGGCTGGAGTGATCTCGGCTCACTGCAAGCTCCACCTCCCGGGTTCAAGCGATTCTCCTGCCTCAGCCTCCCGAGTAGCTGGGACTACAGGTGCGCACCACCATGTCCAGCTAATTTTTGTATTTTTAGTAGAGACGGGGTTTCACCATGTTGGTCAGGATGGTCTCAATGTCTTGACCTCGTGATCCGCCCGCCTTGGCCTCCCAAAGTGCTGGGATTACAGGCATGAGCCATCGTGCCCGGCCCAGGATCTTTCTTCGACAGAATCAAGTGGGATTCCTGGAGGGAAACCCATGAAAGTGTGGGGGACCCCCTAGACTGAAGACTCTAGGACTTTGTCCCTCTGATGCCAGTCCACACTCAGCCTCTAGCAATTCATCCGAGTTCCCATCTGTGTTCCCACTTAGGGCTCCCGTGGCTTCTGCTCCTGGTCCACAGATGTCGCTGGGATTCTCCAGGTTCTCCTGTCTCTCCTGACTTGGGTGGAGCTTTGCCTTTGCAAACTCAGTTCTCTGAAACCTCAGAGAACTTCAAGAAAAGTTTCAACTGCAAGAAAAGTCATTGATTTTCAGTTTGTCCAAGTTAATTTTTTTTTTTTTTTTTTTTTGAGATGGAGTCTCGCTCTGTTGCCCAGGCTGGAGTATAGTGGCACCATCTCGGCTCACTGCAAGCTCCGCCTCCCGGGTTCACGCCATTCTCCTGCCTCAGCCTCCGGAGTAGCTGGGACAACAGGCGCCCACCACCACCCCCGGCTAATTTTTTTTTGTATTTTTAATAGAGACGGAGTTTCACCGTGTTAGCCAGGCTGGTCTCGATCTCCTGACCTCGTGATCCGCCCGCCTTGACCTCCCAAAGTGCTGGGATTACAAGTGTGAGCCACTGCGCCCGGCCGTTTTTTTTTTCTTTTTAATTTTAATAATGAAATAATGAAAGTGGTGACTTTCAAGTTTTTTTGTTTTGTTTTGTTTTGTTTTTCAGGCTGGAGTACAGTGGCACGATCTCGGCTCATTGCAACCTTGGCCTCCCAGGCTCAAGCAATCCTCCTACTTTAGCCTCCCAAGTATTTGGGACTGCAAGCACGCGCCACCACGCCCGGCTAATTTTGTAGTACTTTTTGCAGAGATGGGGTTTCGCCATGTTGCCCATTGCACTCCAGCCTGGGTGACAGAGCAAGACTCTGCCTTACAAAAATAAAAAAATAAAAAAATTAATGACAGGCAGATAAGCACAGGTCCAGGAAACTCAGAGAACACCAATCTGGATAAATAGCAACAAATAATCACAACAAAAATACCAGAAACAGAAACACACACACCACACACACACACGTACACACAAAGCAAAACAAATAAAAAACAAACACACACACAGAATCCACACCCAGCCACAATATATTCAAACTGCAGAAAGCCAAAGAGATCAGATACAAGCACAAGTGGCATTTATTTCTTCTTCTTCTTCTTTTTTTTTTTTTGGATGGAGTCTCGCTCAGTCCACCCAGGCTGGAGTGCAGTGGCATGATCTCGGCTCACTGCAACCTCCAACTCCTGGGCTCAAGTGATTCTCCCACCTCAGCCTCTTGAGTAGCCGGGACTACAGGTGCGTGCCCCTACGCCTGGCTAATTTTTGTAGGTTTTTTTTTTTTTTTTTGAGATGGAGTTTCACTCTGTTGCCTAGACTGGAGTGCAGTGGCATTATCTCGGCTCACTGCAACCTCTGCCTCCCGGGTTCAAGTGATTCTCCTGCCACAGTCTCCTGAGTAGCGGGTATTACAGGCATCCTCCACCAAGCCCAGCAAATTTCTGTATTTTTAGTACAGACGAGGTTTCACCATGTTGGCCAGGCTGGTCTCAAACTCTTGACCTCAAGTGATCTGCCTGCCTCGGCCTCCCAAAGTGCTGGGAGTACAGGCATGAGCCACCATGCCCAGCCTCACACCCTGCTAATTTCTGTATTTTTAGTAGAGACAGGGTTTCACCATGTTGGCCAGGCTGATCTCAAACTCCTGAGCTCAGGTGATCCTCCTGCCTCAGCCTCCCAAAGTGTTGGGATTACAGGTGTGAGCCAGCGCGCCCAGCCTGAACCAGTTGTATTACAGTGTATGCAAAACAACAAGGTAAGCAGTTCAAAAACTGTCATCATTGACAACTGCTTATTTGTTTGAATCAGGATCACAAGGTCAAGAGATCGAGACCATCCTGGCCAACATGGTGAAACCCTGTCTCTACTAAAAATAAAAAATTGGCTGGACGTGGTGGCACGCGTCTGTAGTCCCAGCTACTCGGGAGGCTGAGACAAGAGAATCGCTTGAACCTGGGAGGCAGAGGTTGCAGTGAGCCAAGATCGCACCACTGCACTCCAGCCTGGGTGACAGAGTGAGACTCCTTAATAAAATTAAAAAAAAAAATAAAAAATAAAATAAAATAAAATAAAATGGTTCAGAAGATTTTTAAAAAAAGGGTAGGAAGAATTTTTTGTCTCAAAGTTGAATTGCTAGGTAGGGCATGGTAGCTTACACCTGTAATACCAACTCTTTTGGAGGCCAAGATGGGAAGATCACTTGAGACCAGGAGTTCAAGACTAGCTTGGGTAACATGGTGAGACCTCGTCTCTACAAAAAAAAAAAAAAAAAAAAAAAAAATAGCTGGGTGTGGTACACCTGTAGTTCCAGCTGCTGGGAGGCTGAGGTAGGAGGATCACTAAAAAATAAAATTATAAAGTGGAATTGCTAACTAACCATTGCCAGATATAAACAAGTGCCTCTGCTAGATCAGCTCCATGCAGGGAGAAGTGACTTTGCCCCATCCCTCAGGGCTGAGCACAATGCCTTGGGTACAGCTGGTGCCTCAACACTATTAGTTGGATTTTATTTTATTTTTTATTTTTTTATTTTTTGAGACGGAGTTTCACTCTTGATGCCCAGGCTGGAGTCCAATGGCACGATCTCGGCTCACCACAACTTCCACCTCCCGGAAGTTGAGGCAGCGATTCTTCTGCCTCAGCCTCCCGAGTAACTGGGATTACAGGCACCTGCCACCACGCCTGGCTAACTTTGAATTTTTAGTAGAGACGGGGTTTTACCATGTTGGTCAGGTTGGTCTTGAACTCCTGACCTCAGGTGATCCACCCACCTCGGCCTCCCAAAGTGCTGGGAATACAGGCGTGAGGCACCGTGCCTGTACTTATTTTATTTTATTTTTTTGAGATGGAGTCTTACTCTGTAGCTCAGGCTGGAGTGCAGGGTCTCGGTCTTGGCTCACTGCAACCTCCACCTCCCAGGTTCAAGTGATTCTCCTGCCTCAGCCTCCCGTGTAGCTGGGACTACAGGTGCGTGCCACCACGCCAGGCTAATTTTTTTTTTTTTTTGTATTTTTAGTAGAGATGGGATTTCATCATGTTGGCCAGGCTGGTCTTGAACTCCTGACCTCAGGTGATCCATCCACCTTGGCCTTCCAAAGTGCTGGGATTACAGGTGCGAGCCGCCGCACCTGGCCTAGTTGTGGGTTTTAACTGCACGAGAACCATGATTGGTCATGGCGAGACCATCTGTTTGCTGAACCTCGCCTGGCATCTGAGCATGGAATTCCGTAATGAACTGAGAAATGAACTTTTGGGCACAAGAGCCGATGCCCACAGGCATGACTTCAAAGACCAGTGTTAGAACATTCCGCAATGGCAATGTGCGCAATGAGGACACACCTGCTCAGAAATGAGTTAAGGTAGTAGCACAAGTTGACCTGTTATGCATCTTCGATGGTGATATGGTTTGGATTTTTGTCCTGGCCAAATCTCATGTTGAATTTGAGGAGGGGCCTGGTGGGAGATGACTGGATCACGGGGGCTGATTTCCCCCTTGCTGTTCTCATCATAGTGAGTGAGTTCTCATGATATCTGATGGTTTGAAAGTGTGTGGCATTTGGGCCGGGTGCGGTGGCTCACACCTGTAATCCCAGCACTTTGGGAGGCCGAGGCGGGCGGATCACCTGAGGTCGGCAGTTTGAGACCAGCCTGGCCAACATGGAGAAACCCCGTCTCTACTAAAAATACAAAAATTAGCCAGGCGTGGTGGCACATGCCTGTAATCCCAGCTACTCGGGAGGCTGAGGCAGGATAAACACTTGAACCCGGGAGGCGGAGGTTGCAGTGAGCCAAGATGGCGCCACTGCACTCCAGCCTGGGCAACAAGAGCAAAACCTCGTCTAAAAAAGAAAGAAAGAAAGAAAGAAAGTGTGTGGCACTTCCTGCCTTGCTCTCTCTCTCCCGCTCTGCCACGCTAAGATGTGCCTGCTTCCCCTTTGCCTTCTGCCATGATTATAAATTTCCTGAGGCTTCCCAGTCGTGCCTCCTGTATAGCCTGCAGAACTGTGAGTCAATTAAACCTCTCTTCTTTGTAGATTACCCAGTCTCAGGTAGTTCTTCGTGGCAGTGTGAGAATAGACTAATATAGATTGATTAAATGTGGTGTAAATTACAGACCAGTGGTTTTCATGAATGTATATATAACAATCCTAATAAAAAAGTTAGTAAACCAAACCAATTATATATATAATATGTATATCTTATCAACTATATCTATCTACCTATCATCTATCTACCTATCATCTATCTATCATCTATCTATCTATCCATGTATCTATCAATAAAATAGATAATCCTTTACAACCATTATGAGGTTTATTCTAGGAATGCAAGGCTGGTTTAACATTTGAAAATCTATCAGTGTAATTCATTACATTGAAGCGAAAAAGGAGATAAATCATAGATGATCTCTACAGATGCAGAAGAAAGTACTGAAACAATTCATTACCTATTCATGACAAAACTCTTGGCAAACTAGAAACAGAAGAAAACCTCCTTATCAGATAAACTGTATGCCAAACATACACTCTGAGGCTACAAACAAGACCAGAATGACAACTCTCATGGCTTTCAATCAACAAGATACTGAAGGTCTTGGCCAGAGTAGTCAAGCAATACAAAGAACAAATGGCATAAGGATTGGGAAGAAAAAAATAACACCATCATTATTCATAAATGATCTGACTGTGAAAACAGGAAATTCAAAAGAATCTACAACATTGTTAGGTTGTCAGTTCTTCCCAAATTGATCTATAGATTCATTGCAATCCCAGTAAAAATCCCAGCAAATTTAAAATATTTTTATGGGGGTTGGGAGATCGACAAGCTGATTCTAAAATTTGTATAGAAATGCAAAGGGCTGGGAGTAGCCAAGACAATCTTGAAGAACAACAAAGCTGAAGGACTTACTGTAAAGGTACAATAATTAAGACAGTTTTGTTGGGAGGCCGAGATGGGCGGATCACAAGGTCAGGAGATCAAGACCATCCTGGCTAACACGGTGAAACCCGGTCTCTACTAAAAATACAAAAAATTAGCCGGGCGTGGTGGCGGGCGCCTGTAGTCCCAGCAACTCAGGAGGCTAAGGCAGAAGAATAGCATGAACCCGGGGGGCGGAGCTTGCAGTGAGTCGAGATCGTGCCACTGCACTCCAGCCTGGGCGACAGAGCGAGACTCCATCTCAAAAAAATAAAAATTAAAATAAATAAATAAATAAATAAATAAATAAATAAAAATAATAATAATACAGCTTTGGCCAGGCGCGGTGACTCAAGCTTGTAATCAAAGCACTTCGGGAGGCCGAGGTGGATGGATCACGAGGTCAGGAGTTCGAGACCAACCAGTTTGAGACCAACCTGGCCAACCCCGTCTCTACTAAAAATACAAAAATTAGCGCATAGTGGTGGGCGCCTGTAATTCCAGCTACTCAGGATGCTCAGGCAAGAGAATTGCTTGAACCTGGGAGGCAAAGGTTGCACTGAGCCGAGATCATGCCACAGTACTCCAGCCTGGATGACAGAGAGAGACTCCCTCTCAAAAAAAAAAAAAAAAAAAAAAAAGGAAGGGAAAAAGAAAGTGCAGCATATAATGTACTTGAGTGCATGGTGTTTTTAAAAAACATTATGGTTACAAATTGTTTTTAAAAATGTTTAAGGCTGAGTGCAATGGCTCACGCCTGTAATCCCAGCACTTTAGGAGGCTGAGGCAGGCAGATCACCTGAGGTCAGGAGTTCGAGACCAGCCTGGCCAACTCTGCTAAAAATACAAAAATTAGCCGACGTGGTGGCACACACCTGTAGTCCCAGCTACTCGAGAGGCTCAGGTAGGAGAATCGCTTGAACCTGGAAGGCGGAGGTTGCAGTGAGCCGAGATCACACCACTGCAATCCAGCCTGAGCAACAGAGTGAGACTCTGTCTCAAAAAAAAAAAAAAAAGTTTAAATGCATTTAATATTTAACGTGTTTTATCGAAATGTGAATTAAACAACCATGAAATCCTTGACACCAACCTACCATAATTTGGAAACCACTTGTGTGGTCCAATTCCAAGGAAAGAAAACAGATCAAGAGAGCTGATCTATCCAAGTCACAGAAAGTCATCTGTCCAAGTTGGGAACAAAAGTGAGGCCTGTGGGTTCCCTTTGCCTGAAGGAAATTGTTGATCGTTCTCTCCCCTTGACTGAAGAAGTGGAGTTAGGGAAGAACCTTTCTTTTCTTTTCTTTCTTTTTTTTTTTTTGAGACGGAGTTTTGCTCTGTTGGCTGGAGTGCAGTGGCGCGATCCTGCTCACTGCAAGCTCTGCCTCCCAGGTTCACGCCATTCTCCTGCTTCAGCCTCCCAGTAGCTGGGACTACAGGCGCCTGCCACCATGCTCGGCTGATTTTTCATATTTTTAGTAGAGACGGGGCTTCACCATATTAGCCAGGATGGTCTCCAACTCCTGACCTCGTGATCCACCCGCCTCGGCCTACCAAAGTGCTGGGATTACAGGCATGAGCCACCGCGCCCGGCTTTTTTTTTTTTTTTTTTTTTGAGACGGAGTCTAGCTCTGTCACCCAGGCTGGAGTGCAGTGGTGCGATCTCGGCTCACTGCAGCCTCTGCCTCCTGGATTCAAGTGACTCTTTTGCCCAGACTCTCTCTAGTAGCTGGGATTACAGGTGCCTGCCACCATACCCTGCCCATTTTTTGTACTTTTGGTAGAGACAGGGTTTCACTATGTTGACCAGGCTGGTCTCAAACTCCTGACCTTGGGTAATCCACCCACCTTGGCCTCCCAAAGTGCTGGGATTACAGGCAAGAGCCACTGCACCCGGCTTTTTTTGGCTTGTTTGTTGAGACAGGGTCTTGCTCTGTCACCCAGGCTGGAGTGCAGTGGCATGATTACAGCTTACTGCAGCCTCGACTTCCTGGACTCAAGGGATCCTCTCACCTTGGCCTCCCAAGTAGTTGGGACTACAGGCATGCGCCATCATGCCTGGCTAATTAGAATTTTTTTTTTTTTTTTGTAGAGGTGGGGTCTCACTCCGTTGCCCAGGCTGGCCTCAAACTCCTGGCTCAAGCGATCCTCCCGCCTCGGTCTCCCAAAGTGCTGAGATTACAGATGTGAGCCACTGCACCAGGCCGGTTGCCAGTTTTTGAGTGCCCATTAAGAACCAGGTGTGAAGCGCTTTACTTGTGTGCCATTGACTCCTATCATAGCCCCACAGGCGGGCAGGTGGCTGCTAGCCCCACACTTAGGATACCAGAGGTTAGGTCATATGAGGTGCAGGCAGGACTCAGACCCAAGTTTAAGTGTCCACACATTCATGCCTCACACCCTGCTGCCTTAGGTAGGCTGAACTCGCCAGGCCCCACTAGAACCACGTGAGGCATTCCTTGCACATGTGCCTGGCTCTGCTCGTGTGTGGGTGTGGCAAGGCAGGCCGGTATCGCAGCCAGGCTAAGGTTTGAGGAGGCCTCAGCAAGAGTGTAGCTCTCCACTGAAACCCCAGCAGAGTGGAGCACGAACTTGCCATGGAACTGGCCCCTCCGTGCCTGTGTGAGTAAGGACAGTTTCCAGCCTCTCTGAGCCCTCATCTGTAAAATGGGGAGCATAGTCCTGGTTACCTCTCAGGTCACATGTGCACAACCATGGTATGACTCTGATCAGAACCTATTTAAACCTGTTTCCTTGGCCGAGCGCGGTGGCTCACGCCTGTAATCCCCGCACTTTGGGAGGCCGAGGCGGGTGGATCATGAGGTCAGGAGTTCGAGACCAGCCTGGCCAACATGGTGAAACCCTGTCTCTACTAAAAATACAAAAATTAGCTGGGTGTGGTGGCGGGCACCTGTAATCCCAGCTACTCAGGAGGCTGAGGCAGGAGAATTGCTTGAACCCGGGAGGCGGAGGCTGCAGTGAGCCGAGATCATGTCACTGCAGTCCAGCCTGGGTGACAGAGCAAGACTCCATCTCAGAAAAAACAAACAGACAAGCAAAACCCTATTTCCTCATCTCCAAAATGGGATAAGAGTCGGATTTTCCTTATAGGAAAGTAAGAGCCAGTGGATTCTAGTTGTTCATGGTAGTGATATATAAAGTCTCTGCAAATACTGAATCATCAAATACTAAACCCTTGTTCCTAAGGGAAATACAAGGCAAGGTTCCTGCAAGCCAGTGTCCACACCAATCTATAGATAATCTTTTTTATTTTATTTTGTTTTATTTTATTATTATTATTATTATTTTTTCAGACGGAATCTCGCTCTGTTGCCCAGGCTGGAGTGCAGTGGTGCAGTCTCGGCTCACTGCAACCTCTGTCTCCCAGGTTCAAGCAATTCTCCTGCCTCAGCCTCCCGAGTAGCTGGGATTACAGGCGTGCACCACCATACCCAGCTAATTTTTGTCTTTTTAGTAGAGACGGGATTTCACCATGTTGGCCAGGCTGGTCTCGAATTCCTGATCTCAGACAACCTGCCCACCTCGGTCTCCCAAAGTGCTGGATTACAGGCATGAGCCACTGCGCCCAGCCCCTTTTTTATTTTTTTAAGAGATGGGGTCTTGCTGTGTTGCTCAGGCTGGAATGCAGTGGCTATTCCCAGGCACGGACATAGCTCACTGCAGCCTCGAACTCCTGGGCTCAAGTGATCCTCCTCCCTCAGCCTCCCTAGTAGCTGGAACTACAGGCATGCATCAGCACTCCATAATCTTGTTTTATGTGTGTTTCTGTTTAAAGACCCCTCATTGGCCGGGCACGGTGGCTCACGCCTGTAATCCCAGCTGTTTGGGAGGCCCAGATGGGTGGATCATTTGAGGTCAGGAGTTTGAAACCAGTCTGACCACGCTGAAACCCCATCTCTACTAAAAATACAAAGAAATTAGCTAGGCATGTTGGTGGGCGCCTGTAATCCCAGCTACTCGGGAGTCTGAGGCAGGAGAATTGCTTGAACCTGGGAGGCGGAGGTTACAGTCAGCCGAGATCGTGCCACTGCACTCCAGCCTGGGTGACAGAGCAAGACTCCATCTCAACAAATAAATAAACAAAAATAAAAAATAAATAAAAATAAATACTCCTTACTTAATATGTATATTGTTCACCTATTAACATTGAACTCGTGGCCAACAGCCGTGTAACTCAGGCCTGCAAGAGGCAGAACGCATATATTGTCTCCATCAGCTACACCTCAGCCTTCCTATGCTTAGGAATGCTAGATGGCCCTTTAGTGCCATGCTTGGGGGCCACTTTAGACAGTAAAACTGTCAAAAAAGAAAAAAAAAAGGCACAAAATGCAAAAACTGTGGCACTAAGTAGACTGCAAGGAAAAGTGCTTATTTATGACACGAGAGCTGAAACCAGAAGGCAGAGCGCCGCCTTTTCCACCTCAGCTGGGAACACGTGCATCCGGTAACTCACGTTTTTCACCGTGAATGACCCGCAGATGCTCTGTGGGGGTAGATTTGGGGGTTGCAAATACGTTTCAGTGAGTAGGTGAATTTGCAAATACGGAATTGAAAATGATGAATGACTGTAGTGCACTTCCAGGGCTGGCCAAGTTGGTACTCAACCCTAACTTTCAAGATCTTCTCCCATCCTGCCAACCATCTCCCTTGGTGGTGACTACAAAAGACAGTGCGCCCCCAGGAGGCGGTGGTCACGCTCTCCTCTGAAGCCCCAGACGGAGTGCAGCATAGAACCTGGCACAGAACTGGCCCCTCCATGCCCGTGTGAATAAAGGCAGGTCTCAGCCTTTGACTCTGAGCCCTCTTCTGTGAAATGGGGAGATTAGGCCTTTCTACCTCCCAGGGTGCAGAGACCACCTTGGAAGCAGGTACCTGGAAAGGGCCAGGACCCCCTTGGTAGATGCTACAGAAACACCTTCAAGACAAAGGACAGCCAAGATGACCATTGTTTCAAGGGCAGTGAGGGTTGTCTTTGCTTCCCCTTCCACCCTACCCAAGACACAGACCCAGGGCCTGCAGCCCCCTGCGGAATTGAGTGTCAAGCCACTTTCTGGCCATTAATCTCTAAGCATCTATCAGGCCCATTTGCTTCAGCCCATCTTAAAAAACCCCAGCTGGGCCCTAGTGGACCAGAAGTGGGGCTGGGAGAGAGTGGGGCTGTAGCCAGCTAGAAGCTGCGGCTCTGGGGTGACCCACGTTCTCATGGACCAGGCACTGCACTGTGCCATCTGTGCCCCAGCCGACCCTACCTTGGGGGCTCTGGGACATCATGGGTGGTCACCACTGTCGAGTGACCCTGGAAAGATGGTGCCTCCTATCTGATGGGAGGCCAGGGGTACTGATTGAGGCCCGCTGGCTGAGAACTCCTCAACCCCAGCCCAAACTTCTGGGTGGGGCTGGGATCGGCTCAGCAGGGTCCTTGATGGATCCTGAACTTGGGAGGCTGGCAGAGACCCAGTAGGCATGGGCGGTGGCGGGTGGGGGTGGGGCATGCATTCAGAAGACAGACTGGGCAAGCGCCCGCCCCGCCTCCCGGACCCCGACCGCCCTTACAGTGATGACCATGCATCTTTCTTAATGGAACACAACCGCTGAACTTGGTACATTTCAAGCACTTTAGCCTCCAGTACACCAGACTGCTGATGAAAATCATCTTCCTTGGGCGCCATGTTAATGAGAGGCCAAATTTCATATGCTTGCAAACTTTCCCCCCCCGCCTCCTGTCGTACCACACCCCCTCCCCCCAATAAAAGATTGCATCAGAGAGAAAGAGAGATTTCCATAATTTATAGTATGGGCATTTCACTGGGGACAAGCGCTAATCTGTACTTACCGATACATTTAAGAAAATGCATCCTCCGCAAGCCTGCGCCATTTATGACTCTTGGCACAAACCACAATGCTCAGTCTTCAATTAAGGGACACCTTAGGGTTCATTATCACACAATCGCTCCCTGTGAACCATGCCAAATGCTGTTTTGGCACAGAGCTTGGAAGATGAATTAGAAGGAAGTCTTCTCTGTAATGCCCTCTCCCGAATTCCCATTACCGTCATCAGCGTTTACGCCCTCCTCCCACTCGGCCCCCTCCCCCCACTTTCCAAGTGCCTTTTACTATTCAATTTCTCAACGTCAAACTCGATTCTCTAGAGGTGCAGTTAAAAATGCCACATCTCCTTTTTGTCTTCCGGCTCTCAACAGGCCTGCCATGGCCGCAGATGGGCTGCTCTCCACACCCCTTTTCGGCCTGAAGGAGCCACAGCTGCTTTTTTCCCCTCCTGTCAGAAGCTTGGAGTACAGACAAGGGGCCGGTATTGGCCAGGCACAGCCCAGCAAGCCCCGTTCAGGATGGAAACAGGTCTCTATATCTAAGTAGAGACCCGCACAGAAAGCCTGAGGGCGAAGGCAGGGCCCCTCAGACGTGAAAGCAGACACTGCTCAATGCCAGTCACCCCAACCAACGGGACAGAAGGAAAAAAAAAGGCGAGGGCTGATGCTATTACTTAATGCCCTTCCAAGTCTGAGGCCCACACTGTCGCCACGAGTCCTAAGACCACAGGACTGTAACTTAACACCTCTGGGGAAGGACGCCCCATTTGTTTCTTCATGAAAGGACAGGACATAACGAGCACGTGTGCTGATGCTTCCCAGCCCTCCTGGCGATCTGGTGTCCCACCGTGGGCACGGGGCTAAGAGCGAGAAAGCACCACCACCACAGCCACAGGTGAGGCTGGGGACAAGGAGGTGGGGGATGCAGGCAGCAACAGTCAGGGAAGCACACCGCGCCTAGGGCAGCCCACCTACATTTGCAGGCGAATGTGTGTGCATGGGCACGCAGGGAAGGGGAGCGGGCGGAGGGCAAGGGGCTGCCCAGTCAGTCGCAGAAGTCTGCTGACCCGCCGCACGCCCTTCAATGCATCTCCCAGCTCCATCCGATGACACTCCCATACTGACTTCTCACTTACAGATGCCTGACTGTGACAGGGAAGGGGAGCTGAGCCCAACCACGGCTCTCAAGTCAAGCTGTCAAATCATACAGAGCCATTAACATAAAATTAGCTTAACGAACTAGCTAGACATCTAGACTGTGCACCAACGAAGGCGGGTGGACGCGGTGCAAGATGACGGGCGAGGCCCGCAGGAATCCTCTTTCCCTCTCGGGCGGCCGCGGGCAGGGGCAGAGGGATGAACCGGCGAATGGAAAGCAAACAGGCCAGAAAGACTTTGCCCACAAGATGCCTTGTGGAGATTTTATTATATAGAGTGTAAAATGAATTGTCAGTCAAATAAAAAGAACACTTTGTTTTCTTAAAAACCCCATGCATAACATTTTCCAATTGTCTTTTTTAATAGTTAGACATTTCAAGCATTATAAGAAAAATAAGGAGAAAAAACCAGAAACTGTAACTTCAGTACATTTCAAACGGAATGTCCCTCAGGTCAATTAGAAATGCAAGAAAAAATAGCTTCAATTCCGTTTTTTTTCCTTTAAAAATACATGTTATCTGTACAAGATACACTACAGTAAACACTGGAAATCATATTATCCCTTTCATTAAATCAAAATTATTTAATTCATAATGCGGTTAATACTAGATTTATTTATTCATCTAGTTAATCTGACAAAATATTAAGAAAATATTTAAAAGAAAAAAGCAAACAACACCTTGGAATTAAAAATAGTTATAACTACATTTTTATACGGTTTAATGTTCCACAGTGTGTGTTAAAAGTTATATTGAATTTCTTAATATTAAAAATAACAGTATTTATATTTCTGAGATAATAGAGAAAGGTTTTTTGTTTTGTTTTAAAAACAAGCTTGGAGGTCTTAGATACACAATTGCAACTGGTAATGGAGGCATGAGAAAAACGTAGGCTAAACACACGAGCACATTTTTATATTACCCCTTTCGAACTCTAGAAATTATACAAACCCTACAAAATGCCCCTCCCAACCCCTGTTGGACAGCAATACAATTATCTGTCTCAGTTCAGAATTCACATCATTCATTACAATACATAATAGTTCAGTTTTTTTAAAAATGCAATAAAACCAGACAGCCAAGATACAAGAAATTAGAAGTAAAACATTAAATGAATTTACACATTTAAGAATACTTAAATACTGCTTTAAAATTTTTAAAAAGAATTTGTTACATACCACCTAAGACTTCCAAGCCACTTTCTGTTGCAACAGAAAAAACTGCAAATAAAAAGGACACAAAACCAAACCAAACCAAAACCATCATGTTGAAATGTCACAGCTCTGAGGCACATTCTGGTGCCTGACTTTGTAGGTATTGCTCCAAAAAGAATCCCAGAGCTTATACATTTGAAATAACAAAAATAATGAAACAAAAATGATCAGCAATTTTTAGTAACTAATTTTCCTGATTTTTAGAAAAATTCCGTTAATCTAAATATAGTGTTTCACAGAACAAAACAACAGTTCTTCATCAAAAGGTTTGCAAATGTAAAAACCTCTGTTACAAATAGGTTTTCTTTGACAATGATTTTGAGGGGAGAGTTGGCCACGAGGACGCTGTCCTACTGCTCCTGTGGGCGGAAGGGAAGAGGAATTAGTCTGTGATGGCAGGTTCTCAGGTCTGTGTGCCAGTGACCTCCCCCAGGTCTCGCGTCACGGGAGCTGGGCCAGACAAAACCTCTGCTGAAGAGGTCTTGGGCTTCTCTCTCCACTAGGGACTTGGGGCAGGGAAGAGCGGACAGTGGGAGCCACGCTTCTCCTCCATCACCACCAGCCCTGACACCTGTTTCCCCAGGACCAGACCCAGACGGCCAATTTGGCAGTGAGAGGCCCAACCAGCTGAGTCCAGGGCCAGGAGGTAACTGAAATGTTATCCATGAGGACCTGACTGGCATCAGGTGGGAAATGCGCCCTGTGGGAACATTTGGACGTCTTCCCTTCTTTAATAAGAAATCCGTTTTTGGCCTCTGAACAGAACCCTCTAGGTTGTGCACAGGAGAGGAAAGCTGGGCTCTGCCCCCCTGCCCTCTCACTGCTTCCTGCTGCTGCCCGGGCATGGCTGACGGCCTGGCCACTCCACCCTCCTCGAGAGCAGTCGCCGGAGCGCACCCTCTGCACTTGCTCCTTTACGGTTAGGGAAACTGAGGCTTAGAGGAAGAGAGAGACTACTAATCAGCCCTGAGGTCTGGGGCCTGGACTTGAGGAAAGTTCAGGCACTTCCTTGTAGGGGCTGCGCCCCCAATCCTCCCACTTGGCCTAAACTCTTTTTCTCCAGAGCGAGGAGGGACAGAGGGGCTGGAGCCGGGCTCTCAGCAGAAGCAGCCTCGCTGAGGAGCTATGGCGCCCAGAGGTTCCTCCTAGCCCAGCGCTCTCATCCTGGGGTCAGGAAACACAGAAGGCTTGGGAGCAGGGGCTCGGGGCTAGGGAGTGGCAGCGGTGCTGGTGATCAGCTACAGACCTGGCTGTGGGCCTGCGCCTGCCCTAACGTCTGTCCGTAGAAAGCGACCTGCTGTCTGTAATATTCTGCCCAGGCCATTGTGTAGTCCGGTGGGGAGCTGGCCTGAGGAGCAGCGCTGGCGGCGTGACCTGGTTGACAAAGGAGGAAACACAGGTTATCGGGAGCGGAGGTGCACTGGGCAGGACCCTTCCCAAAGGCCCTGGGCATCTGCTCTCCCTCCGGACGGCTGGAAGGCAGGGAGGTCTGGGAGGCAGTGAGGTGAGGCTGGTGTTGCAGGAGCGCTTGCTACAAAAGGTGCTGTTAGCCTCTTGTTGCCCGGCCCCTGCTATGCCTGTGAAGACCAATCCTCACGCCTGCCTTCTCTCTGCGGAAGCGCATTCTCTGCATCTCCCTGCCTGCCCCTTCAGCTCCCAGGGCCCTGTGACAGACAGAGAAGGGGGGATCCTGGGGTGGGGGTGGGGGAGAAGGGGAGTACCTAACTTGGGTGCCTGTGATAGTGTCCAAATCCTGTGAACAGCTTCAACACAGGCCCAGGGGTCTGGGAATTGGGATTTGGGGAAGACTGGGCAGCTGAGCTTACAGCACTCTGGTGACCATGACTCAACACCCCCACCTCCAACCCCTAGAAGGGCCATGAACCTGGCGATGATGCCAACACCAGGGGGACCACTTCTCTGGTAGCCTTCAACCCGATCTCTTCCAACCAGCAAGAAACATCCTCCAAACACAAGGCACGTGAGATACCTCTTTAAACAAGCCCTCAGTCCTCCGGTCTAGTAATCGTGGGATATATCCCGAGAGTCTGGTCCTGATTTTATGTGACTCCCCAGAGACCTTTTGCTTGTTGGGTCCCTCGCCCTGCTCTGAAGGCTGGTTTCATTTCTGGTAGTTAGAAAACGGGCCTACTTAAGAAGAGAAACTAAGCACCCAGCTCCAATGCCCAGGTAAGGCCTCCTTCCCTGAATCTCACCACCTCTCCTCATCTGCCCTGAAGCACCAAGACAGAGAACAAGATGTCTGGTTGGTCTGTTTGCCGGCCAGGTGGCACCCAGCCGGAATCTTTCAGTCCCTAAGGAGACCAGACGCCAGCTGAGCCCACACTTCCAGGTGCCACGCCCACCTCAAGTCCTTTGGAGCCCAGCACGGGGAGAATAAAGAGGAGGGGATGTGCCGAGTCGCAGGGCAGCCTGTGGTCACTGACTGACTATGCCCAGACTCCTGACAGAAAGAAGCAGGCAGGTACAGGGTGGAGGACGAAGGCAAATAATGAGATCAAGCCACACAGGGAAGGCATTAGGGAAAAAAGAGGTGACAGTGAGCCTTGGACTCTGAAGTCTCTGGGCTGGAGGGGACTGTGCTGCCACAGGTTAGGAGGGCCGGGCACTCACTCTGTTTTTTGTAATAGTCTTCCCAGGCCTTGCTGTAGTTGGGCTGGCTGCTCTGCGGCTGGCTCTGCTGGCCTGTGCGAAGAACACAAAAGCAGTCAGGCCTTACGGGCTCCTCACAGCCTCGGCCCCAGCCCGCCAGCTGCAGGCCCTGCCCTGCACTCCTCCACCTCGCTCCTGGCCACACACGGCTCCGCAGCCCTGCCTGGGAAGGAGGTGGCAGCTGGCAGGGCTGGGGGAAGGGGTGTAACTAAGATCACTGTAAGGGTGGGGCTGGGCACACGAGGCAACTAGCAAGGCTAGCCTGACCCTCTTCAGATGGAGACGCAAGCTTGACGGCCACAGCCACTGCTGTTCTGAGGCTCCCCAATCAGCCTTCCAAAGGACAAAGACTCCAGAGGCTGCTGACCACTCTCTTCGCGTGGCCCTCTGTTCAAGGCCTGGGGGCTGTGCCTCTGGACCAAGGGAAGTGGAGGGGCCATGTGGAGCAGGGGTAGGCAGCACCAGTGGGCTCCTGGACCCTGTCCAGCCTCAGGCCAGCTGGGGTAGGGCAGAGGGAAAGGGGGTGCATGTGTTTGGGTGGTCCAGCCCTTCTCTTCTGTGCAGGACCCTGGGTTCACCCTCTAGGCTATGTGGGCAGTGAAGACTGGGGGACGCGGAGAAACAGCCAGCATGGGGGAACAGAGCCTCAGCACCCTGCCAGGCACAAGAGGGGGTTCAAAGACTTGACCACAGTGGCGGGTCAGGACCTCTCCTTCTGCCCAGGCCGGGGCTGGCTCAGGTGTCCACCTGCCAAGGCCCACAAAAGACCCCCTCACTGTCTCGTCTCCTGTAAGGATTGTAGCCTGAAGCAGGGAGGAAGGGCAAACCACTGCAGAGAGCATGCAGCCAAATGCTTTCTCCACTAGTTCACTTTACTGCATACTGAGGAGCAGCGTGGGGAAGAAGCAAGCAGCGGGAGGAAGGAGGGAAGGAGACGCCCCGCTTCCTCCCACAGGGGCAGGGCGAAAGAGGGACACAGGCAGCAAACACTCTTCCCTCGGACGCGGAGGGCGCCGGCAAGCAGGACTTCGCCGCCAAACAGTATTTCACCAACCCAAACCGGTTCTCCACTGCAAAACCCCTGAATAAACAAAAAAAGCCAAGCTCCACAACATGAGATGAAGGCTGCCCAATGGCGGCAAGACCACCGGGTGCCTCCTGCACTCTCCCTTCCTCAGCCCACAGGCCTCTGCCCGTTCCACCCGCCAGGGGGCCGTTTCCCCTGAAGGCCTCCCAGGCCTCAGTGTCCCCAGAGTCAATCCTGGCCACCTTGCTGCCTGGAGGATTATCTCAGACTAGAACAGCAGGTGAGGAGCCGAGGAAAGGAAACAGGGTTAGCCCCTATGGCCAAGCGAGCAGAGGGAAAGGGGATGGATGGTGGGATCTGGGTGCCTTGTGGGTGCTCACTGCAGAGTGTTCTAAGATATTTGAAACGTTTCATAATAAGATACTGGGGAAAAAAAGGGAAGAAACACAACTATACAATTTCAGAGCATGCAAGTACTTTAGAATTCAAACCCAAACCCTTGATTTTACATGTGGCAAAGTGGAGCTCCAGAGAAGGCAGGGCGTGCCTAAGGCCACACAGCACTGGCCTCAGGACTCTGTGTAAGGCTGAAGTGGCAGAACCCCAGAAAGGGGGCTCAGGCCCTCCGAGCCAGGCTGTGAGGCGGGGCCTGCGGCCTGGGTGCTGTGGGAATCTGCAGACACTGAAGAAGCCTTTCTAAACACAGGACAGAAACTCCAGATGGGTCAAAAGAACGTGGATCGTACTAAGGTAAGGGTTCTGCTTTGCTTTGTGAAGGCCATGCCAGAGGGGCTAGACCAGCTCTGAAACCCAACAGTGGTTCCTGAAGCGTCTGTGGGGACAGAGAGGGTGGCGGCTTTGATTCCCACCAGGACTTTCTCCTTCACAACCAGCCTCCCTGGAGAGGCGGGATGCAGAAGAAGTCATTCCCTAGCTGTTTGCTTCTGAAAAGTTCAGGAGATGGAAGCCTGAGAGGGGAGAGGAAGGCAGCCACCCAAGGCAGGGGCAGGGAGTTGGAGGGCCAGGAACCAGCCCCTCAAGGGGTGGAGAAGAGGAGGAGCAGAAGCTGGCTCAACCCATCCCCACCCATGCATAGGGAACGAAAGTGACAGAGGCCCAGAACTCTGAGGACAGGTGGGCCAAGAGAGGGCCAGCCCAGAGTCCCCAGCCCGCCTGAGGTTTGTGCAGTTTCCCTTGGGGCCTTTTTCTGAGCATGCACAACCCCTGGTACAGGCCTGCAGGAGGGCCCAAGCCCCACCCAGAGGGCTCCTTGTCATTTGGGGAGGGGCATCCTGGGCCTGCTGGCTGAGTTGAACGAGGGCGTTTTGGCCCCAGGACTTCTGTGGGCCGCAACCTTTCTGGAGGGCATGCACTCCCCGCCCCGAGTCACTTACTTGGGACCTGCTGTGTGGGCTGCTGCCACGCCTGGTAGGTGCTGCCCCAGCCCTGGGTCAGAAAGGCCGGAGGACCACTGTGGATAACAAGAGGGTCACTCGTTCCTATAGGGGGCAAGTCACCCCTGTCGTCTCCCTCTTCACTGCTCACCTCCCTCACCCCAGCCAAGCATCACCGGACCCTTGCCTGTCGGCAATAGCCAAGTGACCACCTTAGTGCCGTCTGTCCCCAACTGAGTCACAGCAGGTCACCTACCTCACAGGGGTGCTGTGGGGGTTCCCATTCACCTTGGCAGCCATGTTTGGGAAGCACCCGGAGCTCCTTGGAGGAAAGGTACTGGGAAAAGGTAAAAGAAACAACAGACTGAGCGCCTCACAACAGAGGGCTCGTCCCCTCCCCGCAGCCCCAGGGCACTGAGGGGGCAGTCGGGACAGAAGACCCTCTGCCCTCTGAGAGGCTCCCACCCCATCGCTGAGGTCAGTGAGTGATAGGCCGGAGGGACCGCTGGTGAGAGGAAAAGAAACGAGTCCTGCCCACGCCCAGAACTTCAGGCCTTGGCTGGCACTCGCTAGAAGTAGCTGGAAACGACAGGGGATCTCTGGGGAGCGAGTGAATTCTCCCAGGCAAGACTGATGCAAAAGACTCACTTTTGATGAGGTGGGGCAGGTGGCTGGCTGAATGGACTCTGTCCGAAGGCTCCAGGTGCTCCGAGATTGGTCCCCTGTGGGGGCACAGAGGGAGCTCTCACCCGCTGTTGGTTGCACACCTCTTTCCTCTGCCCAGGCCCACCCCGAGGCAAAGCCCAGCTTTTGGGGAGATGGAGTCGAGTGAAGTAAGGACACCTACGCACTCACACTAGCCTTCCTTCCCACAGCAGGCTGCGCTGCAGAAATGGCTTCTGCCCTCCAGCGACCAATACCACCACACAGCCAGTCCTGGCACCACCACAACTGCCCTGGCATCACCCTGGGGGTAGGGACCAACCTGCTTGACTCTCCCGTCAACTTAGGCTGGCCCAAGGCTCTTTCTGCCATTCTACGTCCCCATTGAGGTGAGCAGTGGCCCATCTGTCCTCCATCAACACTCCCTTTCTTTATCTGCCTTGAGGTGCCTGAAACTAAAGCCAGAGTCAATGAAAGCTGCCTGCTGGGCTGGCCGCCAGGGCAATGCCAGCGGAGTCCCGGGGCAGCGTGGGGGGAGGCTGCCGCCCCAGCCGCTCATCTAAGCCCGCAGGGGAACGGCTCTGGGGCCTCGGCTGCTGCGGCCTTGGTGAGTCCTGCCAGGCTTCCTTCATTGCTTCTGGGCCTGGCTCTGGCACTCCCTGGGTCTCCGACCCTCCCCTTCGGCAAAGCAGGAGGGGGCTTGCCCTCGTGTGATGTGAGAACCCACAGGCACAAGCAGCACAAGGTGGTGGGAAAAGCTGGTACCTTGGACATCCACAAGAAAACAGCTATGAGTAAACCAGGTGGGGGAAGGACCCTGTACGTACGCCAACTTTCTCATCTATGAGCTGCCTGGCCACCTCGATCTGCTGGGGAACCCCCCTGATGGTGAATCTCCGCAGGTTGGGGTCGCTGTTGGGAGGGGGGTTCCTCTGAAGCTCCACGTGCGCCCCTGACTGCTGGTTGATGCTTTTGATGTTCTCACCCCCTGCGGACAGCACAACACAGGCAGAAGAGTAAGCAGAGACTGCGGCAACTCCTGAGGCTCTGGGGCACTTGGCTCCAGAAGACAACTCGGGGGGATTTTGTGCACGTCGGCACTTGCCCTGACAGTAGAGAAGTTGTCTCTATTTACTCCAAAGTGGTTCCAACTAAACCCAGGGCTCTCTCACTTGCAAAACTAGCTGTTTGGAGTGAAGCTGGACTTTCTCTCAAGGCCAAGCTGAGGCCACAGATGCCATGTGAAACCTCCATGTGAAGGTCGTGAGTGGCCCAGAGACCAGGTCTGGGCTGAGGCCTGTGGGTCTACACCATGGAGCTCACCCTTGGGGGCCAGCTGTGGGGCTCCCGCCCAGCCAGGGATGGCACTGCCCTTCTTAGCACAAGAATGGTGAGCCAAGGGCGCCTCCATGACAATGGGGCCTTCAGCCTGGCTGTGGGCAACTTTCTCCATAGGCCAAACAGATGACCACAGGCCCAACCATGCCTGGAGCCCACTCGGGCCTTCAGTATCCCACCCTGTCACTTCTCAAGTCCCTGCCTCCTCCATGGGGTGACGGTCTACACAGGCAGTGCAAGGATGGGGTGGAGGTCACAAAGACCTGGGTGGAGCCGGGCTAACAAAAATTCAGTTGGTCTCTTTCAAAAACCTGCGGAGAGTCTCAGTCTCTTAATGAAATTTGCGTAATAAAAGCTCCAGCAGCGTAACAATAGTTGGATTCTTCTTCTGAAATTCACAGAACTTGCGGATCTGCTCTGCTCAACTCTGTGGGGGATGGAGTGTTGCTAGGAGGAGCCAGAATACAAGGATAACTTGGAGCACAGTTTGGAAAAGTGGAGAAAAAGGTAATCTGCTCCAAAGCTGGTATAGGGCAGCAGCGAGCCTGGGTGATCAAAAGCAAAGACCGGGGCCAGTGTCGGCCCCTCCTCCATGCCCACAGTCAAAAAAACAGGCCCTAAATGCCATGTGGCACCTCACCAAGACACCGTCCACAATCCTCCAAACACTCCAAGCTTCTCTCTACCCACTGCCAGAAAAGCCCTGCCTCAACAGCCTATCGGGCCAGTAGGGAGGGGACGCTAAAGGCAGACACAAGGGCGTCTTGCAAGGACTCTACAGAGGTCCAGGAATGAAAAAGGCAGGTGGTCCTTCCTGAAGGCAGCAGGGGCTGCCCTTACGGGGGAGAAAAGACGCCGGGAGACATGGCATGCAGATAAGGTCGCATGCAGAAGACGTTGGTTAAGTTTAGGGTGGTTTTAAATTTAAAAAACAACTAACAAAACCAAATGTTGTGCTTGTGATTTCCTTAAGGTCCCGCTGGAGTTTCAGAGAAGCATCCCTGCATTTTCCACCCTGGCCAGACCCGCCTGTCTGGGGACACCGGGCCAGCACCCACAGCTCTGATTTCCTCTGGGCCGGTACAAGCCCCTCCTAGGGGACCTTTACCTCTGCCCTTTACTCGGAGGCCATGGATTTTATCTTCTCTGCACCATGAAAAGCAGGCTCCTAGGCAATGTTTTTTGGGGAGCAATAAAGAATAGAGACTTGGCCAGGCGCGGTGGCTCACGCCTGTAATCCCAGCACTTTGGGAGGCCAAGGCGAGTGGATCACCTGAGGTTGGGAGTTCGAGACCAGCCTGACCAACAGGGAGAAACCCCGTCTCTACTAAAAATACAAAATTAGCCAGGTGTGGTGGCGCATGCCTGTAATCCAAGCTACTCGGGAGGCTGAGGCAGGAGAATCGCTTGAACCCCAGAGGCGGAGGTTGCAGTGAGCCATGATCACGCCACTGCACTCCAGCCTGGGCAACAAAAGCGAAACTCCATCTCAAAAAAATAAAAAAAAATAAAAAAGAATAGAAACCAAAATGGAGACCATTTCCACAGGCACACGTAAGACTCGAGGGAACCCTACCAGCCTCCAACCAGATCCACTTGGTCTGGAGGCAAAAGCACAAGTACACGAGTGTCTGCGACTGAGAATCCTGCAGTCCCCAGACAGCCGAGGCCCCGGCCCTCCCCACTGGGCCCCTCATCCCCAGGCCTTGGGAACATGCTAATAAGGTGAGGAGGCGCCACAAAACCTCGTGGGGCCAGAAGGAGTTAATTTAAGTTCATCTTCCTTCAAAATGAGGTCACTAGCTTGGCACATGGTGGCTGTCTATAGACTCATTCAGCAGCCCGCTCCATTCTTCTACCTGATGGGGGGCAGAAGTGCCCCACCAGTGGCCCCCTGGCTGGACGTGAAATCGTAAAGCAATTAATCAAACCTGCTAAAAGGCCTGGCTGACAAGAGCAGGCTGGCTGAGCTATCTGTCAATGTTGCTGTGTTTATCATGGAAATCCAGCAGGGGCCAGGGAGGCTCTGTGTCTGTCCAGGCCAGAGGCCAAGGAAAGATGGGCCTGGCTGCGTGGGGCTCCTCTCTCCCTTGCCCAGGCGCCCATCTCAAGGAAAAGAGATGTCTCACATGGGCCCTGAGGGGTAGGGGGTGTGTGTGTGTGTGTGTGTGTGCGCGTGCGTGCGTGCGTGCGTGTGTTTAGTGCGGTGTGTGTGTGACATAGAAAGACCCTCCCATATCCGAGACACTAATTAGGCTTCTTTAGGCTGCTATTCAAGCATGGGACACAGACCAGTTACTGCTTCGTTCTCATCACTGTTTTCTAGGAATCACTCAGGATGACTTTGTGGAGGACCAACTACGAGGGGCTGCTCTGTGAGCACCAAGGGCTCACTATGAGAACCTGTCATGGTGAGGCAACAATGCTCAGTCAGGGTTTAGAGACACAAGCAAATGAAAACTTCGCCGACAAAATAGTTTGCAAAAGGCCAAGAAATCTAGATCTAGCTAATCGTCAACCTACAGGCATCAACTAGCTGCAGTCTCACAGCGGTCAGGCTGACGGCCTGGGTAGTGTGGGACTTCTGGCAGCATCTGGTGCAGCCTGCAATATCCCCAAACACTCACCAGCCCGCACACCTGCCGGCAAATGAACACGAACCCATACCAACTCTGAGTGGTTCAGTCTAAAAGACAACACGGTTTCTTGCATTTTGCAAGAGCATAAGCCCACAGTGTCTGTGAGCAGGGACGAGGGCAGCTCCTGGGAGGTGAGTGTCGGGGGGCTCCCACCTGCCCAGCTCTGGAGGTCTCTGCTGGTGAAGCATCCCCAAGTCCTGCCTATCCAATACGAGCGCCCCTCAAGCAGCTAAGGGGTATTTGGTGATCAAAGAAATTTGAGAAACTCTGGAGAGACGACTGTTTTCTCCACATGCTGTCAAATACCTAATGAAGGCAAATACGAAACCCAGTGACAACGGGAGTCCCCCGCTGGCAGCGAGGCCTGGCTCAGAGCCCCACGGAAGCCGAGCCCTGCTGCTACACTGGGAAGGCCCCACAGCCTCGGCCCTGGTCTCAGTAGCCTTTCTGGGTCCCAGGGCTAGCCAAGATGAACTGCTGCCAATGGCTGAGAAATGTGGCTGCTCTCTCCTGGTTCTCAGTGAAGGACAGGAAGGAGCTACAGTAGCCATGAATGAGGGTTTCTTCCTAATGTTCTCCAAAATGCCCAGAAAAAACTAACACATCAATGTTTATTTCCCTCCACAGAGAGTCCGTGACTCACGGTAAATATGCAGAAAGGATAAAAACCATTTTCACATGTTACGCGGATCAAGACCAAATACTCAAACCTGGTAAGGGAAACAAGTGACACACTGTCGAGAAGGAATTTTCACTGAGGATACTGTCTCAACCGTCCCTCTAAGTTCCTTGGAGGTGAGTTAATTACCAATCAGTCGATTGACAAATGCCCCCCATCTTGCGCAAGGTATCTTTTCACCAAGCTAAGCTGCCCTCAACAGGCAGGGAGTTTTACTGCTGTCTCTTCATACTCACCAGAAATAATACACTTTGCTCCTCACAACAGGCCCGTCAGCAGCCTCAGAGAACCATGCCAAGCAGGGTTTCGGCAGAAGGTGGCTACTGCCTCCAGACCGGGCAGCCCCAGCCTGCAGCAGCAAAGGGACCTCACCAAAGGTTCTGGAGGTCCCGTGACCTGCCTTCCCTCAAGCCAAACAGCTGAGGGGGGATGTGAAACCCCAGCTGCCTCTTACCTTTGCCTATGACGAGGCCACACTTATCGGCTGGCACCGTGTATGTTATCTCCTGGACGCCACCAGGGGCTCCCACGCTCCAGTCGCCACGGCCACGACCTCTTCCTCTGGCTGCTGCCAGGCCTCCAAAGCCGTCTCTTTCCTGGAAAGATCACAGGGCTGTAGCGACCTCTGCCACTGCCACAGCACCACTGCTCCTCTCTTTTCCAGGGAGGAGGTTAAGTGACAGGATGTAATCAATGCCACCCATCAGAACCTAGCACCTTTCCACACTTCCCATTCTGAAGGGCTCTTTCAAGCCAGAATTAACACCGATCACAGGTGTATCTGGGGAGGACCTGTGCAGACGAACACACGTGGTTACATAAACAGCTCAAATGTATCCAACAGAAATAGGCAGACACAAACTCCAAGGCTGAAGCCCAGCGGCCTTTCTCCCTGGAGCTTTCCTCACTGGGCCCCGATCTACAGGCATCAAGAACTGCTTTCTCCCTTGCAGCTGAGGCCCCTCTTTCCTGCGGCGGACACATACTGGGCCTATGGGAAGTCAGATATGCACAGCCTGCTGACCCTCCCCAACCAGGCACTGCTATGAGTCACAACACCTGGCACTCCAGTCAGCAAGAAGGATAAACGGATTTTACTCAGTTTTAGAAAACTTCTTGGCTGTTGTGCCCCCAAGCAGCAGCAGCAGTAACAGGTTCAAGAGTGACCATTCAGGGATACTTCAGAAGGGAGGAACAGAGGGAACCTGCCAAGGCCTCCTCCCCATGTGGGGCTGGAGAAGTCTCTGAGGCATTCTCCCACTGTTCACCCAGCAGAGAGAAAAACCTAAATCTAACAGCGGACAGAGGAAGAGCCCTTTCATTGAGACAGCAGCAAGTCTCATTCCAGCCGCTGTCCGCGGAGTCATTTTGGAGCTGCAGTATTTAAACTCTCTTAAATGTGGAGGGTGAACCTGGTCAAGCTAAGAGCTATTTCATGGAAGGGAGAAGCTGCACAGACTTTTCAACACATGAAGAAATGTTGGGCAAAACCTGCTCATGTTGATTAAGAGTAAAGTGAACGTTTACCCAGAATCTAAACCAGCAGAAAGCTGAGACAATTGGAGTGCTTTTCCCCCGCACTCTGCTCTTATGAGACAACTGCCAAGTAAACAAGGCAATTTTAGAATGGATGTTCACACACGCACAGGAGCGCACAGTCAACTTTCTGGGTATGCCACAGATCTCGAAGAAAAGGTTTTCTCCCAAACATCTCGCAGCCTCTGCAGTGCAAGGTTCATAAACTTTTTTTGAGACAGAGTTTTGCTCTTGTTGCCCAGGCGGGAATGCAATGGCAGGATCCTGGCTCACTGCAACCTCCGCTTCCTGGGTTTAAGCAATTCTCCTGCCTCAGCCTCCTGAGTAGCTGAAACTATAGGCATGCGCCACCACGCCCGGCTAATTTTGTATTTTTAGTAGGGACGGGTCTCACCATGTTGGTCTTGAACTCCTGACCTCAGGTGATCCACCTGCCTTGGCATCCCAAAGTGCTAGGATTACAGGCGTGAGCCACCACGTCCAGCTAATTTTGTATTTTCAGCAGAGACAGGGTTTCACCATGTTGGTCAGGCTGGTCTCGAACTCCTGACCTCAGGTGATCCGCTTGCCTCGGCCTCCCAAAATGCTGGGTACAAGAGTGAGCCACCGTGCCTGGCCAAGGTTCATAAACTCTTGCTACAAAAAAAGGATGTTAGAGATCATTTAGAGCAGGGGTGTTCAATCTTTTGGCTTCCCTGGGCCACACTGGAAGAACTGTCTTGGGCCACCCATAAAATACACTAACATTAATGATAGCTGATGAGCTTAAAAACACACACACACACACACACACACACACACACACACACACACAAAATCTTGTAACATTTTAAGAAAGTTTATGAATTTGTGTTGGGCTGCATTCAATGCTGTTCCTGGGCTGCGTGCAGCCCACAGGCTGAACGAGCTTGATTTAGTGGCCGTTTTATAAACTTGTCTAATCTTAAGAATTGCCTGGGTCTCTAGTGAAGACCCAAGACCCTCCCTTGGAAATGCTGATTCAGTAGATCTGGGGTGGGGGCCTACACATTTGTAATTTGAGTAAGAACCACCAGATGGCTCTTAGGGGATCACATAGAGAGCACTGCCTGGTGCAAAGCACCCTGAGTCTGCTGCTGGGAACACCAGACCCAGAGGTTCAAAGGCAGCTCCAAGGTCACATGACTGATGGCAGAGCTGGGACTATAATTTCCAATCTCTTGCTTTATTCTTCCGTTCTGGTCATTCTCAAATGTATCCTCAGTCCTACCATCAGTTATAGGGGTTCCTAGCACTGTCACACAGGCTGGCTCACAGTCCAAAGATGTGCATGAAATCAAGTGCATGAAGGCAGCTTTAGGACTTTGGAGGACCCTGAAGTGTCTTCTACCACTAAGACTGGATTTCACTAACACAGATTAACATTAAATACACTTGATTATTTGAAACTTGGCGACCAATCTCCATGGTATTTCCCCACATGGTTTAAATAGCCAGAAACTTACTGTGTAAAGGCAATCTAGATGGTGAGGTAAATAAAGGCAGAATAATTAATGAGCAGAAAAAAATACCAAGAAGGCAGGAAAGAGGCTGATGTAGAGAAACTGCTGGTTTCCCATAATGTGACTTGAGACGCCTCAGGGTGACAGCTCTATGGTGCTGCACCGAGAGCCCCGGGTAGCACTTTCCACTTCTGCAGCCCAAACACTCACACTCTGCAGAGCTGGACCCACCTGGGCTGTAAGAATCAGCTCGCTGATGATATGCGCTGCATGCTGACACCGATCCGGAGGGCCCATGACCTGGGCAGCTCTTTCTGGACTAATCCCATCATCTGAGGAGCCAGGTGAGAGACAGGATTAGAAAAAAGCCCAACGTTAGAAGGAAACAAGGATTAATCTGATTCCCAATCAATATTCTCACCCGCGGTGCCAAAAGGGGCAACAGGAATACTGCCAGCTGCAGGGACTCTTTTGGAGTGATGTGGGTGATAGGAAAATGTGTGTCATTATATTGTTTTGCATGTTTCAGGTCAATGCTCAATTCTTATGCAATTATAGCCATTTAAAAAATGTATCATTAAAGAACTAAAACAAAGCTTGACTTTAAAAAAGCCAAGGGAGTCAGAGCAGAGCTATGGCAACAGCTTCCAGAGAAGAGCCTGCCATGTTTTCCTCTTTTCAGACCACGTCGAAAATTTTGCTCATTAAGGCAAATTTATAAAATTTAAAAATTTGTCCTTTATTCTAAGATGTTTTGTCTTTGTGTGTGGTTTTAAATTATCTCCAATTTAATAAAATCAAAATTATACATATATATTTTAAAATTTTACTTGGCAAAATCAGAAGCTGACATACTATGCATTTATGACATACTATGCATATACTCCAGGAAGAAAAAAGAAAAAAGGCCTGGAAATCAAAGGTGACCGACATGTATCCGGGGAGGGAAAAGAAGGCTGGGAGAAGAAACTGAGATTGGTCATCTGGTAGCAGGATGTTGCAAGGATGAGAAAGGTGAATACACATGAACCAATAGCCAAGCCCTTGTTTTGTAAGGTGTTTTATCATCCTTTTAACACTAAGGATTTTTTTTTTTTTTTAACACTAAGGATTTTTAAATCATCATACCCACCTGGTTTAAACTGAATCCTCACACCAGCATCATTCTGGATCTTTTTGATCATTTCCCCGTTTCTTCCTATTACAATCCCCACAGCAAACCTAGGCACAGATACCTAGGCACAGAGAAACCAAACCACATCAGAACTTTTCACAAACCTGTCTTTTTAAAGGGCACTTTTTTTTTTTTTTTGAGACTGAGTCTCGCTCTGTTGCCCAGGCTGGAGTGCAGTGGCACAATCTCAGCTCACTGCAGCCTCTGCCTCCCGGGTTCCAATGATTCTCCCACCTCAGCCTCTAAGTAGCTGAGAAAACAGGCACAGGCAACTATGCTCGGCGAATTTTTGTATTTTTAGTACAGATGAGATTTCACCTTGCTGGCCAGGCTGGTCTTGAACTCCAGACCTCAGGTGATCCGCCCACCTCGGCCTCCCAAAGGGCTGGGATTACAGGCGTGAGCCACTGTGTCTGGCCAGGACACTTTTTTTTTTTTTTTTTTTTTTGGAGATGGAGTCTCGCTCTGTTGCCCAGCCTGCAGTGGCACGATCTTGGCTCACTGCAACCTCCACCCCTGAGGTTCAAGCAGTTCTCCCTGCCTCAGCCTCCTGAGTAGCTAGGATTACAGGCACCCGCCACCATGCCCAGTTTATTTTTGTATTTTTTAGTAGAGATGGGGTTTCACCATGTTGGCCAGGCTGGTCTTGAATTCCTGACCTCAAGTGATCTGCCTGTCTTAGCCTCCCAAAGTGCTGGGATTATGGGCGCGAGCCACCACGCCCGGCCCAGGACACATTTTTTTTTAACACGCAACTTAGTTTTTATTATAGTGCATTCCTGGAAATGATATAATAAAGGACATTTTTCCCTTTTAGGAATAATACTGTGGTTGAACTGCGTTCTTTTTTTTTTCTTTTTTTTTGAGACAGAGTCTTGCTCTGTCGCCCAGGCTGGAGTACAGTGGCACCATCTACGCTCACTGCAAGCACCGCCTCCCAGGTTCACGCCATTCTCCTGCCTCAGCCTCCCGAGTAGCTGGGACTACAGGCACGCGTCACCACACCCGGCTAATTTTTGTATTTTTAGTAGAGACAGGGTTTCACCACATTGGCCAGGCTGGTCTCGAACTCCTGACCTTGTGATCCACCCGCCTCTGCCTCCCAAAGTGCTGGGATTACAGGCGTGAGCCACCATGCCCGGCCTGAACTGCATTCTTAACTGTTAAATGCATCCAATTTGAGATTTGATCAAAATGGTTATAAAAATGAATAAGCCTTATAGATAAAAGATGAAAAATAGTAATTTTGCCTTCCAATAAACACACCATACACACTGTTACCTGGGCTGGACTTGTTATCCAGGCTGGGTTACAGTGGTGTTAACTGTAGCACACTACAGCCTCGATCTCCTGGGAGGAGTGAGCCTCCCTCCTTAGCCTCTAGAACAGCTGGGACTATAGGAATGTGCCACACTAGGCTAATTTAAAATACTTTTTTTTTTGTTTTGGTAGAGGTGGTGTCTGGCTATATTGCCCAGACAGATCTCAATCTCCTGGCCTCAAGCAGTACTCCTGCCTAAGCCTCTCAAAGCACTGGGATTACAGGCGTGAACCACCATGCATAGCCCTAGCGGTTCTTTAAAATGCATTTTTTTCCTTCATTTTTCTTTTATTGTGGCTAAAATACACATAATATTTATCATTTAACCACTTGTAAGTACACAATTCAATGACATTACATACATTCACAATGTTGTGTAACCATCACCACCATCCATATCCAAAACATTTCATCATCCCCAACAACTCTGTACCCATTAAACAATACTCCTCCTTCCCCCAGCATCTGACAGCTTTTGCTACTTTCTGCCTGTATGCATCTGCCTCTTCTAGGTGCCTCAGATAAGTGGAATCGTACAATATTTGTTCTGTATCTGTCTTATTGCACTGAGCATACTGTTTGTAAGGTTCATCCATGTTGTCGCATACAACAAAATTTCATTCTCTAGGATAGATTCTGACCCCATTGCAACCTCATCAATAAACACAGGCTGCTGAGTTTGACAGAATCATGATATACATCACCAAGAAAACCTGAACTTTGGTTTTTACCTGGGCAACTGGTTAACCTCTAAAGCAAAGCTTCAAAACCGAGG
This sequence comes from Homo sapiens, assembly GCF_000001405.40. Taxonomy (NCBI): domain Eukaryota; kingdom Metazoa; phylum Chordata; class Mammalia; order Primates; family Hominidae; genus Homo; species Homo sapiens. Next base: position 130,620,672 of record NC_000009.12, on the reverse strand, counting down.
GAAATGGCCCCACGCCCTGAAGTGTAGCCAGCTCCCTCACTGCAGGCTGCTGCTGTTCCAGTCCACCCTCACACCCACCCTAAGGAGCCAGAGAATTCTTAAGGTTTTGAGACAAAACTTAACTAACTTGCTCAGGGTTAAAGAGCTAACAAAAGTGTGACCTACAACTTTAGTCCTCATCTCATTTGCCTACTAACCTGTAATTTAAGCATACCTCTATACTGCCTCCTCCCATTCGAGAGTTGAAATCGCCGCGTACACCCCGAAAGTCAGCTTGGTCTTTTTCTCGGATAATCTCTAGTACCATTTCTCTTGCTTGCTGCATAAACACAAACAAAAAGCATTATGAGAAAAAATTCCTGAAAAAAGATACATCACCAGGTGAAATTTCAAGATCAAACCCTCTTAACTTGGGTTTAAAGGCGCTCAGCTGTAGGACAATTCACTTATGGCTTATGGGACATGTAGGGGGATGTGTGTATCGTATCTTAAGTGATGTGTTCTTTCCACTGCCCAAATGTCCACACGGGGAAGGGTCCACCTTCTATAAAAAGCCTCAGTTGGGTGAGCACATCTGCGTGTGGTCAGAAATGGATTCCTATCACCCCTAGGTGTTTTTACATTTTTAAATCTTTTTCTTTCTGATCAATAAAGTGGACTGGCCTAGGTGTTTCTTGATGCCATTTCTTTCTAGCAGGAAGGGGTGTCTAAGAGCGCCCACTGAGGGCAGGTCCATGAGACAGAGAACTTTGCCAAGGCTTTACAACACAGAGGCACTCCAGTAAGTTAAAAAGAAAAGGCTGAAAGCCAAACACATTGCTTTAAACAAACAACAACAACAACAACAAAAGGGCAAGCCTATCTTATTTCTATAACCTACTGGTGAGACTTCCTTGTGGACGTCACTATATCCCAGGCAGATTCAAGTGTTCTTCTCCCCAAAACACACACTTGGCAAGTCTATCACTGCATGTTGGCCAACCCATGCCAGTACCAGCCACACAGGAATCTGCGCTAAAGACCTACTGTACCTTACAACTCAAGGGAATGTGAGAACTGTGTCTAGGAAGAAACAAAACAAACCCGTCAGCAATTTAAATCTTAGGACAACCTTAGGACATTTGCAGAAATCTGGACATGTACTGGATACCAGATAATGTTTCAGAAGTACAGTTTTCTTAGGCCTGGTTATTCTTAGGAGACACATGCTTAAGGATTTAGGGGTAGTGTCATAACATCTGCCACTTCAATGGTAAAGAAACACACACACATGCACACACATACAGCAAAATGTTAGGCAGGTTGAAGAGATACATAGGTGCCCTAAGTACAGCAGGCTCCATCTCCTAAATGAAAAAAAAAAAAAAAATGAAATATACAGTTTTAAAATTTAAAAATCACTAAAACCCGTTAAGTTAAAATTATTTTCCTGCAAATTTATGGGACATTAATGATATATTCTTTGCTTGGGGTTTTTCCCTACAAAAGACACCATCAAAGGCTGTGATAGAAAAAGAAGGCCTCTGAGGGAGGGCAGCCAAGAGGCAGGCACTCTGTGGCCGCCCACAGGCCTGGATCCAACACCATCACAGTACTGGAGCCCACGGCCGGACGCTGAGCAGGGTGGGGAAAGGCGAGAGGCAATCTGGTTCCTTAAATGCCCAACTGTTCGCACTGAGAGAAGGCTGGGAGCTCTGGAGGAGGCAGCGCATGGGGACTCTGGCCCGATGGAAGTGAACAACCGTATCACTGACTGGAGTCCCCAGGCAGAACCATACCCACCACTGCCCTCACTCCTGTTCTAAAGCTGTTATTTTACAGGTGTACCTTGACCAGCTTAGCTGAAGGACAGGGTTCAGAACTGGGGGCAATATTTTGCCAGGGACTGGATACTTTCACTGATCAAAACCCAATGCTCCCAGAGAAGACCCATTCTTCCCAGAGAAGACCCATTCTTGATGGTGGCCTGGCTCACCAAGGAGCATCACCCCGGAGCTACTCTGAATGTGGCAATGGCAAGACAGGCTGCAGGTGGCAGAAAAAAGTAGATCTGTGTTTCACTGAGGACAGACAAAAACCCTACACCCTCCGCCCACTTGAATTCCTGCTACTAGCAAGAGTTGGAAGGACAGGACCACCCCAGGGGATAGAAAACCAAGTCCCTTACTGCTTCCAGCCAGCGGGGCTGTCCCGCCTGGCAGCTCGGGGCGCAGGACACTTGCTCTGAGGGTGCCCAGGCACTTGGGTGGCTCTGGTGCTCACCCTGTGCTCACCTCCAACCTTAGCTGAAGGGCTTGCAAAATAAGCCCAGAAGAGAACGAGCAAGTAAACGCCAAGCAGAGCCTGTATCTCAGCTGACCCCAGGTCAGCAAATCAAAACTGCACCTGGAAGGATGACGTGGGGGAAACAAAACAAAAAACCAACTGTCCTGAGCCGTGCCACCAGCAAGAGCTCGGAAATGTTCTGCACACACACAGTCCAAAACAGTCACCACCAGCCTCAGGTGTTACTGGGCATTTGAGATATGGCCGGTGTAAATGAGGAGCTCAGTTTTTATTAATCTGAGTGAATTTAAATAGCCACAAGTAGCTAAGGACTCTGGTTTTGGGCAGCACAAACCTAGATTCTTTTCATCACCAAACTTTGTTGAGAACAGTTTACCTTCAATAACGGAGCTGCCAGTTTCACAATTACTTGAGGAAGATAAAAGCTCTAGGGTACCACCGAGTGATAGCCCCAACAGCCAGGACTCACCCAACCCATGGCACTTTCCTACCTGTACTTTAAATGCATCTCCAGTGATACGAAGAGGCTTGTCTGCTCCCGTGGGCAATGGGCCATCCTGGATCATGACCATCTTCACCCCTGTCCGCTCCTGTGGGGAACACACACCAGCACAGCCTCATGAATAATGCAGGGCATGAAATGCAGGGCAGCACAAAATCGGACCCAGTCACACCCACAATAAGCGCACATCCCACCTACCACCAGGGACTGCCTTCCAACCTGGGCCATGAAGCTGGCTTCTGTGACAGCAGACATATAGGTCGGGTACGACCATGTCCAAATGCGAGATGTAAAACCATCTCCTAAAATGATTCCAGTCCCTGGAGCATCTAAGCACTAAGGAGCTACTTTCACTGAATGCCAGGCACTTGGCACACACTCCATTTGACATTATGTGATTAGAACTTCTGTGGAACTGACAGTCAAGTCCTGCCATCTTTCTACTTCAGCACATACGGCCCTAGGTCCAGAGCTAATGAGTGGCGGACCAAAACTGGGAGGCTGGGATCCCAAATGATAAACTCCCTGAGTCTACATTAGGATACCATCCTTACAACCAGGACCCAAGGACCAGGTTATGAGATGGCACGCAAGGGAAGCCACAATCCTTTACTCGCAACTGCAAAATCCCTTTTCTGAAAGAAAGTTTACTTATAATTCATTTGGCAGCAAAACTGAACTCATGTCAGTGTATTTTTTGCCTTTCTCTGAGTGTATTATTCTATTTTGCTACAGAAATATGCATTTGATTTCAGGGTACAACCCCAGAACTTGCTGGGAGTGTTAAATTCTGAAACCCGTTTGGTCCCGAGAGTCTCAGATGAGGGATTCTGGCACTAACAGCAGCTAATGCTCATGGAACATTCACTCAGTAACAGGCTCTTACATAAAAAGAAAAGAACGGCTATTATTTTAGCTCCATCACAACAGTGAAGCCTGCACTTGCCCCTTTTGACACACAAAGACCCTGAACCTTCAAAAAGTAAATGAGCACATTTAAGATCAATCAGTGAGGAAGAATGCTGGGTCAGAGCCTCTGACTCCAAATACTGCACTTTTATCTGAGATGCTGTCCTATGATGATAAAAGCAGCCCTCACAGAGCTCACTGCCAAAAAGGCTGCTCAAAGTTCACTGGGGCCCCTGATAGGGCACACCTGCCCTAGTACTTGGCATCATATTTGGCATCAGACGTGGCCGTGGTGTATGTTCAGAAGCTGTCTGTCAAATGGAGGAAGGAAGCCTCAGCACAATGCTGCACAAAGCCAGCCCAGCCAGGGAATGCCAGCCGTAAGCAGATCTCCTGGGCCAGGAAGCTGAAGACCTGCTGCGAGCGGCCGCTGTGCTCCGTGCTCCGGGCTCACACACCTGCAACTGCTTGATTGTTTCCCCTCCTCTGCCGATGACCAGACCCACTTTAGATGCGGGAATGAGAATCTCCTGGATTGTGCTGTTGCTGTCTATGTCATTATGAAAGCCAGGTCCATTTCGACAGCGGTCCACAATCTGTCCCAGGAGCCGTTTGGCTTGTCTTTGGGAGGGAAAAGAACCACAAGAGAACCAGCATTAAATGGAGGCTCTAAGTGTGCAAGACAGGGAAATAGCACTGAGGGAAAAACCTGCGGGAGTCAGGGCAGCCCTCCATCCAGCTCCAGCTCCTGCCCCCACAACCCGGAGGTCTCTCTGCCATCCGCCACGCTACCGGGCTGGAATTTAAAAGCAACACACACCACAGTACCAACGCTGTGACACAGAGCCTTGCCGCCCCTTTCAAGCCTGCCCTCTGCTCATGCTTGTGTCTCCACAAAGGTGTCGTCTCCTATTAGGATGCCAGCTGCTCTGGAGGCAGAGACCATCTTTCATCCCTTTACATCTCTCTGTTCCCCCATCCAACATGACCCTTCTCACAGAGTAGACTCAATATATACATTTGTTAAATAAATGCAGGCAGGAGAGAGAGCCAGCAATGAGAAAGATGGGAAGAAAGCAAGCAAGGATTAGTACTCACTGTCTGAACTCCCATACTCCACGCTTCTTCTTCATAACCAACAACACTGCTCTATGACTTTTAAGCTAAGGCTATGAATCCCAGTTTGGTTCCAAGAGGTGGGAAAGGGGGAGGCGGTGCTGGATGCAGCTGTGCACTCACAGACACCTGCTTTGGGCTTTCCATGGCAGCCAAGTTGGGACCCTGCGTGTCACGTGTCCTGCTATTTGTGTTGGTTTCTTGGGCAGCGGGAGAGGGCAACTGCAATGTTGTGACAGCACAGCCCAGACCACCAAAGTCATCTGCTGTGCCAATTTCCTTTTCTGCACCAGAATTTCTCCTGGTTGTTATTTCTCGTATTGATTCTCTAAATTGCCACACACAATCTGCTTTTTGGTTTCTCTAATGGAGAAGAATTCAGCTACTAAACAGGCTAGCTGTGCTGCTCACTGAAGACAATGAAATTTGTTTCCTCCTAAAGTTATAATCCCACTGCCTCTGCTCCTTGGGTAGACAGGAAGCAGGAATGGTTAGAAGAGTAGGAAGAAAGAAGAGAAAGGCAGGAAATAGATGTTGCCTTTTGTAGTCTTGAGCCTTTGTGTACAGAATCAGCTTCGTGTATCTTCCCAGTTACAGCAGCTTTTTAATATTTTGCCTGTGTACTAGATTAACCTGTGTTGGAAGAAAAATGCTTTGACTCCAGCAAACCATCCAGTTGCCCTGTAATGCACACCTGCCAGCGATATTTATTATGGTTCACTGCTTGCAATGTGATGGCAGAACAAGAGACTTTAAGCTCATCTAGACTCCCTGAGAAATGGAAACAATAAAACAACCCTACCTATTGAGTCAGATATAATCTTAGCACCCCTGTCCCCAAATGCAGTGCTGCTCCGTAGATTGAAGGACAGTGAGCAGGCTCTAAGTCAGTATGTTTCCCTTTCCCAGGAGATTCTTGGATTTATGACACCTGCACCTGGTATAAGGTTCTGAGTATGTGAGTAACAGGGTAGGAAAGCAATGTTAGTCTTAAGACTGTTGCAAGGGCGCCAAAAGTCAAGACATCCTCTGGCCAGTCCGTACGGCCCTCTGAGTAGAGCAAAGTCACGAAGAGTTGATTCATTTGGTTCACAAATATCAGAAGGGTAACGGGATCAGCCTCCAGCCAAAAGTCCTGGTACCAGGATTCTCAGTAGCTCACCAAGTGACTGGCTTACTAATCCAGACCTGCTCAGGTAAAGGAGGTGTTAACAAGGAAGAAGTAAGTTGATTAGAGCATTCAGGTGGGGTGAATGTACACTCCTGAGACCCTGGTTTGAAGTAGATGTTATGACAGCTGTGGGGTTTAGAACAAATGTGATATCTCGTGTATTTAAGGTAACAAAAACCCCTGGCACAGTAACCTCCCAGATTTTTTTCCTATGGAATTATCTACCTGTGTGGCCAGACTGCAGCACAGACTCAGTGTTCAGTAACAGTGTTGCCCTTCCATTTCTCCCCATTTGGGGAAGGAGGAAGAAGAGTGAAAGAAAAAGTAAATAAAATAAACTTACTCAATACTTTCTGGGGTTCCGGTAAGTACACAGGGCCTCTCTGGAATCCCAGAACTCTCTATAAGAAGAATCAAGAAGATGAGGGGTGTTGGTGGGCACCGGGCACATGCACCTCTGCCTCTGTAAGGCTCTCTAGGGCTGCTTCCTACGCCAGCCCTGCAGAGGCCCAGGCTCCCAGAAAAAGACAGTTTGCTTCCACTTGTGGACAGAATATTAAGCTGGTAGCTCCACCCTAGATTCTCGAAGTAGAAACAAGTCCCACAGGGGAAGCTAGAAGGACGTGACAGAGGTCTGTGAGTTGGTCCTGATTACCCATCTCAGCTTCACTTCTGACCCACTCACATGCTAGTAATTGTTTCAGTCACTTTATCGTGCTATTCCTCAGTTTCTCCATTTGTAGTTTAATGGTCATTTGTCTGCACACGGCAAGTAAACTAGTACTCTAGGAAGGAACTTCATGACACGCACATCAGGACCATACCAGTTACTGCATGAATGTCCCAAGAGATCAGTGACATCTATGTGGAACTGGGCCATTTAATGAGAGAAACACGTTACTTTCTAACACCACATGTGATGCCTCATTTTGTTCCTGAAAAAATTTGCTTCTTAAAATCCTTCCTCAAAAAAAATGAAAGAGAAATAGCTAACAGGACTTACTGCCTTCAAGACACTGTAATAAGTATCTTTTAAAAGGACATTTTTCTAGTCAAATGTCCTTCAAACCCCTTCCTTTGCAATGGAAAGAGGTCAAGCTCAAATTAGATGACAAAACCATAAATAAAATAAAAAATTGTTCTTCACTCCATCTCTCTCCATGTTGCATGGTCAAAATGGACCCAGCTAGGAAAGGTCATAAAACATGTTCAGTGAGTGCTAATTCAGCCAGGACCCCCAGCTATCCTCTTCCCACAAAGGGAAGGGACAGTCTCATCCATGGGAGCCTCCCCTGATGCATGTAGTCAAGGAGTGACCCCAAAGCCATAGGATTCCTACAGGCCCCACTATGCCACTATGTCTGGCATAACATTCTGGTGCAGAAAACATAGGTCCTAGAGTGGCAGGTGTTTGGGAAGGGGCCATGTCTGGCCACAGAGCTGAGGGAGGGTTTACCCCAGAAGCCAGATAGGAGGCCTTATCTCCGGGCCCACCTTTGCTCTGATCCTTCTGGTTCTCATTTAGGAGTCCAACTCCCAAAGTGCAAGGAAAACACTAATCGCATATACTTACCCAAGCAACAAGCAAAGTACCGAATCTGGAAAGTTTTGCAAAATACTGATTTCTACAAAATTGATATCTATTTTTAAAAAGCCCTTACCTGAAGCAATCTGAATTTTGCAACCAGATTCTGCTTGAATCCGTGAAATCTGCTCACCTCCCCTGCCGATAACTGAAACAAATTGAACAGGGTCAGAATACACGCCCCTATTCCATATTTCACCACGCAGGAATGACTGAATTAATTCCACAAACTGTGACACTTGGCTCACAATACTACACATCGAGTTGGCCCCCGTGAGCCCATCTCCACTCTTTGGGCATGATGGCAGCAGAAAGCCCTTGTGAAACAGCCTACAGGCAGAGGGGATCTGAGCTGAGGTGGGGAGAGGTGGGGAAGGGAGGGACATCCACAGTCCAGTGCTCTGGTTTCTCCCTCAGCCTGAAGAGACCTGCAGCATTTCAGAGCTGTGGGGAATGGCATGTGCAAAGCATTCTACTACAGGTGATACTCACAAGAGAGATTAAAACAAAAAGAACATCCTGGCAAAGCAGCTCAGAAAAAAAGAGAGAAAAAGAAGAGACAGGAATCAGGGAAAAAGTAGACAACATGGATACTTACTAAATCCAACCATTTTGTCAGGCACTTTGAATTCTTCCGTTATTACCGTCCTAAAAACAAAGAACATTTTGGAAAAAAATACAGAATACAGACTTTTGCAGCCATTTTAGGTCCCCAAACTGCCCATACTGGCAATGTTGCATGATAAAAGCTTAAAATACATCAGGCCAATTTGGCCAACAAATCCACCACCACCTACAAAGAGTGTCACGTAATGAACCGTCTGGTCAATCACTCCTTCCAAAGATCTAAGCCTTTCATCTCCTTTTGTCAGAGGAAGAAACCTCAGGGTTTTCATGAAACCATCACCTCCTCTAACAGCTGCCTTTTCTTCATACAGCACCTCTCAGTGTTGCCTCATTCTGCCTGGTTAGGTGCTCTCTAACCAATGGGCCATCAATCCCAGGTCACTGAAAGGTCCTCCAGGGTTTTGGGAGATGTTTAGACTTCTATTGTGGAGTCCTCTCTAGATGAAGAGATATCCATCTTTTCTTCAACATCCCTTGTTTCCCAATCTTTTTATTGTTTTCTGGCCTCCCTTCTAATTTATGGATGTTTTTAACGGTGAGACGCCCCAAATGGAACCAGTATCCGATGGAGGCGTAATCACTGTTGACCAGAACAGAATAATTACCTCACTTACTCTGCAAGGTACTTCTGTTAAATGCTATCCCATCCATTATGTGCCTTTTTTTTTTTTAAACTACTACTGCACTGGCTTTTTTCAACAAACCTTCAAATCTGCCATAAAGTGTATTGTGGACAATGTCCAATTTGCCCAACACCCCAGAAAGCAATTAAATCTCAACATTTACCTTGGGAGGATGCTAAATGCAAGTAGTTTAAAAAAAAAAAAAAGGCAAGCATTTTTAAACATCTCTCACACAGCTGGGTTTTTACCCATCACAGAAAGGATTGAATAAGTGCATATTTTTAGGGAAAGTGCATCACTTAAAAGAAATGCAATAGCATAAATAGCACTTGCCACTGTATCATTTTGATGGGAACAAACAGTCTTCTCCCTCCCTCCTTGAGGGAGTTTACACCCTCAAGCTTATGAACAAGACGGGATTCTCTCCACCTCTTGCGATGTATGTGTTCTCCCCAAATCAGGCAATTCATTCCCAGCTTCCTAATCAGTAACACCATGGATGTGAATGCCAAGCCCTGCTGTCCCAACACGTCCTGCAGCAGAAGCCAGGTCCCTGTCAGGATGTGCTTCCTGACCTTGTTATGAGGGATGACAGGGCTCTTGTGCGTGTGGCCAGGAGGCTGCTGCTCACACCATGTGTAGCATGAGCTGTCTATTCTGTCTACTCTCAGAAAATATTACCTGGGAATTGACTAGAGGGGCTTCAACACTACTGCAATACAAAATGTCACGAAGCCCAGGCAGCCCTTGGCCCTAAGGAACACTTTAGCCAACTGTGAGGAAGAAACATTCCAAGACGAACTGCTCTGGGTTTCCAGGAAGAAAACGTTCTAATCTAAATGCAAGGCTGAAACTTGTCCAAGGTACAAAATATAAACACCTTGGAAAAGAAAATCCTGACTAGTTATGGCTTTATAGGAAAGTCAGCATTTGATACTAACGATCACCTCATTTAAATTTTTCAGTTCATCAACAAACAAAACAAAGCAAACAAAGAAACAACAATAACAACAACCACCAAAAAAACCCCAGGATAAAACTTTTGTTTAACTGATGACCGGTGATTTCTAGAAACTCCCAAACACCTAGGCAGAATACAAGATGACAGAATTGTTTTGCTGATAGAAGGTTAAGGATATGTTACAGCAACAGATACATAGCACAAAATTCATCCTTCCAGAAGAGAAACTGTGGCAGTTTCTTGTATATTTTTCCCTGTTTGAAGGGCGATACACTATGACCACACATACCCCATCTTACAGATTGGCCTTTGTAAAACTCAGGGCTCTTTCTGTATCTCTCTAAATCTTCTACGTTTGACAGAAGGCTATGAGGGGACACAGAAACAGAGAATTAGCTGGGCTGAGGCTCTCTGGCAAGTCCCTACCACTTCGGAAGGATGGAACCCTGGCTTCTGGCCTCCTCACCACGCACTAGCCACCCACCCATACTCCCTGGGCACCCAAAGCATTCTCTTGTGAGTGTCTGACCCTCACACTTCGAGGTGTCTCTTCTCAGGTGAAGGGGTTAAGGATTAATAAAATACTGGCAACACCACAAAACCAGGTGGGAAAATCTCATTCTCTCCTTTTAAATTAAATGTACATTGGTAGAAAGAGCAACTCCAATCTTCTACAAGTATTTTAAGTTACTGCAATAATGGCTGATTTTTAATGCCTTGTATTAGTTTATCCCTGAGCTGACACTATCTTAGAAATGGCTAGCAAAAAACTCGAGTCTTAAAGAAGCCTAACCCATGCTTTTTCACATTCTCAACCTCTGACTTTCTAGCACTCTAGTACAGATGGTGGATCAATAAACAATTAGAAATGATCAATAAATAATAAAACGTAACCCACTGCTTACCTTTGATGTACCAAGGCCCCTAACTGGTTACCTACTGTGGCAAAGAGAAAGAGAAAAAAAAAATCAAAGCATTAGCACGGATAAACTAACTTCATCCTTACCATTCTTACCATTTCGGGTGGGGTGGAAAAGAAAGGCAGAAAGAAAGCAAACAGTAATTTAGGCTCAGTGGCTGAAATGAATGCGTTATATGATATGAAACAGGAGGGGACATCTTGATCAACACAGTCTGTAACCCAGTGTCCAGCTGAACACAGGATAAGAAATTGATCTGTGTGTCCACATGCTGTGAGGCCTGGGAGAAAATCCTGCTAGCCTAAATCCCTCTAACTTCCTACCTCCCTCCTGCTCTGGATCCAAACTCAATGTAAAGATGGAAAGAGATCCTTCTTTCTCTTTTAAAAACAAATGAGAAGATTTACCCTCCTTGGATGCATTGTTAAGGACTGCTCCACAGCAGCTGTAGTCATGAGGAACACGCACATATGCTCCTCCTGGCCACGGGGGAGGAGACGCCCCCTGGTGCCCCCCTCGCCGGCCCCCCCACCCCCAAGACCATAAGCATCTGAAGGAGAGGATCCAGCCTCCTACCTCCACAGGCCTCGTCACGGACCCACCAGAGCAGTCCATGTGCAGCGGACACTAAGAATGAGCAACTGCCTTTCAAGCCCATTTCACAAAGACAACGGTGCCAAACAGCCTCTTATTATTAAAACCAACTCTGTAATCACATTCCCACAAAACCACTTTAGCTACACTTTTTGTTCCAGTTTCTCCTCTTTCAGCTATTGATGAGTGTCTCTCCTTCACCAGCCATCAGCAAAAATGATTCTGTAGTGTTTCTCTTTTGGAAAATGCAGCTCAGGAAACACAGTCAGCAGACAATGAAAAAATACAAATCCTAAACATATCACAAAGAACCAAATGCACCTTACAACATGCTAAAAAGGGCATTCAGAAATACGTCTTTGGGGAAAGTTATTCTAAGGACATGAGCTAAGTCGCAAAGGATCGATTACACCCACTTGAGGACAGAGAATGAAATGGTTTGACAATTGAACTCCATCTGAATCAGAACAGGGAGCCAACTGCTCTGCTTGTGCTCAAACTCACTGCTGTCATTCTCCGACTGGACAGTAAAGAGACAAAGGAAAAAAAGCAGACCGTGACATTTAAAAAGAAGAAAAAGCAAAGCAAAACAATGCTAGCAAAAAGCAAACGAAGCTACTAAGTCAATACCATATTTCTTCTGGATCAATAACAAGATAATGGTCTACAGCCAAAATATTGACACTAGACACTATTAATCTGCTTATCTCAGGGATAAGAGAATTGTTTTTTACTGACTCTTAAAATTTTCTCTTTGCCTATCTGTTTGAATATAACAAACATTCTTGCTTGGAACAGGTAGTGTTCACAACTCCCATTCTGCATGAAAACTGGACAATCACCAGGTCAGGAAAGAAATCCTCACCACAGACTCAGCCCCTGAATAATGTTGGGGCTGAGACATTCCTGAGGGAGGTATGTTGGCCACATAGGGCAGTGGGGAGGAAAAGAAACACACCAAAGGAGAATGTCAACGACAGAGTACCTGTGAGCTTGGTTAGCTGTTCCTATTTATGGGTCAAGCTCAGCTTCCCTGATTGCTATCAGAATTCCCCTCTTAGTGGGTAAAGAATCTACTGAAGCCAGAAGAACTAAAATGTCTTGAAATGATGAGAACACAGAGGAGAGGTGCTCAGCATTCCTCAGCTGGGGGAATGAGGCCGCACCGTGGGTTCTGGTCCACTGCGTTGTTTGGTAAAGGATGTCAAAGGGCCGATGATCTTCAGAAATTTCTGTCTCAGCCAGAAAAGCCACAGAAACAAAGGGCAGTGCTACCATAAAGAACTTCCTGAGATTCACAAGAATATTCAGAGGGCTCCTGTTCAAAAGCCATTTGAAATTTTGTGCTCATCACAAAAATGGCAATTCCTTTTTGTTGGCAAAGTATGTGTTACAGGTGCCACGCACATGACACCATTCCTGCCAGCCACGGTGGAGGCACTCATAATGACCAGAGATGAAAATGTTCACACTATCATCCCACAGATAGATGGGCTGCTGAGAGCCGCATCACTGAGAGGAAATCAGGTTCAAGTCCAGAGTCAACTCTGAGCTGGCAGATGCTTAGGAAGGATAAATCATCTCCCTCCTCCATGCAAATGCTGGAGTCCACCCAAGGCTGAAACATGTGATTGCAGTTTCATTCCCTTCGGAACATTCCCATTTGCTGCCTAAAAATGAAAACCAGCAGTTAGATCAGGGGCGCTGGGTACTCATATGGCCAACTTCTATGTCCAACTCCAGGAACAGGAACCTCTCCTCAGTCTTCGCAATGAGGAGGGGTCACACTAAGGAGGCAGATGGGAACACCTATCATATTCAATTGAATGGAACTACACTCATTTTCCTGTAAAAAAGGAAAAATGCTGGGTAAAATCAGTCCTGTTTCCACTAATGGTGTGTGCTGGTTGACAATGCATCTTCTTGCTTCTAAAGGTCCCGTTGGAGCAATTCCAGCATATACAGGTGTAGTTCTCGTTTCCCTTGTGCACTATATAATACGAACTGCCTGGGCTGTGAGTCATCCTACGATATCATAAATTCTTTCTGAAGAGTAATACTCTGCCAATTTTAATAATAATCTTAAAAAAAAAAAAAAAGGAGGTCAGGTCAGGTGCTGTCACTCATGCCTGTAATCCCAGCACTTTGGGAGGCCAAGGCAGGCAGATAACTTGAGGCCAGGAGTTCGAGACCTGCCTGGCCAACATGGCAAAACCCTGTCTCTAGTAAAAAAAAAAAAAATACACAAATTAGCTGGGTGTGGTGGTGCACATCTGTAATCCCAGCTACTCGGGAGGCTGATGCACAATGAACCGGGGAGGTGGAAGTTGCAGGGAGCTGGGATCGTGTCATTGCACTCCAGCCTGGGTGACAGAGCAGAACAATCTTAAAAATCAATCAATCAAACAAACAATAACACAAAAAAAGGTGATCAGACACATTTTTCCCTATTAGTGAAGAAAAAAAGATTTCATTTTTTTTTTCTCCTCCAAAAGAAACAAAACTGCACTGGGAAATACATGCAACTTTGCAATACACATCAGCTTTTTTTTTTTCCTGAGACAGAGTCTCGCTCTTCTTGCCCAGGCTGGAGTGCAAAGGCGTGATCTCGGCTTACCACAACCTCTGCCTCCTGGGTTCAAGCGATTCTCCTACCTCAGCTTCCCGAGTAGCTGGGATTACAGGCATGCGCCACTACGCCCGGCTAATTTTGTATTTTTAGTAGAGACGGGGTTTCTCCATGTTGGTCAGGCTGGTCTCGAACTCCCGACCTCAGGTGATCCGCCCACTTTAGCCTCCCAAAGTGCTGGGATTACAGGCGTGAGCCACCGCGCCCGGCCACATCAGCTTTAATAGTTATACCCCCACTCCCACCCCAGCACAAGGAACAAAAATGCCAATTCCTCCTTCACGACAGCACAGCCAGCACGGGCTGGCACCCACACGGAACCACTGGCCAGAGGCAGGTGAGTGAGTCTGTTGGGGGGGGGTGGGGAGAGAGGAATACCAGTTTTTATAACTGTAAAAACAAATAACCCAAATCTTCCTTTTTAGATTTTGAAAACAATCCCCCCTCCTCTGCCTCTTCTTTGGATTTGCAGTCTCCTCTGACTGACCAATGGCTTTCCACACCCCAGCTCAGGTCAGTAACACACACTTAGCGGTGAGGATTCAGGGCGTTTTTAGAAAGCTTTTCCCCCAGGGACACTACAAAGGCTTCCTGTGTTCTAGGCAGCAACTCTTGCTCCAGGGCCACAAAACACTGACATGCTGAGTTCAGCTGAAAGTCCTTTGGCAAGCATAATTTATTAATTTTGCAAATTATTTTTTAAAAAGTGAAAGTAAATTCAAGTTTATCTCAATAATGTCACTCTTTTTTGTTGTTGTTGTTGTTTGAGACAGAGTCTCGCTCTGTCTCCCAGGCTGGAGTGCAGCGGCGCGATCTCGGCTCACTGCAACCTCCGCCTCCCGGGTTCGTGCGATTCTCCTGCTTCAGCCTACCAAGTAGCCAGGATTACAGGTGTGTGCCGCCATGCCTGGCTAATTTTTGTACTTTTAGTAGAGATGGGGTTTTACCATGTTGGCCAAGCTGGTCTCAAACTCCTGACATCAGGTGATCCGCCTGCCTTGGCCTCCCAAAGTGCTGGGATTACAGGTGTGAGCCACCGTGCCCAGCCAATCACATCACTCTTACTTGTAGTCTACTGTAAGCTTCTGTGAGTGGAAAGACCACCACCCCCAGCCACACTAGGTGCTTTCCTGGGCACCTCACCTGCGTGAACCCACTTGGTCCTACAAGAACCCACCTTTGAGGCAGCTACTGTCACTGCCATTCCCATCTTACTGAAGAGGAAGGTGCGATCACACTGCACCCAAGCCCTCAGAGTGGCATGCAGGCGAGGGGCCTGTGCCCATGCAAACTCTGTACCCCTTCATCTTCCCCTGTCCTTTAATTTTGTGGGTTTCAACACTTATCACTGTTTAATTTTGTGCTATTAACTCTCTTGATCATTCTTCATCTCACAAGTCAGCGCCTTCCAGGTGCTGAGCACTGTGACAGGACCTGAGGATACAACAGTCAACAAAGCCACCTTTGCCCTCAGGGAGCTTACAGTCTAGCAGGGAAGGCAGAAGGCAACAGATGAGGGGGCCTACCCTAGCCTCCAGGGACGTGTTGGGCCCTGCACCTTCTCCTCAAGAGCCTAAGAGGAAAAAGAATTCTATGATAGTATATTCATAGCCCTAAGCTTTACTTTCATTTACGCCAGTGTCATGAAATCAATATAGGGGGTCACAACCAGCTTTATTAATAAAAATGAAATAGAAAACAGAATGTACCATATATAATAAGGGTAATGTATTTCATAAAACTTTCATTTCAGTCACATATGTGTTTTAATATGTCTGTACTAACTAGTTCTGATGGAAACAGTTTTTCTCACATTGGGAGTGGTATTTCTTTCTTTTTTTTTTTTTTTGTTTGAGACAGAGTCTTGCTCTGTCGCCAGGCTGGAGTGCAGTGGCACGATCTCGGCTCACTGCAATCTCCACCTCCTGGGTTCAAGTGATTCCCCTGCCTCAGCCTCCCGAGTAGCTGGGACTAAAGGCGCGCACCACCATGCCCAGCTAATTTTTTTGTATTTTAATAGAGGCGGGGTTTCACCTTGTTGGCCAGGATGGTTTCAATCTCCTGACCTCGTTGATCTGTCTGCCTTGGCCTCCCAAAGGGGATTACAAGCATGAGCAACCATGCCAGGCCCGGGAGTAGTATTTCTTAAAGCTTGAAAATAACATGATATAACCCTCATGATAATCTGATGAGGCAGGTATCATCAGGTCCATTGTACAGATGAGGAAACACAGGCTCAGAGACGTTAAGGAACTTGCCCAAGGTCAAACAGCTAATGACTAGCAAAGCTGGGATTCAAACCTTGATCTGTCAGACTCTGAAGTCCACATGTTTAAGTACTATACTATTATGGCACATGAGACAGAGACCCAGGTTCAACCTCCCTTCTGTCACTTATCATGTATCTATCTGGCCTTGGTCAAACCACTTACTTCTTCAGAGACACTGGTTTCCTTATCTACAACAATAAGGAGTTTAAGCTTCAGGTTCCCTTCTAGCTGTGATCTTAGGTGACCCCCTCTCCTCCGACTCAATCCCTAACCACTGGCAACCACTAATCTGTTCTCCGTTCCCAAAAGGTTACATAAAGGGGATCATGCAGTATGTAGTTTTTTGGGATTGGTTTCTGGCACTCGGCATAATTCCCTGGAGATTGATCCAAGTTGCTGGATGTACTCAGCATTTGTTCCGTTTTACCGCTGAGTGATATTCCACGGTATGGCTGTATCGCAAGCAGAACCATTCATCAGTTGAAGGACACGTGGGCTGTTTTCAGTTTGGGACTATTATGAATAAAGCTGCTATGTGAACAGGCTCTTGTGTGAACATTTTCCTTTCTTGGGGATAAATGCCCAACAGTGCAGTTGTGGACTGTGCGTAAGTGCATGTTTAGTTTTGTGACACTCCCAAACTGTATTCGAGAGAGGTTCTACCATCAAGTTGAACTCTGGAAACCTATGAATCCTCTTTTAATTTGGCAACTACTTTTCTTCCCTATTAACAGCTGCGAAGAATGTAACAGGCATTGTACATGAGCTCGAGTTATATTTTTGTCACAACATTGATGCTGCAGGTTTAGCTCATTCATTTTTGTGGAAAATGAATACTATTTTACCTAGCTGGCTAAGCCAACTGTCCACCAACCAGTCACATGATGCTTTGCCAAGGGGAAAAATCTCACTGCCTTTTTCCAACTTACACATATGTATGTACCCATGTGAGTATCATCTCACTTCTGAATTATAATCCTAAAATGCATAGATGGGTGAAGGGAGGGAGGAAGAAACAAATGCAGGTGGCTGAGGTAGGGGGGTAGGGCACAGAGCCTGTGCCAGGAGTTGTCAACTGGATAAAATCAGACCCTGTCCCCTTCACTATTTGTTTTTTTTTTTTTTTTTTTTTGGAGACAGAGTCTTGCTCTGTCGCCCAGGCTGGAGTGCAGTGACACGGTTTCAGCTCACTGCAACCTCTGCCTCCCGGGTTCAGGCCATTCTCCCACCTCAGCCTCCCGAAGAGCTGGGACTACAGGTGCACGCCACCACATCCAGCTAATTTTTGTATTTTTAGTAGAGACTGGGTTTTACCATGTTGGCCAGGCTGGTCTTGAACTCTTGACCTCAGGTGATCCTCCCGCTTCAGCCTCCCAAAGTGCTGGGATTACAGGCGTGAGCTACCATGCCCAGCCTCCCTTCACTGTTTCTTACCAAGGCTCTACCCTTTGTTACCTTGGGATTCTCCATTCAGAATTCTTGCCTGGCCCCACTGCTTGGGGATTTTTCCACCCCAGGTGACCGCCCACTGTACACCAAAAGTGGGGAACGGGAGAAGGGGCGTGGCAGGAAGGGCATAACCTTCAGGGGCAGACGTGACTCTCAGAAAGGCCCATTTTAGGGAAGAGGGCAGACAGGAGGTAAGGAGCTGAAAAAGGAACCTGGGAAGCCTGCCCATGTCCACCGCCCCTGGAAAGCCTTCATCTGCCCTTGATGATGACTGCCCAACCACATCCCAGCCTCACTTTACCTCTTCCCTCTTCACAAAAGGCAAACCTTCCTCCTAACCCCTCCTACTCTCAGGAACTAGGTTTTGGTCTTGGCTTTTCATCCCTCCAATATCTGTCATCATCCCCCATTCAGGGAAAGTATCAACACTTCTGAGATTCACTTCCCTCTTTCCAGAGTGGAGACTGGTGGCCTCAGCACCTGCCTGGGGTGCAGGTCACAGGCAGGGGTCCGGGCATCATGGCTCTCACCACCGCTAGCACTTGTACCTCCTATCTCCTGTCTCTCCTTGAGGTCTGGGATTTTCAAACGTCTTTTCCTCCCTCCTGTCTTCCTTTTCTGTCCTTGCCCTATGCCACAAGTACTGAAACAAAGCTTGGAAAGGATCACAGAAATAGTCTATTTCACTCTTCCTGCAAATAATTCATTTGACAGAACGCCCAAGAATTCGTCCTTTACCCCGTAAGAATACAGCAGTTCCCCCTCATCCATGAGGGATATGTTCCAAGACCCCTGGTAGGTGGCTGAAGCCATGGAGAGTACCGAACCCTGTATACGCTACATTTTTTCCTATACATTGGTGAGTGGGTAGTGTATACAGTGTGGATACACATGCTACTCAGAATGGTGTACAATTTAAAAATTAGGAATTGGCTGGGTGCGGTGGCTCACGCCTGTAATCCCAGCCCTCTGGGAGGCCGAGGCAGGTGGATCACGAGGTCAGGAGTTCAAGACCAGCCTGGCCAACATGGTGAAACCCCATCTCTACTAAAAATACAAAAATTAGCTAGTTGTGGTGGCGCACGCCTGTAATCCCAGCTAATTGGGAGGCTGAGGCAGGAGAATCACTTGAACCTGGGAGGCAGAGGTTGCAGTGAGCCAAGATCGCACCACTACACTCCAGCCTGGGTGACAGAGCAAGACTCCATCTCAAAAAAAAAAAAAAAAAATTAGGAATTATTTCTAAAATTTCCATTTAATAATTTCGGCAGTGGTTGACCGTGGGTAACTGAAACCGTGGAAAACGAAGTCATGAATAAATGGGGAACAACTGTATTATCAAAAGTAGAAAGTGTGGTACTATAAAAGGTGCTGTTCTTCAGCAGGTCATGAAGTAAAAAGAATAAAAAGGACAAAAAAAAAGGTGCTACATAAATAGCAAAGACGAGTCTTTGAGTGAAGAGGCAGGCATAGTTTCAAAGCCCCTTGCATGGCCTTACCCCCGCCACCCCAGTGGTGAGGACAGTGCTGTACTCTCCTGAAGTCCTGGTTTTGGTGCCACCCACTACACAGAATGCAGGGGGAGTATGAGGCCTGCTTAGTTCAACTAAAAAAGCTCCTAAAAATGCTCCTGAGGAAGAAAACTGGAAAGGCTTTGATCTTTGATCAGGAGAGATACAGAGGGACAAATGGGAAGTGACTTCTCTGTCTGTCCATCAGCTCTGGGCAAACATGAGAAAGCACTTGTTTCAGGTGGTTAGGGCAGTTGGACAGTGAACCATGAGACGGGAGACTTGTTTAAAGAAACTGGGGGAGGGGTACTCTCTATATACTTCCCTAACTAAAGATGAAGAAAATGTTTTCATCAACTGATGAGGCTGATTTTAGTTGAGGGCTGGCAAATTAAGCTTGAGGGCCAGCTGCCTGTTTCGGTGAAATATCTTATTGGCTCACAGCCATGCTCTTTGTTTATGTAGATGCTACAGCTGTTTTTGAACTCCAATAGCGTAGCTTAGTAGGTGGGATACATAGCCTGCAAGCTTAAATTTATTTTTGTTTGTTCTGAGATCACTATGTCACCCAAGCGGAGTGCAGTGGTGCGATCACTGCTTACTGTGGTCTTGACCTCCCAGGCTCAGGCAATCCTCCCACCTCAGCCTCCTGAGTAGCTGGGGCTGCAGGCATGCACCACCACACCCAGCTAATCTTCTTTCATTTTTTTGTAGAGATGGGGTCTTGCTATATTGCCCAGGCTGGTCTCAAACTCCTGGACGCAAGCAATCCTCCCACCTCGGCCTCCCAAAGTGCTGGGATTATAGGCATAAGCCACCATGCCTGGCCCCTAAAATGCTTACTATCAGGTCCTTTATAAAAAAGCTTGTTGCCAGGTGCAGTGCAGTCCCAGCTACCCAGGAGGCTGAGGTGGGAGGATCACCTGAGCCTGGGGGATAGAGGCTGCAGTGAACCATGACTGCCCCACTGCACTCCAGCCTCAGCAAGAGTGAGACCCTGTCTTTAAAAAAAAGAAAGAAAAGCTTGCCAACCTCTAATTTAGATTACATTTAAATTCGCACTTCTAAATCACTTAGCTAATACTATTGTCTTAAATTTGGAACTTACTTTTCCCAAAATTTAAAAATGCAAATCGTAGGAAACACGGGAGAACTTGAGCATGAAAAACATGGGAGAACTTGAGCATGAAGAGTCCATGGGAAATGAAGCCAGTCTTTATGGCCACATCACGTAGGCTCTGCTAGGAGAGGTGCACAGCGGGACCCAGTAACCGCGGAAGGAAGGTCTGCCCTGAGCAGAGGGCAAATACACTGCTTTAGAAATTCAGAGAAGGATATGACTTAATATTCACTGGTCAGGTGGGTGTGTGAAAAAGGGAAAAGAGGGGGAAAGAGGGAGGGAGGGAGGGAGGGAGGGAGGAAGGAAGGAAAAGGTAGAGAGAAGACCAAGAGGCTAGGTGGCATGTGGGCTGAGCCCCGAAGAAAGTCAAAAGATAAGGAAGAGGACAGGTTTCTAGGAAGAAGTTGGCTGAGCAGGAGTTGGGCAGGTTAAGAGCTGGGTGAGGGGAGAGAGGAGACAGGCAGCCAGGCTGCTACACAGGAGGAGCACAGGAGGTGCACGGGAGGAGCCAAGCGGGAGGGCAGGCAATGGCCAGGTTGCAAGATCTGCACCTCCCTGGTTACTGGAGGAATGAAACTGGTTGGACTGACTGCAGGGAGAGGCTCCAGTTGAAACATGAGAGAAGTACTGGATGAAAAAGGTGCCACAACTGAGACCAGAAGGCAGATTCCTGAACTGGTGGGGTGCCAAGGATGCATATCAAAGACTGCTGGAACATGTGGGTATCAAGATTGAAGACAGTGAAGGTTAAAATGGCCTGATCCAAAGCTGGAGGGCGGTGGAGTGACTGGTGACTGCTCTTCCCACGGACAGGCATTCAGGCAAGCTTTCAAACTGAGCTCTAAATTCTGCTCTGGGTTCTAAGCAGACTCATGAACAGCGTTCTGACAAGTGGCTCAAAACTGCCACTCTCTGAAACACAACTAACCCAAATCCCTTTCTATATCAGGAACAAATCCTTTCCCTTGTTCCACTGCCTAGCATATTAAAAAAAACTTTACATATATATATATATACACACACACACACACACACACACATATACTTATATATATGTGTATATATGTGTGTATATATGTGTATCTATATATGTATATATGTATTTTTTGAGATGGAGTCTCACTCTGTTGCCCAGGCTGGAGTGCAGTGGTGCGATCTTGGCTCACTGCAACCTCCGTCTCCCAGGTTCAAGTGATTCTCCTGCCTCAGCCTCCCAAGCAGCTGGGACTACAGGCGCGTGCCATGACATCCAGCTAATTTTTTGTATTTTTAGTAGAGACGGGGTTTCACCGTGTCAGCCAGGATGGTCTCAATCTCCTGACCTCGTGATTTGCCTGCCTTGGCCTCCCAAAGTGCTGGGATTACAGGCGTGAGCCACAGTGCCCGGCCTTATTTATTTTTCGGAAATACGGTTTTGCTATGTTGCCCAGGCTGGCCTCGAATGTCTGGGCTCAAGCTTTCCCACCACCTCAGCCTCCTGGGTAGCTGGGATTACAGGTGTGAGCCACCATGCTGGGCATCTCTAGGAATTCTAAGAGGAGATGGCCACTGTTTTTAGATGTGGGAGCCTTTGGGGGAAAATTCTTTAGACTCACACTGAAGATTTTAAGGGGATGGCACTCACTTGATTGTAAAAATTCGTGTGTATTTACAAAGTGTTTATGACCACAAAACAGAAAATCCACCCCAGGGCCACTGGAACTAAGATAACCATTTAAACTACTTATCCAAAATAGTACGCTGTGATCTTTTTATATTTGACTGGTGTTAGTGATTCCCTAGGCCAAATAGGGATGATTGCATTAACTGCATTTTTGCCTTAGCAGAAAGCTGTAATGCAAAGTAACCTCTTTACCTTTTCGAGGCAATCATACTTTGGTTCCTCTTGAGACAGCAACGTAAAAACAAAACTAAGTTGTCTGCCTCTGTGCACACACCTCACTAACGGACAGTGTCTCTTTGGCCCAGTGTTTCCAGAAATTGAGATCAATATATTTCACAACTCATTCAGCCTTTCACAACAATTTCACAATTCAGCCTTGTTTTTTTCACCCACTGCCTGGCGCTGAAGGGTTAAAACTTGTGCTTGCAGTGAGCAGGTATCTGCTGCGTCCTCTGCATAAGGAATACCTAAATATTTGCAAATGAAACCCTCTAGCATTTTGCAGACATTTTTCTCCCATTAGTCCATTGCACATACATTTGAAAGAAATTAGCACTAATAAAGAGATTATCAGTATTGATAAAGAGAACTGGGTCACAGGCAGATGTTAGCTGACTTGGCCAAAGATCACCCAGTAGGTCCAGAATCTCACTTAAAACCTCGGGTTCATTTATATTGCGTATTTTCACTTACTTGTTTTGATAACCATATTTTTTTCCATGTCTACCTTTTGGGGAATAAGTCTTCACAAACAGAAAATGACCATGGTTTATCTTTTTCTTCCCTCTAAATATGAAGCCCTCCTATAGCAAGAAGGAAAGTTTCTGTGTCGTGCTGAATCTCTCATCCTCCCTGAACACCCGGTCTTAGGTAACAACAGGCTGTATTTGAAGAACAAGGAATTTCCCTCAGGCTTCTTACATTCTGTATTACAGCTCGATAAAATTAATCGTGTCTTCTGTTGAGCACTGTTTAAATAACAGGATTACACATATTGTTTTTTTCTCCAAGCTGTTCTCCACGTGTAGAATTTGAGTTCTGTGTTGATCTCAGCGTCTGGGGACTGCCACAGCCCCTTTTTGTCAGTTGTCTTCTGGTAGGGGTAAGGTCACTGGGCCACTCTCTTAAGAGACAAAGAATGTGAATAAGCAGATCCTGTGAAGGGAAGTGATGTTCATGTTTACCTGGCCACCTTCTAGGCTCACAGTCTTGCTGATGGCGTGATGAAAAGTTTAGAAAAGCAGAGGCAGACCAAGCGGCCGGAATTCTGGCACATTTTTCTTAGCAATAAAGATTTCCAAAGGCTGTGTAGCTGTTTGTTTGGTTTGGCTTGGGTTTTCTTTGACAGAGGCTACCAGATCACTTCTTTAGCAACATGAACTTTCTAACTTTCCCTTGAAGCAGGGTTAACCTTTACGAGGTTAAAGTTCAGTCCTCTAGAACTTTTTGGAGGTGTTATTTGGGTCTATTTAAAAACACTTCAACTCAGCCATAAAAAAGAATGAGATCCAGTCATTTGCAACAACATGGATGGAGCTGGAGATCATTATGTTAAGTGAAATAAGCCAGGCGGAGAAAGACAAAAATTACATGTTCTCACTTATTTATGCAATATAAAAATCAAAACAGTTGAACTCATGGACATAGAGAGTAGAAGGATGGTTACCAGAGGCTGGGAAGGGTAGTAGGGGGCTAAGGGGACTCAGGGGGGAGGGGGGTTAATGGGTACGAATAAGACCTACTATTTGATAGCACAACAGGGTGACTATAGCCAACAATAACTTAATTGTACATTTTAAAATAAAGAGAGTAACTGGATTGTTTGTAACTCAAAAGATAAATGCTTGAGGGGATGGATACCCCCGTTTTCCACGAGGTGCTTATTTCACATTGCAGGCCTGCATCAAAACATCTCATGTACCCCATAAATATATACACCTATGCACTCACAAAAATTACAAATAAAATAAAATACTTCAACTCTTAAGTTAACTAAAAAGAACCTTAACATAGGGTTTATTCAGGACATTGAGATTTGCAAACAAGTCTATGAACTGGAGGATTTAAAAACGTACTAGGAGGCATGGTGGCTCATGCCTGTAGTCCCAGCTACTTGGGAAGCCGAGGTGGGAGGATCACTCGAGCCCAGGAGTTCAACGGCGCCACTGCACTCTAGCCTGAGCAGAGTGTGATCCCATCGCTAAGGAGGGATTAAAAAAAAAAACAAGAATTCCTAGAGACCAGAGAAATGAGTCATGGCAAATTATATTTTTCTATGTATATAAAAATATGCACTTTTGGGAGAAAAGATTATATAATACATACTGTTCTACATCTTCATTTTTCACATAATAATACATCACAGAAATATGTACAAACATAAATGATTGGGTACATAGCGACAGAAAAAGAACACAGAGAAGACACCGACTCACTCGACTACATGCAAATTCATGTCAATCTAGTGTACTTCACTATCTCTTCTATAGTAACAGGAGACAAAATATGATAAAGATGTCCAAGCTCTCTACAGAAACACATCTGATAGATACTCTGCCAGAGTGCTGGGGATTGGCACTTCTAAGTGTTCTCAAATTCTTTTTGGGATGGAGTAGGGTATATAAACCAGCCAACAAAACAACAAATAAACGAATTAAAGAAAAGGGATGCTTCTAGAAAAAGCCTGACATAAATGGGAATGGTGAAAAAGCTGGCAGCTAGACTGCAGAAAGGTCACCATTCTTCTCTTTCTTTAAGGTCAAGATGTAGCCACAGCTTCCCTAGAGCCATGCACCAAATCGTAGCTTTTCTGTGGAGAAAGTGGGAACTTCAATTCCCATGCGCACTGAAGAAGGGAGTTAGGCTAAATCAAACAAAATTCTCAAATAGGTCAAATTACTTCCAAGCTGATGCTCAGGGGCCAAGTCTTTATCTCAGAGCCCAGCGAAAAGATTTCTGTATTATCAAGGCAAATAGGAACTCAAATGCTGAAGAACTGCTGAGAAAAATCATCCTAAATACTTCCCTTCAACCTTTCTTCTCAACAGAGTGACACTTCAGAGAGTCGTTAAGGTAATGGCTGACAAATTCAAACTTAACTGGCAGGTTCACTACCACCTGAAAGGCAAAGATATTTCTGGCAACTTACCTCCATCATCCAAGGGCCGTTTTTGTACTCCGTATCCATATACTGAGGGGTCCACTAGAGGTGTGGAATTATTCAAGTGAGGAATTGAATCAATTTTAGCAGCAATCTACAGAGAGAATCAGATTTAAACACTCAGTAACAAACCATGGCTCTATCTGAGGGAGAAAGACAAGTGTCCTCTTTAAAGGGCTATTATCCCATTTCTCCCCTGACCTTGATTAATGGAAGGCAGCACCGCAAGAGCACAAATACTTTTCACTGTTAAGTGAGTTTTCTTTTGGTCTTAATAATAACTTGTCTTTAGTACTTTCAAAAATGTGTCTCTACCAGAAAATTAGTATCCTTTTTTTTTTTTTTTTTTTGAGACGGAGTTTCGCTCTTGTTGCCCAGGCTGGAGTGCAATGGCATGATCTTGGCTCACCGCAACCTTTGCCTCCCGGGTTCAAGCGATTCTCCTGTCTCGACTTCCCAAGTAGCTGGGATTACAGGCATGCGCCACCACGCCCAGCTAATTTTGTATTTTCAGTAGAGACAGGGTTTCTCCATGTTGGTCAGGCTGGCCTCGAACGCCCAACCTCGGGTGATCTGCCCCCCTTGGCCTCTCAAAGTGCTGGGATTATAGGCGTGAGCCACTGCGCCCGGCCGCAAATTAGTATTTTTAAGTCACCACTTAATATATAGGCACATCCCATCTTAAGAAGAAAAAAAAAAAAAAAAAAGCAAGCCAACAATTGAAGAACTTTCTTCAAAAAGTTTAACTTTTCTCACAGGGTTCGCTTATGC
The DNA here is from genome assembly GCF_000001405.40 of Homo sapiens. Classification (NCBI taxonomy): domain Eukaryota; kingdom Metazoa; phylum Chordata; class Mammalia; order Primates; family Hominidae; genus Homo; species Homo sapiens. The sequence goes on along the minus strand of NC_000009.12, from coordinate 130,594,805 downwards.
AACAAATTCCCCAAGAATATTTGAAAGGCCTCATGTGCTCAAATGTGACAAACGGGTCTCACTCTGTCATCCAGGCTGGAGTGCAGTGATGTGATCATTGTTCACTGTACCCTCAATTTTCCAAGCTCAAGTCATCCTCCCGCCTCAGCCTCCCAAGCAGCTGAGACTACAAGTACGCACCACCACGTCCAGCTAAATTTTTTAAAATTTATTATTTTTTTTGATATGGAGTTTTGCTCTTGTTGCCCAGGCTGGAGTGCAATGGCACGATCTCAGCTCACTGTAACCTCTGCCTCCTGGGTTCAAGCGATTCTCCTGCCTCAGCCTCCTGAGTAGCTGGGATTACAGGCATGCACCACCACGCCCGGCTAATTTTTGTATTTTTAGTAGAGACAGGATTTCACCACGTTGGCCAGGCTGGTCTCGAACTCCTGACCTCAGGTGATCTGCCTGCCTCGGCCTCCCAAAGTGCTGGGATTACAAGCATGAGCCACAGCGCCTGGCCTATTTTTTTAATTTTTAATAGAGATGAGGACTCAATATGTTGCCCAGGCTGGTCTCGAACTCCTGAGCTCAAGCAATCCTCCTGCCTCAGTCTCGCAAAGTGCTGGAATTAGCACTTTGGCTAATCCCATGGCTCAAAGGTGTGAGTCATGGTACCCAGCCTGACAATTCTTTAGGAATACACCCATCCTATAAACTTTAATGTCTATAAACTGATGTGTGATCTAAAGAGATGTAACATAAGCTTGTCTTTACTGGAAGTGTCCAGACAATCTCAGAAGGATTCCTGCAGCAGAGAAAGGGAGATGACCTCTAAGAGCTATTTCAACTTTTAATATTTATTATCAGTGAAAGGACAGAACATAGCTGTTAAAAATTTCCCCCCAGAAACAAATGGTATGCAGAACTTCTTACTTATCTACTTTGTTCTCAGCAGGAAATTATATGTGATCTTCATAATAAAGCAACTCTTTCATTTAACCAAAGGAATATTTACAGCAACTGCTCTTGATGTTAGTCCCTCAGTTAAAGTTAATAAACAGGGGTCTATTGGGGGCAGCTAGCACAGCTGTGCCCCAGAGCAAAGTCTTCAGTGGTAGTTCTGAGCTAGTCCAAATGTTCCCAGAAGTCTCACACCTATTGGGACCAACAGAAATTACCTGAAACAAATAAACAACCAAAGACAATCATGATACTGAAAACCAAATACAGGATTTAAACAGCAGACATCATCCCTTACATTTACGAGTTCTGTGATGTTGAGGCAAGCCTCCCTCCTCTCTGCATGATGCCCCAGGGTAATACCATATATTTCATAGTTTTTGAAAAGATAATAAGATTCCTGAAGGCGGAGGAATACTTGAACACACCACAAATACTAGGGTTGTAAAACAAGGCAATTCACCCAACAAATGTTAAGTACCTACTGTGTGATGGGCTTTTTGAGGCACTGGAGCTTTTGTGGTGAAGGAGAACTACCAGGCCTGGCACTTAAGAGTCAGCAGCTGGGGGAAGTTAAAGGTAAACCAGGTAATCAATAAACTGATCATTTCAGCAGGTGATAAGCATTACCACAGTAAGAGAAGATAATGTCACACAGAGCGTGCTTAGGAAGCTGCTTTAAATGGGGTGAATGGGCAGGCCATTGTGAGGAGTGACATCTGAGTCCTACGTGATGATGAGGAGCTGGCTACATAAAAATTGAGAAAGCATGTTCTAGGCAGAGGAACTTGTACAAAGACCCTGAGGCAGGAGCAAGCTTGGTAGGTATGAGCCTGGAAAAGAAGTCAATCTTGCCAGCATGGAAGGAACTAGATATGTTCCAAAGGTGGGTAGTTCACACTGGACCCTTTCAGGTCATGGTGAGGAGCTTGGACTTTATAGGAAGGCTGATGGGCAGCTACTGCAAGTCTTAAGCAGGAGAGTAACATGCTGATTTCTGCTTCTAAAACACCCCAGCCAAAAGCATGGTGGCTAGCAAAGGTAACTCCAGCACTTTGGGAGGTCAAAGCGGGATGACTGCTTGAGGCCAGGAGTTCTAGACCAGCCTGGGCAACACAGCAAGACCCCCATCTCTACAAAAAATAAAAAAGTAGCTGTGCGTGGTGGTGCATTCCTGTAGTCCCGGCTACTCAGGAGGCTGAGGCAGGAGGACTGCTTGAGCCGGGGTTTGAGGTTACAGTGAGCTACGATCGAGCCACTGAACTCCAGCTGGAAGATGGAGCGAGACCCCATCTCTTTAAAACAACAACAGAAAACAACAAACAAGATCCCCTTGACTGCTAGGAGACAAGATAGGAAGAAGGAAGGAAGGAAAAGATAGTCTAAGCCAGACTCAGCCTTAGGAGATATTACTGTAGCCTAGGCCAGGGCTTGGCAATCTACCACTGGTGAACCACTTGCCTTTGTAATTAGAGTTTTGTTAGAACACAGCCACACTCATCTCAGAGTGAGACTCTTGACTCAAAAACAAAACAAAACAAAAAGACAAGCTCTATATGAAATTATCCCGGTTCCCTTTAAATGATGCCTCTGGGCTTCCAGATCTTTTACCTTCCTCATTTTATTTTTGAGATGGAGTCTTGCTCTGTTGCCCAGGCTGGAGTGCGGTGGCGCAATCTTGGCTCACTGCAACCTCCGTCTCCTGGGTTCAAGCAATTCTCCTGCCTCAGCCTCTTGAGTAGCTGGGATTCCAGGTATGTGCCACCATGCCTAGCTCATTTTTATATTTTTAGCAGAGACGGAGTTTCACCATGTTGGGCAGGCTGGTCTCGAACTCCTGACCTCAGGTGATCCACCTGCTTCGGCCTCCCAAAGTGCTGAGATTACAGGCGTAAGCCACTGCGCCTGGCCCTTTTCTCTTCCTTCTAAAGTAGCTAAACTGTATTCCTGAGTCCTTGGCCAGCCTTCTAACGTATGTAGTAGTTTCATGTCATTTTTTCCTCCAAAGCCGCCATGATAAAAGTTGTTTCGACAGCTTCCTATTCCTAATTTAGATTAAATCAACAAGTGTTCTTCCAAAATGTGACTGAGCCTTTCAGGTTTCTTCTTAATTCATGCTCACTTCATTACCTACAATTTGGGAAATTTCCACTATGAGAGTAGTAGTACAGAATAACAGCTGGGATACAGCTCTGAAGTGAGGAAACTGCATTTGAACCCTGGTTAAACAAATGCTGGGTATGAGTTCAACATTACAATGTATAAATTACATTTATACTACGGTGTAGGCTATGTTACATTATTCTGTAAAGAAGCAATATACTCCTTCATTCTTCCACATACTACCTTGTTCCAAAAAATGATTTTAAATGCCTAATAGAATTAAACTGTAATGCGTGCTACTCTGCTAAAACCACTTTAAATATGCTATCTCATTTATTCCTCACCATGATTCTCTAGGAGGTTCTTGGCTCACTGCAACCTCTGCCTCCTGGATTCAAGAGATTCTCCTGCCTCAGCCTCCCGAGTAGCTGGGGTTACAGGCATGCGCCACCATGCCTGGATAATTTTTGTATTTTTAGTAGAAATGGGGTTTCACCATGTTGGCCAGGCTGGTCTCAAACTCCTGCCCTCGTGATCCGCCCACCTCAGCCTCCCAAAATGCTGGGATTACAGGCGTGAGCCACCGTGCCCGGCCTTATTATTTCCATTTTAAGACAATAAAAACTGGGGCTCAGACATGGAGTGACCTGCCCAAAGTCACCCATCTTATAAGCGGCAGAAACAGCCTGCTCTATTTTATTCCTTTCTTAATAAACTTGCTTTCAGTTTACCAAAAAAAAAACAAAAACAAACAAAAACAAAAATAAAAAGTGGCAGAAACAGTATTCAAACCCAGGTCTGCCTGACTCTGGAGTCCAAGTAAATGGTATGTCGAAGATTCAATGATATGGCAAAAACCATAAAGGAGGTACACAAATCATTAAAGTTAGAAAACATTAATTTCCTATTTTCAATTAATTATTCTCAGTGCACATTTTCAAGACTAAAATTCTCTGACCACTTGGCTGCTCCCTTCCCTCCACTTAATATTTTCTTAAACATATCTCAGTTCCCAAGGACTTAAATAAAGCCTGACTTCCAGTGCACAGAGCCCAAGCAATTCTTCACATAATTGATCATTTTAAACAGTAGTTACTTAAGGGAAGTGAGGTACAGTCCTCAGTTCATAATGCTGTAGGCCAGGAGATAAAAGCCAGGATGGTCCACAAAACCAAGGCCACTCTCCTCCTTATCTGCAAGCGTGACCCTGAGAGGACTCTGCTACCAATTTTCTACCACACAAGTTATTTTCCCCCTTTTCAGGGGGAGGCAAATGGGTTATCTCACTACCCATGCTATTTTAAGCACAGTGATAAATGAAAAACAAATCAACGTCACAGACACTTAACTACCAGTAGTTAGTGGAAACTCAGAGAAGGAGAGCACTGGACCAGGAATCAGTCAACAGTCCTGATTTTCCAGCCAGTTCTTCCCGCATGTGACCTTGGGCAAGACCTTTAAGAGCCTTGCTCCTTGGTGTCTTCACCTGTAAAATGCAGAGGCAAACTAAACCAGTGTTTTCCCAAGAAAAATGCACAAGGTGATCTTGGGAGATACACGGATGAATGTTTTTAAAGTTCCATTGTTCTCACAATTACCTTCTATGCATGACAAAGTTTTCCACTTATGATACTGACTTAGTTCCCTTTTAAAAAACATTTTAGGGGCATGTGTTCTCAGGATCTCCTTGGGGGTATGTCACAGGCAAAAAAAAAAAAAAAAAAAAAAAAAAAAAATTAAATAGGCCGGGTGTGGTGGCTCATATCTGTAATCCCAGCACTTGGAAGGCTGGGGTAGGAGGATCGTTTGAGCCCAAAGTTTGACATCAGCCTGGGCAACATAGTGAGGCTTTATCTCTACAAAAACAAAAACAAAAAAACCTAGCTGAGTGTGGTGGCGTGAGCCTGTAGCCTTAGCTTCTTGGGAGGCTGAGGCAGGAGGATCCCTTGAGCCCAGGAGTTCAAAGTTACAGTGAGCTATGGTTAAGCCACCACACCATAGCCTGTGCAGGTACAAGACCCTGTCTCTTAAAAAAAAAAAAAAAAAAAAAAATATATATATATATATATATATATATATATACACACACATACATACATATTTAAAATAAATCTGGCTGGGTGCAGGGGTTCATGCCTGTAATCCCAGCACTTTGGGAGGCCAAGGCTGGTGGATCACTTGAGCTCAGGAGTTCAAGACCAGCCTGGCCAACATGGTGAAACCCCGTCTCTACTAAAAATACAAAAATTAGCTGGGCATAGTGGTGCATGCCAATAATCCCAGCTACTCAGGAGGCTGAGGCAGAAGAATTGCTTGAACCCAGGAGGTGGAGCTTGCAATGAGCCGAGATCGAGCCATTGCACTCCAGCCTGGGGACAAGAGCGAGACTCCATCTCAAAATAAATAAATAAATAAATAAATAATGTAAATTTAAGAATATTAAATAATGTATTGAAGGTTCAATGATACGGAAAAAATCATAAAGGTGGTACACAAATCACTAAAGTTAGAAAACATGACAATTAATTATTCCCAGTACACATTTTCAAGACTAAAATTCTCTGACAAGTTTCATAACCAAAGTAGGTCACCTTATAAATCCAAATAAAAAGTTGCACATAGCCCCACAACTTCATACTTACTAGAACTCTATACCAATTAGAAACAGGCAAAGCCACCTGAATGCCATCCACATATGTGTCCCTGCTACTCAACAGGGATCCTGTTGATTGGCATGGATACAGCAAGCAGAGGTGAAGGCTCACACCAGCATCGAGGGTGTGGGACCCAACTTGCTTCCCCAGAGCCTGCGCGGCACAGCCACCCAGAGAGGTCCTGCCTGGGAGAAAGGTAGGTTGGACTGCAAGACTCTACTCCCCACAGTGGGAGGAAACAGTATGCAGCCAGGGAAGTAGCCCTGTGGCAAAGAACAAGTTCCTAAGACAGGTTTGGAGTCATGGGCCGCAGGGGCAGGTCCCAGTCCTGCATCCCACTACCTAATGTTACAAAGAAGACAGTGCATCAAACATACTGCCTACTAAGTGCCTGACAGTGCCCTCATTTAATTGTCACAGTGACCTTCTAAAGTAGCTACTATTCTCCTTACCGTGGGACTTGGAACCAGTTTGCCTGGAATTGTATCCACAGGGATAACAAGATAACAAATGTAAAGCACTAGAAACAATGCCGGGTGCACAGTAAGGAACCAGAAATGCTTGCTATTTTAACCTCTTATTGCAGAACAATGACACAGAAAAATACATGGATCATAAGTTTATAGCTCACTGAACTTTCGGACACTAAAATACCTATGTAACTAGCACCTAGATCAAGAAACATCACCAGGACCCCAGAAGTCTGCCTCATGCCCCCTTCAGTCACTACCCACCCCACCAACCAGGGTAACCTCCTAATTTCTAACAATATTGTTTTTAAAATTATTACTATCATCAACTATTTCTGTATTACAGATGAGAAAACTAAGACTGAAAGAAGTTAAATAACTTGTCCAAAGCCAAACTAGTTAAGTGGCAGAACCAGAACTTGAACTCATACTGTCTGAAGCTCAAGTTTGTCTCTTAATAATCACATCACAATGCCACTCCCCGGGAGTTTTGTGACCATCAAATGAAAGAACATATATAAGAATCCTTGCCTGGCACCCAGCACAACATGGGCTCGATGAATGAGAACTATTGTTGTCATCAGAGATGGGGCCCCGGCTGATCCTGCCCTGCTTACTTGCAATAATTGAAATAAAGAATTCTATGACAATTGAATAAGATGCAGCTCTTCTTGGGAGGTTTTCCTGACAACCTCATCTCTCCTATGCTTAGGCAGAATTAAATACTGCCACATTTGTGTTAGCAGATCACCTTACAAACTACATCTAAATAGCATACTCTCACCGAGTATGTTATGTTGGTTACACTGTCTCCCCACTATGAGAGCTGAGGACTGGATCTGTCTCCATCATCTTGGTACCCTTAAGACAAAGAGTCCTTAATTAGGAGCCCCAGGGTTTAGTTTTAGAGAATTCATGACTTCCCAAAATTACATCCCAAACTATTTAAATATTTCTAGGGAGTGGTTCAAAGTTTCAAGAGTCTCAAAAAGGTCCACGTTCTGAAAAAGTTAAAGAACTTTCCTAATGCATAGCAAAATGCTTGGCACAGAGAAGGTGCTCATTAAACACCTGCTACATTTAAAGTGGGTATGGAGAGGCCCACTTGTAGGCAGAATGCTAAGATGATCAGGTGAGGCTCTATGCTGAAATACTGTTCCAGGTGGGTCACTCCCACCAAAGGCCCTAAATGTGACACTCCCATTGGCTTTCCCCTTCCATTCCATCGAATTCCACCAACAATCCTCCAGTGATCTGTTTAAAGACTGACAGGCTGGGCTGGGTGGCTCACACCTGTAATCCCAGCACTTTGGGAGGCCAAGGCAGGTGAATCATGAGGTCAGGAGATTGAGACCATCATGGCCAACATGGTGAAACCGCATCTCTACAGAAAATACAAAAATTAGCTAGGCGTGATGGTGCACGCCTGCAGTCCCAGCTACTTGGGAGGCTGAGGCAGGAGAATCACTTGAACTCAGGAGGCGGAGGTTGCAGTGAGCCGAGATCATGCCACTGCCTTCCAGCCTGGTGACAGAGTGAGACTCCATCTCAAAAAAACAAACAAACAAAAAAAAAAAACAAAAAACGCCGGGTGCAGTGGCTCACGCCTGTAATCCTAGCACTTTGGGAGGCCGAGGCAGGTGGATCACAAGGTCAGGAGTTTGAGACCATTCTGGCTAGCACGGTGAAACCCCGTCTTCACTAAAAATACAAAAAATCAGCCAGGTGTGGTGGCAGGCACCTGTAGTCCCAGCTACTCAGGAGGCTGAGCAGGAGAATGGTGTGAACCTGGGAGGCTGAGCTTGCAGTGAGCTGAGATCACATCACTGCACTCCAGCCTGGGTGACAGAGCGAGACTCCGTCTGAAAAAAAAAAAAAAAAAAAGATTGCTGCTTCAGCCACCTCATTGAGATGAAAAACCACCCAACCACCTCTGCTAAGGAACCAAGTCCTTCCTAAAATGCAGAGGGCATGGGTCCAAGAACTGCTGCATATATTACCCATGTGCACCTCTGAGAAAACTGCTTTATCTCCCTCTGGCTCATTATTTTCAAATATAAAATGAGAATTAATAGCCCTTATTAGCTGGGTGTGGTGGCAGCTACTGGGGAGGCTGAGGAAGGAGGATTGCTTGAGCCCGAGAAGCAGAGGTTGCAGTGAGCTGAGACTGCGCCACTGCGCTCCAGCCTGGGTGACACAGAGAGATCCTGTCTCAATTTACAAAAAAAAGAGAGAGAGAGAATTAATAGCCCTGGTCCTATCTTACCTGATGGTTGTAAAGACTGAATTCCGCAATAAGATAAAACCACTTACAAACTTGTCTTACTTATCTTTGCACTGGCCCAGCATCCAGCAAGGGGCCTTGGACTCAGCAGATCTTCAATTAATGGTAAGTAATCTAAATCAAATCACTACTTCCAATCACACTACTCAGTCTTGCAAGTGATTTGTAACCATCTGGTATTAGAATAAAAATGTAGGCTGGGAGTGGCGGTGCATGCCAGCTACTTGGGAGGCTGAGGTGCAAGGATCCCTTGAGCCCAGGAGATCCAGGCTGCACTGAGCTGTGATCGTGCCACTGCATTCCAGCCTGGACAACGTAACAAGACCTTGTCTCAAGAAAACCCAAAACCAACAAACAAAATCTTTATAATAAAACTCCAAATGCAGAACATTTTCAATTGGGATGATTCTAAGATAAAGTTATCAGAATAAAGACTACACAGAAAAGGAGAGAGAAGGGAGTATGAATAGACAGCAGACATAACATAAGAAAGCACAAGAACCAAAATAACATGGTGAGCTTTTTCCAGATCCAGTTAGATGGATGCTCTGAATGTCTAAGGGTTTGAAGGGACTGCTGAAATTATCTAGCTCCACATTTCCTGACGTTTGATGCACAGAATGTGATTTGGTTCCATGGAAAGAGGGCACGAAGTGATCTAACTTCAGGACATTTACGAAACACACCCTAAACCCTGTAGGAGTTAATGCACATAAGCATGTTAAAGGTTCTGAGAAGTCCTACAGTAAAGAAGCCAATTCACCTTTATTTAATCCTGCATTCCCCAAACTTAACTGCCCATGATCTCTTTTCCACGGAAGATCTTTAAACAGCCTATAGATCAAATGCTAGGAAAGCCCAACCCAGCCCAAGGTCATGCATCGGCTTACAGGCAACTCAGACCTCCTAACTCTCAATCCAGAGCTTTCCATTAGAAATTTCAAATAAAAACCAGAGGCGACTGACTCACAATTTACAAAAAGATAAGTAAAAAACTGTCAATTAGGCATCCCAAAGAACAGTATAAAACAATAGCAAGATGGCGGGAATGAAGACAACCCGGAGAGTGTGAATGCCTCATGTCAAAAACGCAGCAGCTACTCAGCTCCTGCTGATTATCGCTGTGCAGGCTGTGGGAGCAGTGTGGCCAGATCTTTTCTAGGGAAACCAGAAATCTTTTTTTTTCTTTTGAGACAGAGTCTCACTTTGTCGCCCAGGCTGGAGTGCAATGATGCAATCTCCACTCACTGCAACCTCTGTCTCCCAGGTTCAAGCAATTATCGTGGTTCAGCCTCTCGAGTAGCTGGGATTACAGGTGCGTGCCACCACACCTGACTCATTTTTGTATTTTAAGTGGAGGCAGGGTTTCACCATGTTGGCCAGGTTGGTCTCATCCTGACCTCAAGTGATCTCCCTGCCTCGGCCTCCCAAAGTGCTGGGATTACAGGCATGAGCCACAGTGCCTGACCGAAACTTTTTTTGGGATGGAGGCTTGCTCTGTTGCCCAGGCTGGAGTGCAGTGGCACCATCCCGGCTCACTGCAACCTCCACCTCCTGGGTTTAAGCAATTCTCCTGCCTCAGCCTCCAGAGTAGCTGGGATTACAGACATGTGCCACCACGCCCAGCTAATTTTTGTATTTTTAGTAGAGACGGGGTTTTGCCATGTTGGCCAGGCTGGTCTCAAACTCCTGACCTCAAGTGATCCACCTGCCTCAGCCTCCCAAAGTGCTGGGATTACAGGCATTAGCCACCATGCCCAGCCCGAAATCTTGCTCTCTCTTTTTTTTAATGCAAAATCACTCTAGTTTCTTTTGTTTTTTGAGACAAAGTTTTGCTCTTTTCACTCAGGCTTGAATGCAATGGCACGATCTCGGCTCACTGCAACCTCTGCCTCCCAGGTTCAAGCTATTCTCCCACCTCAGCTTCCTGAGTAGCTGGGATTACAGGCACCTGCCACCACACCCAGCTAATTTTTGTATTTTTAGCAGAGATGGGGTTTTGCCACGTTGACCAGGCTGGTCTCGAACTCCTGAGTTCAAGTGATCCGCCCACCTCGGCCTCCCAAAGTGCTGGGATTACGGGTGTAAGCCACCGTGCCCAGCCAAAAATCACTCTAGTTTTTAAGTGTTGGTGCTGGGTGGGTCAAACAAAGCATGCCTGCAGGCCCATAGTAAGTCTTCTATAGCTCACAGGCCACAAGTTTGAGAACTGTGGTCTAAGTAAATTTCTATTTATGAAATAACTGGTACTTCAGAAGAAACCAAAGTTTGGTAATACACATGGGCTATCAGATTTTAAAATAAAGACAGCCAGGCATGGGGGCACGGTGCCTCACACCCATCCCAGCACTTTGAAAGACTGAGGTGGGAGGATTGCTTGAGGCCAGGAGTTCGAGACCAGCCTGGGCAACATAGTGAGACCCTGTCTCTACCCCAAAATAATTATATTATATGATAAATTATCACATTATAAATGTTCTCATCTGCAAATGAGAAAAGCCTTAGAGACATACAGTGGAATATATAGTTTATTTACTATCTACTTTCCAATACCCAGTATGAAGTTCAGCACTTCCATTAACATGTGGTGGCGCACACACACTCAGTGACATCACCAAAACCCTTTAAGGAAGACTCACTCCGCCAGGTACTCTACTGGGTCCCAACAATGTAAAGCTACAGGAGCAGCCCGTGGATTTCCTGCAGACACTAGTTTCCTTCAAGTGTTTATGAAAGCTAAAATGAGTGTACAGGCAGGAGTTAGTCCCTTGTGAAATGATGACTTGAGCTATTCAATCACTGGACATGTACAAGACAGTCTCAGTGGAGTACCACTTAGATCTCTTGAGTGTTCAGCACACTTGACTGAGCCGGGAGTCAAAACCATGTGTTAAATGAGCCTCGCAGGGCGAACCCACTGGCCAATGAATGGAGGCTTTTTCTTTTAATGGTAGATGTACAGTGTTCTCTTAAAAGGAAACCTAGTGCTTGTTCTAAGAAGTCAGAATCTTAAAGCATTAAAGTTCTAAATCAGCCCAGGGTATACAACACACATCCCAAATTACCTACTGCTCAGGCTTAAACTGTGAAACAGCAGCACTGGGAGAGATTTTCAGGAGGACTGTGGAACTTCTGAGGCCCCACACCAATCAACATTTCCCCAAAATAGGTGCCAGTGAAGAAGAGGTTCGGGCCTAAAAATCTGTCAAAAGGTTACTTTCTACTGATTCTACAATGGCTTGGTCACACTCATTTAAGTGTAGTGCTACCGTGATGCCGAACGAACTCTATGAAGCACCATTTAGACTGCATTCTGTATCAACATTATATGCTGTAGTTATACAATCCAGAGGCATTGAGTGGGTCTATCTAGATCAAAACAGATCTAATGCTTTTTAAAGTCCTAAAAAGTATTAGTAGTTTCTCGGAGAACAATTTCTATTTAGGCGACGACTGGCAGACAGCTAGCTGGTCCAGCTTGTGGAAGGCTGCTGTCAACCTATAATGCACTGTGGCATCACACTCTCCTAACAAGGGATTGCTCACGGGTGATGACAGGTGCTACTAAGTTATCAATGGTAGACCTTCTAGGAACATTTAAAAATATTTTTAGGAGAATGGAACAACATAAACCAGACTTGGATCTACTCATCCAGAGGTCCCCTTGTAACCTAGGCAGACAGTCAGTATAGAAGTGCAGAGGACGGCTGTGGAACAGGATGAACTACTCAGGATTTTGTCTTATCTGAACTAGTTGAAGAAACACTACTTCTGCTAACCAGCCAATGACTTGGGAAAAGTAGACAGATGTTTTTTAATATCCAGCAGTTTTTAGATCTTCATCCATGGAACTGAATGAGATCACATTTCTTTCTTTTTCTTTTTCTTTTTTTTTTTTTGAGACAGTGTCTCACTCTGTCACTCAGGCTGGAATGCAGCGGAGCAATCACAGCTCACTGCAGCCTTGATCTCCATGCTCAAGCTAGCCTCTTGCTTCAGCCTCCCAAACAGCTGAGACTGCAGGGGTGGGCCACCACATCCAGCTAATTTTTTTAATTTTTAGTAGAGACAAGGTCTCGCTATGTTGCCCAGGCTGGTATCAAACCCCTGAGCTCAAGCCATCCTCCTACCTCAGCCTCCCAAAGTGCTGAGATTACAAGCATGAGCCACTGTGACTTGCCCAGATCACATTTCTACTACCCTATAGAATGGATGTAAATTACCTGCTTGTGCCAAACATTAACTCACTAGACTTCACACTGCTGGAGAAAATGTTTACATTTTATTTGACATCTTCAGAGACTTCTTTTCAATCTAAGAATACCATGCTCAGAGTAAACTAACAACTGATGCACTTTGCTGCAGAGTCCAAAGGATATACACGGAGGCTTCAAGATGTCAGAGGGAAAGCCTAGTTGATAAGGTGTTGGACTTCACACACCAAACTTAATAGAAACTGCAGGTTCAAATCCCAGCAGGGTCAACTGAGAGTATTACGATCTGCTAGAAAAACTGAGCGTGAGACACTTTACTGCTCTTTGACAAATTTAAGAGGGCCTTCCAGACTGTCTCTGGAGTTTATGAGGAGACATAAAAGGGGAAAAAGCTTTGCGTTTAAATAAATATACTGTCTTTTAGTTCTGTTTAATGGGGAGAAAAATCACATCTCTGTAACATGCTGTGTATATAACAAAGAAACAGAACTATCACCTTCCAGATACCCAAATGAGATCCTTACAGTAAGTTTACCATCAGCATACAGTATTACAGATTTCTAACATTCCGTTCTTGCCCAATGCAAATCTATATACAATAAACCTAAAATTACCCACCAACCTGGTTTTTCTTTAGTTTTTAAAGGCCATCAAATCCTTGGAGATAGTATGGACCTCCAGCTGTTAACATTCAGAAGGAACACACTTACAGCCCTGTCTCCATTGGGCTTATTACTGCTCCAGTCAATGGTGCATTTCAGAGCTGAGAACAATTCCAATGAAGTTTTCACTGCTAGTAGTAAACACCACTGCTTCAACAATCCACATTAGGTCAGCATTTACCAGAGGGTCTCCCTCTGGAGCAGGTTGTCCAAGAATATGAGTTCAACCACTGGCTCAAGAGAAGCGGAATGTCTTCTCAATGGTTCAAAATTCACTTTATGTTCAACTACAGGCCTTCTGCAAACTGAGGATCTGAGCCCTTTAGGGCAGTGACTATAATTCTTCCCGGACATAGAAGGCCAACAAGGTGACTGTCACACATCAGCACAGAGCGAAAGCCATTACATATTAGTAGCCAGTGAGAAACAAGGTTCAGGACCCTGTACTGTAGAGGAGAGCACTGTAACACGCCAGCAAGCAGAGTGGTGGAAGGGGAGCTGGGTGGCATGTTCATCCATTACAGCCATGGGTGGATCTGAAGTCTAAGTAAGATGGATACTCACTACTGTACTGGTTGGCAGCTAGGCAGTAAAGTAACAATTCATCAGATAAAATTTTAGGTGGAACCACAGGTTTGGAAAGTTCTGGGATCCAATATAATGTCTATAGGAGCATCAATATATAACATGAAAAGTCAGTTATCAGGGAAACAGGTAGGGTTCCCTCCCCTGGAATACTGGAAAGAGATGTAAAGACCATATCTTCAAGCGCCCGAGTGAAGACCTTCTTCTAATACAATGACTCCTGTGGCTTTCTGTTAGGAATCAAGCAGTAATTAGTTATAGCCCAACTTTTAAAGTATCAGTGCGCTTACAATTACATAAGAAGAGAGGAGGACATAAGACACTTAACCGAGGAAGCTGAAGTGTTAGGGCTGACTTGTAAGTAAGTTTTAGATACAAATGAAGAACACGTTCTGTTCTAAGTACCATGCCAGAAGCCAGTAAGTATTTTTGGCAGGTCCCATATTCACTCTCTGGGGAAGCCTGGAGCCTTCTAAAACCCAGTTAATTTAACTTTGATTAAATGCACGACATTGTCAGACAGTAAAGTTTCAATGTCGGAATGAGGCCATATCATTCTCCCCAGTAGAGGCAAGCTTGCCATGAGAAATTTCTACATCTTGGGGACCACCCCCACACATGTAACACCTCCCTCTCTCACCTCTCCAAAGAGCACCCTCACATATAAGATGCCCTCGAGTTCCTTCTACTCAACAGAAAGTCTAAAGACGATGTTCCCCAAGTTTTAACAAGCTACTGGGCGTCAGACAGCTGCTTTATGTCTACACCCAGATCCTCCCCGTGGGCTTCCCGGACCCCTCCCCTCGCGAGGTTCAGAACCCCGCGCTAGCTACACTGTGGGTCCAGGCTGGCCGCTGGGGCACGATGGGGCCAGACGCTCTAAGCAAACCCTTTCCCAGCGACTTCAGGCACCTGGGAGACCCGCCCGACAGGCCGGGCCTGGGCCTCGCAGTGGCGCCTTATCCCCCCGGCTCCTCCCGGCTGTAGGAACTCCACGGAACGGCCCGGCCCGGCTGAGACGTCGGTTCAGGCTGCCTCCCGCCCCCCAGGCCCGAACCCCTCTTCCCCGCCCGCCAGGCCCCGCCTCGGGATCTCGTGCTCCTGCCAGCCGGCTGCGCCCGTACCTGCCGGACCCGGTGCAGGGCATCCACGAAGCCCTCGGCCTTCATCCCCACAGGAGCGCTCTGCCCCTGCACCAGCTCCGCCATTACCGCCCCCGCCGCCGTCGCCGCCGCCGCCGACGCCGCCGACGCCGCCGCTCGGCTCCCCGGTCCGGCCTCCCGCTCCGCTTGGGGACCCGTAGCCGGAAAAGGAAAGTCGCCCTACTTCCGGCGGAAGGGAAAGCCGGGACGCTCGCAGCTGGAGGAGTCGCGTCTGCGGGGCGGGGTCAGGGCACGTGACCTTCGACCGATCGGAAGTGGGGGCGGGACGGCAGCGCCGGGGTGGGCTCAGATCGCCAGGCAGCCGTGGGTCTCCAGGGTCCGGTCGCGACCCTTCCCTTCCCGGGCGGGATTTGGTCCAGGACCGTCGATGGCGTCTTGACAGGTCCCCGAGGCTTGGATGTGGTCCCGAGGTGTCCGCTGTCGGCCGTTTGGAATCTCAGAGGGACTGACGTGGCTCTCCCAAGACGGCACCCCGAACAGTCGTGGTTCATCAAAAGCCTGGTCCTGGGTAGCCCCTCCCTGAAATGGCTGTTGGTTGGGAATTTGGGGGCTGAGCGCTTTGAAAGGGCATTGGGACAGCATCACAGAATGTCAGTGTCCCACATTTGCGAGGAGTCCCGGGCCCCAGTTCTTACACTGCAGTTTGCATGAGGATGGGCCACCGCCACTTCCGCCTGGGGTTGTCTGGTGATGCCCCCAGGAGAGACGCGCCCACTGAAAAGCCAGCGTGGTGTCCTCTTACACGGTCCTTAACAAACTCTGGGACTCTGGGGGTGCAGGAAATACCACAGGACCGTCATTACTCCCATACCGGCTGAGTCACAACTGTATTGCAGGAGGCTTCTTGGAACGCCTATGTAACTTTAATGGAAGTGACCAGGTACAGATCTTCTACAGCAAGGAAGGAATCTTAGTGCTAGAATTCAGTTGAGCCTTTGAGTTGGCTCTTCTTATAAGTGAGCAAACAAGTAACAAGGTTTAGGGGGCGCCCATTTTTGTGTTAGCACGATTGCCCTCGTGTTTAATATTTCCCAAGCCCTATTATGATAAGGAGTTGGACTTAATGAAGAACCATGTTGTCAAACATCTTATGCCCATCTTGAAGTTGTGAAGGAGGATGAGCACCAAGAAAAGGAAATAAATAAAATCCAATACGGGCCGGGTGCGGTAGCTCACGCCTGTAATCTTAGCAGTTTGGGAGGCCAAGGCAGGCAGAACTCTTGAGCCCAGAAATTCAAGACCAGCCTAGGCAGCATAGTGAGACCCCGTCTCTACAAAAAATATAATTAGCTGGGCGTGGTGGCAAACACCTGTAGTCCCAGCTACTTGGGAGGCTGGAGTGGGAGGATCACCTGAGCCCTGGAGGTCAAGG
Source organism: Homo sapiens (assembly GCF_000001405.40). Taxonomy (NCBI): domain Eukaryota; kingdom Metazoa; phylum Chordata; class Mammalia; order Primates; family Hominidae; genus Homo; species Homo sapiens. The sequence continues at coordinate 130,578,353 of NC_000009.12, read as the reverse complement.
CTGCAGTGAGCTATGATCACGCCACTGCAGTACAGCGTGGGTGACAGAGCAAGACCCTTTCTTGGGGAAAAAAGTCCCATATAACTTTCCTTGATGACCCCACCCTCACCCCTCACTGTGTCATTATGCCAAGAGAGCTTTGGGCATTCTAAAGAAGTATGAGGAATACTTGACCAATAACCAAAGTATAGTTATTTATTTGTTAATGACTTCTTTCCTAGACTGTGAGTTACTTTAGAGCAGAGACTTATTTTTCCCTGTATCCCTAGGGTGTGGCACATAGTAGGTGCTTAGTAAACTTATTTTGCATTCAATAATGCCAAGTAGAATAATTCATAGATTATGGCAAAATAAAAGAATTTGGCAAAATTGCAAGATTGAAGATTGCTTTCAGAAAAAATGTTCCAACCCCTGTTCAAAAGTACATAGCTTGCTGTGTTGTTGAAGTGCCAGCACGAGGAGGACCATGCCAACACATCCATTTATTGCCCATTCTGGGTGTGTTGAGCGTTTTAAGTTTGCTATGCTTGTAAAAATCAAGGAATGGCAATGGTATCAACTTTCATGAACACAGTCGTTCAGCTGAACCAAGTATCAGTGATAACTTCTGTTTTGAATTTTAGAAATATATCTCTGAGGTTAGAATGTTGATTCATGCATATTCCAGCTGGCTTTCCCTATGAGTATAAATAGGGAAAACAAGGCTATTGGCCCAAATGTAAGTTGTATTCCAAGGTTTGGTCCAAAGACCAGAGAATCCCTAAGTAGGAAGACAGTTTTGTTTTCCCCTCTTTTACTGGTTAACTTTGAGCAGGTCACTTATATTTGGGGGCACAGAAGATGAAGATGACCCTGAGCTTGTCATGTTCACTGTTAATTGTTCTACTAACACCCTAGACTTCATCATCTTGTTATAGCACTTATCACAGTTGCTTTTAAATCATCATGCAGTTATATGTTTATTGTCTGCCTTTTCCACTAGAATAAAGCCTCTGCTGACATAAGGTCTATGTTTGTCTTGTTAATTGCTCTCCCTACCACCTAGCACCAATGCCTGGCATTTGGTTGGCTCTCAGTATTTGTGAAATGAATGAATGAGATGATCTTGTCCAAAGAAGACAGGGAAAGATTCTTAGAGGTTAAAAAAGAAAAATTCGGCCGGGTGTGGTGGCTCACACCTGTAATCCCAGCACTTTGGGAGGCCGAGGCGGGCAGATTACCCGATGTCAGGAGTTCAAGACCAGCCTGACCAACATGGTGAAACCCCATCTCTACTAAAAATACAAAAAGTAGCAAGGCGTGTGGAGGGCACCTGTAATCCCAGCTACTTGGGAGGCTGAGACAGGAGAATCGCTTGAACCCAGGAGGCGGAGGTTGCAGTGAGCTGAGAATGTGCCATTGCACTCCAGCCTGGGCAAGAAGAGCAAAACCTTGTCTCGAAAAAAAAAAAAAAAAAAGCCGGGTGCAGTGGCTCACAGGCGGATCACCTGAGGTCAGGAGTTGAAGACCAGCCTGGTCAACATAGTGAAACCCTGTCTCTACAAAAAAATACACACACACAAAATTAGCCAGGCTTGGTAGCGGGTGCCTGTAATCCCAGCTACTCGGGAGGCTGAGGTGGGAGAATCACTTGAACCTGGGAGGTGGAGGTTGCAGTGAGCCGAGATCGTGCCACTGCACTCCAGCCTGGGCAACAGAGCAAGACTCAGTCTAAAAAAAAAAAAAAGAAAAGAAAAATCCACATACTGTGGTTGTGACTAGTTTTGCAAACCATTCCTATTGATAACATTGCAATGCCTCTAGATATTACCAACTAGAAGCCACGCTAAAATGAAACTGTATCAATGAGGAGAGTCTAGGTTATGCTACAGTAACAAGCCTTAAAACCTCAGTAGCTTACAACAATACAGGTTATTTCTCACTGGATACATGAACATGGTGTTGCCTCCACTACGTGTCCTGTTTACTCTTCAGCCAAGGCTGATAGCAGCCTCTGTCTGGAACATTAAACTTTATCAGGGCAGAGGAAGAAGCGAGTGACAAAGCACGAACTGGTTTTTAAAGCTTCTTCCTCAAATGCTAGGCACTACTTTTGTTCATGTTTTATTGGTTGAAGAATGTTTGCCTGTTGTCAATAAGATGCAGAAGTATGAAGCATACATTGGCTTTTAAAGCTTTTGCCTAGAAGTTGGTGGCATATGGCACTTCTGCTCACATTTAATTGGCCAAAGCAAGCCGTGGCCAAGCACTGATCAAGTGGCAGAGAAATATAGTCCATCTCCAGGGAGAAACAGCAAATATGTTTGAATAGTAACATGATTTTTCAAATACATCAAGAGAAAAAAATAAGCATGGAGAATGTTGTACAGTAGATTTTAAAGGATATAACATGGGTGGTTTCCAGAATTCGTTAACTACCCTAAAGACCCTCAGCATCTGGTCATTTGTAATTTGGGGAAGCTTTGCCTTGCCATCCCAAGATCTGCGTTGTTTATATCTCTGAGGCAGAAATAGCTTATAGCGATAAATCGTGAGTGAGAGAATTCTCCATTTAGAGATTTTCACAGGTCCCCAGAGCAGACCTTTTCCAATGTCAAGTGTCCACTGGAATTTCAAGTGCAGACTAAGGAGCATGTCAGCATGAAATCTGAAAATTTAAAAATAGAATTATTAAGACTCTCCAACACTGACTGAGGGATACAGGCATGCCTTGGAGCAATAGGAGTGATCCAATGATTGGAATAGTTCTCTTTGTCTTAGCATCTGAGAGTAAATTAGAATCTACCTTTAATAGGGAATGCATATGTATATGTATATATGTAATTGTCACTTAGTGATGGGACTATGTTCTGAGAAATGGATCATGATGTGAACATCTCAAAGCATACTTACACAAACCAAGATAGTATAGCCTACTACAACACCTAGGCTATATGGGGTAGGCTATTGCTCCTAGGTCACAAACCTGTACAGCATGGTACTATATGGACTACTGTAGGCAGTTGTAACACAGTGGTAGGTATTCATGTATCTAAACATAGAAAAGATACAGTAAAAATACAGTGTTATAATCTTTTTTTTTTTTTTTTTAGACCGAGTCTTGCTCTGTCTTCCAGGCTGGAGCGCAGTGGCATGATTGTGGCTCGCTGCAACCTCCACCTCCCGGCTTCAAGCAATTGTCTCTACCTCAGCCTCCCAGGTAGCTGGGATTACAGGCGCCCACCACCACACCCAGCTAATTTTTGTATTTGTAATACAGATGGGGTTTCGCCATGTTGGCCAGGCTAGTCTTGAACTCCTAACCTCAGGTGATCCACGCTCCTCAGCCTCCCAAAGTGCTGGGATTACAGGTGTGAGCCACCAAGCTCGGCCCAGTGTTATAATTTCATGGAACCACCGTCAAATATGCTGTCCATTGTTGACAGGAAAGTGACTGTATATCTCCCCGATTCCACCTTTGGCCTCGTACCACCCTGCTGGTACCATAGAGTAGTGCTACACTCTCAAGTAAGTTCAAAGAAACTTAGTAAATTTGGCTAGTAAATTTTTTGGTACCACACTTTTCCAAAACAATCTATTCGGCCTTCACACTTTAAAAAAAAACGTTATTTTTTAATAGAGACAGGGCCTTACTATGTTGCCCAGGCTGGTCTTGAACTCCTGGGCTCAGGCAATCCTTCTGTCTTGGCCTCCCAAAGTGCTGGGATTATAGGCATGAGCCAACTCAGCTGGCCCCTCAAAATTAATGATGTAGCTAGTTATAGAGCTCTGGATTGTAAATAATTCTCCTTTAGAAGACCGAAGGCATCTCTTATTGTCTTCTAGCATCTCATATACATATATACATATATATACATACATATATATACACATACATATATTTTTTTCTTTTTTTTTTTTTTTTTGATATTGAGTCTCACTCTGTCACCCAGGCTGGAGTGCAGTGGTGCAATCTTGGCACACTGCAACCTCCTCCTTCTGGGTTCAAATGATTCTACTACCTCAGCCTCCCAAGTAGCTAAGATTACAGGCATGCACCACGATGCATGGCTGATTTTTGTATTTTTAGTAGAGACGGGGTTTTGCCATGTTGGCCAGGCTGGTCTCCAACCCCTGACCTCAGATGATCCACCCACCTTAGCCTCCCAAAGTGCTAGGATTACAGGCATGAGCCACCTCGCCTGGCTCCAATATTTCTTTAAACAGTTTTATTGCTGGGCGTGGTGGCTCACGCCTGTAATCCCAGCACTTTGGGAGGCCAAGGAGGGAAGATCCCTTGAGCTCAGGAGTTTGAGACCAGCCTGGGCAACATCGTGAGACCCTGTCTCTAAAAAACAAAACAAAACAAACAGAAACAACAAAGTGCTTGTACCATTTTTCAGTTTTTTTCATTCTTGTAAGCAACATGTGAACATTCCAGTTTTCCAGTTTCTTTACCTACTTGACAACATTTGAGTCTGGTCAGCATTTTAAACTTTAGCCTTTTTTTTTTTTTTTTTTTTTGAGACGGGGTCTCGTTCTGTCACCCAGGCTGGAGTGCAGTGGCGCAATCTTGGCTCACTACAACCTCCGCCTCCTGGGTTCAAGCGATTCGTCTGCCTCAGCCTCCTGAGTAGCTAGGACTACAGGCGTGTGCCACCATGCCCGGCTAATTTTTGTATTTTTAGTAGAGACGAGGTTTCACCATGTTGGCCAGGCTGGTCCCGAACTCCTGACCTCGTGACCTGCCCACCTCGGCCTCCCAAAGTGCTGGGATTACAGGCGTGAGCTACCACGCCTGGCCAACTTTAGCCATTCTAATAGGTGTGTTGTAGCATCTCATTGTGGTTTGAAGTTCATTTATTTATTTATTATTTATTTATTTTTCCAAGACAGAGTTTCACTCTTGTTGCCAAGGCTGGAGTGCAATGGCAAAATCTCAGCTCACTGCAACCTCTGCATCCCAGGTTCGCACAGTTCTCCTACCTCGGCCTCCCAAGTAGCTGGGATTACAGGCACGTGCCACCACGCCTGGCTAATTTTGTGTGTGTGTGTATTTTTTTGTAGAGACAGGGTTTCACCAGGTTGATCAGGCTGATCTCGAACTCCTGACCTCAGGTGATCCACCTGCCTCGGCCTCCCAAAGTGCTTGGATTATAGGCGTGAGCCACCGCACCTGGCCTGAATTTGCATTTAATTAATAACTAATGAAGTTGAATATCTTTTTCTATGCTTATTTGCCATTTGATATTTTGTTTTGCTTTGGTTTCAGCAAACAACTCTGCTAATTTATTTGCCATTTGTAGATGTTCTCTGATGAACTGTCTGTTCAAAAGTTTTGCCCATTTTAGAAGTTGGGTTTTTAAAAAATTTGGGGACGTTGAAGGTTCTTTATATACTGTATACAAGTCTTTTATAAAATACATGATTTGCAAATATTTTCTTTCAGTCTGTGGCTTGTCTTTCTGTTATTTTGTCTTTTGAATAGAAGAAGTTCTTCATTTCAATGATGCCCAATTTATCAATGTTTTGTTCTATGGATTGTACTTTTGGTATCTTATCTAATAAGAGAACTGTCTAGCCTAAGGTCACAAAGATTTTCTCCTATGTTTTCTTCTAGAAGTTTTATAGTTTTAGGTTTTACATTTAGGCCTATGATCCATTTTGAGTTAAGTTTTGCATCAAGTGTGAGGTACGGGTCAAGATTCTTTGTTGTTGTTGTTGTTGTTTTGAGACAGGGTCTTGCTCTGTTGTCCAGGCTGGAGTGCAGTGGCACAAACATGGCTCACTGCAGCCTCAATCTCTGGGGCTCAAGCAATCCTCCCATCTCAGCCTACCCAGTAGCTGGGAGTACAGGCATGCACCACTACACCTGGCTATTTTTTTTTTTCTTTTTTTAGTAGAAATGAGGTCTCACCATCTTGCCCAGGCTGGTCTTGAACTCCTGAGTTCAAGCAGTCCTCCCGCCTCAGCCTCCCAAAGTGCTGGGATTACAGGCATGAGCCACCACACCTGGCTTCATTTTGTTATCATAAGGGTGTCTGATTGTTTCAGTACCAATTGTAAAAGGGACTATTCTTTCTTCATTGAATTGCCTTTGTACCTTCATTTAAAAAAAAAATGAATTAGCCACAAACGTGTAGGTCTATTTCTGGACTCTCTATACTGTTCCATTGACATATGTAGCTATCTTTTCCCCAACACCATACTGTCTTGATTACTGTAGCTTTACAGTAAATCTTAAAATCAGGTAGTGTAAGTCCTTCAACTTTGTTCTTCTTTTTCAAAATTGTTTTGGCTACTCAAGTTCCTTTGTCTTAGCAAATAAATTTTAGAATTATCTTGTTGATATCTTAAAAAAAAAAAAAATCTAGGCCGGGTGTGGTGGCTCACGCCTGTAATCCCAGCACTTTGGGAGGCTGAGGCAGGTGGATCACCTGAGGTCAGGGGTTCGAGACCAGCTTGGCCAACCAACATGGCGAAACTCCATCTCTACTAAAAATACAAAAATTAGCAGATCGTGGTGGGGTGAGCCTGTAATCCCAGCTACCTCGGACGCCGAGGCAGGAGAATCGCTTGAACCTGGGAGGCGGAGGTTGCAGTGAGCCGAGATCACACCACTGCACTCCAGCCTGGGCGACAGAGCGAGACTTGTTCTCTAAAATAAATAAATAAATAAATAAATATCTGTTGGGATTTTGATTGAAATCATGAATCTATAGATCAATTTGGAGAAAACTGACATCTTAACAATAGTGTGTCTTCCAATCTATTAACATTATATATCACTCTATTAATTTTGGTCTTTAATTTCTGGCCCAGTGTTTTATAGTTTTTAGTGTACAGATCCTGCACATATTTTGTTGGATTTATACCTAAATATTTCATGGCTTTTGGTGCTGTTGTAAATGATATGTTTTAACATTTTGATTTTCAATTATTTATTACTGATGTACAGAAATTAATTGTTTTGTTTTTGGTTTTGAGACAGAGTCTCGCTCTGTCACCCAGCCTGGAGTGCAGTAGTGCAAACACAGCTCACGATAGCCTCAACCTCCCCGGCTCAAGTAATCCTCCCATCTCAGCTTCCGGAGTGGCTGGGACTACAGCCCCATGTCACCATGCAATGGTTAGTTTTTTATTTTTTAGTAGAGACAGGGTCTCACTATATTGCCCATCAAACTCATGGGCTCAACCAATTATCCTGCTTGAGCCTCCTAAAATGCTGGATTATAGGCATGAGCCACCACACCCAGCCTAATTGCTTTTTAGATAGAACTTTTATCCCTAAAACTTGCTAAACTCACTTATTAGTTCTAGTAGCCTTTTTGGGTCGATTTCCTGAATTTTTTTCTTTTTTTGAGATGGAGTTTCGCTCTTGTCACCGAGGCTGGAGTGCAGTGGCGCCATCTTGGCTCACTGCAGCCTCCTGGGTTTAAGCGATTCTCCCGCCTCTGCTTGCCAAGTAGCTGGGATTACAGGCGCCTGCCACCACACCCAGCTAATTTTTGTATTTTTAGTAGAGATGGGGTTTCACCATGTTATCCAGGCTTGTCTCGAACTCCTGACCTCAAACCATCTGCCCGCCTCGGCCTCCCAAAGTGCTGGGATTACAGGAGTGAGCCACCTCACCCAGCCTTTTTTTTTTTTTTTGACACAGGTCTCACTGTCGCCCAGGCTGGAGTGCAGTGATGTGGACACAGCTCACTGCAGCCTTGGCATCCTGAGCTCAGGAAATCCCCCTCCCACCTCATCCTCCTGAGTAGCTGGAAGCACAGGTGCACGCCACCATGCTCAGCTAATTTTTTAAATTTCGGTAGCAATAAAGTCTCGCCATGTTTTCCAGCCTGGTCTCAAACTCCTGGGCTCAAGTGTCTTTCGCCTCGGCCTCCCAAAGTGCTAGGATTACAGGTGTGAGTCATCACGTCCGGCCTGCAAAGATTCTTGGCTTCTGCTCTGCTTTATGGCTACTCTGCCATCCAATTTGTGATTTGTGCCTTCTAGGATTGTTTTTTTTTTTTTTGAGATAGAGTCTCGCTCCGTTGCCCAGGCTGGAGTGAAGTCATGTGATCTCAGCTCACTGCACTCTCTGCCTCCCAGGTTCAAGGGATTCTCCAGCCTCAGCTTCCTGAGTAGCTGGGATTACAGGCACCTGCCACAGTTCCCGGCTAACTTTTGTACTTTCAGTAGAGACGGGGTTTCAACATGTTGGCCAGGCTGGTCTCGAACTCTCAACCTCAAGTGATCCACTCGCCTTGGTCTCTCAAAGTGCTGGGATTACAGGCATGAGCCACTGCACCCGGCATAGAAAATTTTTTTTTTTTTTTTTTGAGACGGAGTCTCGCTATGTCCCCCAGGCTGGAGTGCAGTAGCGCGATCTCTGCTCACTGCAAGCTCTGCCTCCCGGGTTCACGCCGTTATCCTGCCTCAGCCTCCCGAGTAGCTGGGACTACAGGCGCCCGCCACCACGCCTGGCTAATTTTTGGTATTTTTAGTAGAGATGGGGTTTCACCGTGTTAGCCAGGATGGTCTCGATCTCCTGACCTCGTGATCCACCTGCCTCGGCCTCCCAAAGTGCTGGGATTACAGGTGTGAGCCACCGCGCCCGGCCAGAAATTGTTTTTTAATAATGTTTTTTCATAGAGATGAGGGTCTTACCATGTTGCCTGGGCTGGTCTTGAATTCCTGAGCTCAAGTGATCCTCCTGCCTTGGCCTCCAAAAGTGCTGGGATTATAGGCGTGAGTCACGTATCTGTATTAGTACTTCTTGTCAGCTGTTGTTCTCCCTCCCATGCACTTTAATACTGTAGTTTTTTGTTTGTTTGTTTGTTTGAAATGGAGTCGCCCTGTGTCCCAGGCTGGAGTGCAGTGACCCAATCTCGGCTCGCAGCCTCTGCCTCCCTGGTTCAAGCAATTCTCCTGCCTCAGCCTCCCGAGTAGCTGGGATTATAGGTGTGTACCACCATGCCCAGCTAACTTTTGTATATTTTTAGTGGAGACAGGGTTTCACCACGTTGGCGAGGCTGGTTTCAAACTCCTGACCTCAAGTGATCTGCCTGCCTTGGCCTCCCAAAATGCTGGGATAAGAGGTGTGAGCCACCGTGCCTGGCTGATACTGTAGCTTTTAAACCTTTAATATTTTTACTTTCATTTTTAATATTTTGTTTTCCCCTCATCCTTGTGATTGCCTGGAGATACTTTCATTGTAATGAGGTCTTTACACAGAAGAGTTACTCACATATATTTAACTGGCTATTATAAATAGGATCAATTCTGACCATATGATATGGCCTGATTTTCTACCTTAGGCCTCTAGGTGGTCTCTCAAATCTACCCTCAAAAAGTCTGAGAACATTCATCTATACCTTTATTGCAGCAAGTAATGGTGGTGGCTGACAGGTGTCTCAGGCGGGGTTTTGCCTGTGAATACAAAGCTCACTGGCTTGTGGGAAAAACTCAGCCAAAGAAACCCTTGCAAGATTGGGTATATCCCCTTCAGATCGACCAGCCCCAGCTATTGTATTTTGGTTTTGTTTTGTGTATGATCTGGGAGACTTTTCACTTTGGATTGTGAGAAACTTGTTCAAGCATGACATTTGTCAAAAACTGGCTGCATATTAAATGCCACGAAGCATACAGAAATGATTACTAAATATTTCATGCAAAATATGTATTGATAGCCAGGTGTGGTGGTGCGCACCTGTAATCCCAGCTACTTGGGAGGCTGAGGTGGGAGGATCGCTTCAGCCCAGGAGGTGGAGGTTGCAGAGAGCCAAGATCACGCCACTGCACTCCAGCCTGGCCAACAGAGCCAGCCCCTTTTTCGAAACAAACAAACAAATAAACAAACACACACACACGTACTGAACACTTACTATGAGGCAGCCCCTGCTAGACTGGATGTTACAAGATGTCAGAGGTCATTTCTGGTGTGCTTAGCACAACAGTCTCCGTCCTGGTAGACATATATTAGATGCTTAGTGAATGTAGACAAAAACAAATCATGTGTGAATGAATTTACCACGTTCTGAGGCTAAAAAGATGAAAACAATGTCATGTTTTGAACATTTCTTCTCTTTGAGCTTCTGCTTGCGTGTTTATTCCATAATGCCTGCTTGCTAAATAGCTTGTACGTGCCAAACCCCACTATCTTAAATTACTACTCTCATTCTCTTGACTACCAGGCCCCTGGTGGAATCGTACAAAAAGTATCCTTCATTTTCCAGTTCCCAGACTTCATTCCTACCTAGATTTCCCCATTCAGAATTCCAGATGGGTCTGGGGACACATCAGGGTTGGATTATTCATTCTGGGAAGGCAGGAGGTCATCTGGCTTTCGGGGTTACAGTTTCTCATTTCCTGTATTAGATAGAAATCTTATGATCATCTGAAACAAAAATTATCGCTGATTGACAAAGGGATCAGGGCTGGGTGTGGTGGCTTGTGCCTGTAATCCCAGTACTTTGGGAGGGCAAGGCAGGTGGATCACCTGAGGTCAGGAGTTCAAGACCAGCCTGGCCAACATGGCGAAACCCCATCTCTACTTAAAAAAGAAAAAAAAATACAAAAATTAGCTGGACATGGTGGCGGGCGCCTGTAATCCCAGCTACTCGGGAGGCTGAGGCAGGAGAATCATTTGAATCTGGGAGGCAGAGGTTGCAGTGAGTCGAGATCACACCACTGCACTCGTGCCTGGATGACAGAGCGAGACTCTGTCTCGACGACAACAACAACAACAACAAAACAACAACCAGGGATTTGTCTCACACCAATGTTCATAGCGGCATTATTCACATTTGGTAAAATGTAGAAATAATTCAAATGTCCATCAACAGATGAACAGATAAATAAAATGTGGCATATAGATACAATGGAATGTTATTTGGCCTTAAGGAATGAAATTCTGATATACACATGCTATAACATGGGTGCATCTCGAAAACATTATGCTAAATAAATTAAGCCAGACACAATAGAACAAGTGTTGCATGATTCCACTTATACGAAGTACCTGGAGTAGTCCAATTCACAGTGACAGAAGGTAGAATAGAGGTTACCAGGGACTGGGAGGAGGGAGGAAATGGTAAGTCATTGTTTCATGGTAGAGAGTTCCTGTTTGTGATGATAAAAAATTCTGGAGATGGATGGTGGCGATGGTTGCATAACAATGCCAATGAATTGTACACTTAAAAATGGTTACAATGATAAATTTTATGTTGTTATGATGATGATTATTATTGAGATAGAGTCTTGCTCTGTTGACCAGGCTTCCTGGGTTCTAGCGATTCTCCTCCCTCAGCCTCCCGAGTAGCTGGGACTACAGGTGCCCACCACTATGCCCAGTCGATTTTTTTTGTTTTTTTTGAGTTAGAGTCTCACTCTGTCGCCCAGGATGGAGTGCAATGGCGCGATCTAGGCTCACTGCAACCTCCACCTCCCTGGTTGAAGCAATTCTCTTGCCTCAGCCTCCCAAGTAGCTGGGATTAGAGGCACCTACCACCATGCCCAGCTAATTTTTGTATTTTTAGTAGAGACGGGGTTTCACCACATTGGCCAGGCTGGTCTCGAATTCCTGACCTTGCGATCCTCTCGCCTTGGCCTCCCAAAGTGCTGGGATTACAGGCGTGAACCACTGCACTGGCGGATTTTTTTTTTTTTTTTGAGACAGAGTTTCAACTTTTGTTGCCCAGGCTGGAGTGCAATGGCATGATCTTGGGTCACTGCAACCTCCACCCCCTGGATTCAAGCAATTCTCCTGCCTCAGCTTCCCAAGTAGCTGGGATTACAGGTGTGTGCCACCATGCCCAGCTAATTTCGTATTTTTAGTAGAGATAGGGTTTTACCATGTTGGCCAGGCTGGTCTTGAACTCCTGACCTCACATGATCCACCCGCCTTGGCCACCCAAAGTACTGGGATTACAGGCATGAGCCACTGCACTCGGCCAATTTTATGTTATTTATATTTTACCACAATGAAAAATGTATTCACCCCAGGAAATAAACTTTGGCCGGGTACAGTGGCTCATGCCTGTAATCCCAGCACCCTGGGAGCCTGAGGTGGGAGGATCACTTGAGTCCAGGAGTTTGAGAACAGCTTGGGCAACATAGTGAGACTCCATCTCTAAAAAAAATTAAAAAAAAAAAAAAAGTAGCTGGGTGTGGTAGTGCACACCTGTAGTACCAGCCACTCCAGAGGCTGAGGTGGGAGGATTGCTTGAGCCCAGGAGATGGAGACTAGGGTGAACCATGATCACTCTGGGCAACAGAGCAAGACACTTTCTCAAAATGAATAAATAAATATATAAATAAAATAGAACTTTGAGGAGTGGAAAGAAGGCTGGGGACGTGCTGTAGTGATGCTGGGGAAGCTTGTGAAATGCATACCACAGACAGTCTGAGGTTGGTGCATGGGAAAGGCTGGCCAGTCAGGAAGTGCTCTCTTCAGCTCTCTCCTTGGTAAATCTCATGTGCCTCTTTTTTTTCTTTTCTTTTCTTTTTTTTTTTTTTGAGACGGGGTCATGCTCTGTCACCCAATCTGGAGTACAGTGGCACGATCTCAGCTCACTGCAACCTCTGCCTCCCAGGTTCAAGCTATCCTCCCACCTCAGCCTCCTGAGTAGCTGGGACTACAAGCACGCCCCAGCAAGACTGGCTAATTTTTGTATTTTTAGTAGACACAGGGTTTCACCATGTTGGCCATGCTGGTCTCGAACTCCTGACCCCAAGTGATCCACCCGCCTTGGCCTTCCAAAGTGCTAGGATTACAGGCGTGAGCCATGGCGCCCGGCCTTGTGTACCTCTTTTGGCCTCATCCTTCTTTCCTGTGGCCAACCTGCTATTTTTGTTCCTCAGCCTGGATGATGGAATATTGGAGCAAACAGCCCTGCTTAGCCTCAGATGAACTTAGGAGTTTACATGACTTCATTTTCAGCTACTGAAAAGAAACTGACTTTGCCATCTCAGTTCTAGAATCACAAGGCAAGATTCCGATTGGCTCAGAAAGGTCAGGTATCATCCCTAAACCAATCAAGAGTGGCCAAGGTTGGAGCCCCATCAACCATGAAGTTGGAGTGGAACGACGGAACCATTCTCTCCAAATGCACTGTGTTGATGCAGTGTTTACCCAGCAGACAAAACGGTCCGTGTCTATGACAGAGTTACACAAAAAGAAAGGATTGGACTCGAATTTGTTCATTTTCCTTTTGAGGTGCGGAATTACTCTCTCTCTCTTATCCTCTTGTCCTTTCCATCATCTTTGTAAGGCGAAGTAGGTGAACATCAGATCCATTTTATAACAAAGAAAGTCAGGCACAGTGAAGTCAAGTGACGCATCCAGAATCCTGGTAGAAATTATTATTATTATTATTTTGAGACAGAGTCTTGAATTAGTCAAGCTGGAGTACAGTGGCGTGATCTCAGCTCACTGCAATCTCTGCCTCCTGGTAGAAATTATTATTATTATTATTTTGAGACAGAGTCTTGAATTAGTCAAGCTGGAGTACAGTGGCGTGATCTCAGCTCACTGCAATCTCTGCCTCCTGGGTTCAAACAATTCTTGTGCCTCAGCCTCCCAAGAAGCTGGGAATACAGGTTTGTACCTCCACATCCTCCCAGCTAATTTTTGTATTTTTGGACGGGGTTTCTCCATGTTGGCCCAGCTGGTCTCAAACTCCTGGCCTCAAACAATCTGTCCACTTTGGCCTCCCAAAGTGCTGGGATTACAAGTATGAGCCACTGAGCTTGGCTTATTTATTTATTTATTTTAAGACAGGTCTCACTCTGTCACCCAGGCTGGAGTGCAGTGGTGTGATCATGGCTCACTGTAGCCCTGACCTCCTGGACTCAAGTGATCCTTCCACCTCAGCCTCCTGCCTTGGCCTTCTCACGTGCTGGGATTACAGGTGTGAGCCACCGTGCCTGGCCTACCCAGAGAGAGAGAGAAAGAGAGAGAGAGAGAGAGAGAGAAGTCGGCATTATTCACAATGGCTCAGGCACACTGAGGAACTAGCCATAGTTACATAGCTTTCTCTTACATGGAAGGCTGCCCTTAATAATATCATATTAGTTTTCTATTGTTGTGTAACAAACAACCACAAATTTAGCAGCTTAAAACCACACAGGTATATTATCTCACAGTTCTGTAGGTCATAAGTCATGCCAGAGTGTAGCTGGACTCTCTTCTTGAGGGCTTACAAGGCTGAAATAAATGTGTTTCTGGGGCTGAGGTTCCATCTGAGGCTTGGGGTCCAAGCGTATGTGTTTTTTGGCAGAACTCCTTTCTTGCAGCTGTAGAATTTATGGGAGCAGGGTGTTCAGGAGCAGCAGGAGTGAATGCTTCCCTCTGACACTCCACCTTCTCTTAAAGGCTCACCTGATTAGGTCAGGCCCATCCAGAAGAATCTTTCTTTTGATGGAGTAAAAAATCAACTGATTAGTAACCTAACCGCAGGAACAAGATCCGATCATATTTACAGATCTCACCTACACTCTAGGTGAGAGGGTTATGCAGGGCGTGTACACGAGGGGACAGGAACCCGGGGGCCGTCTTAGAATTCTGTCTACCACAGGGACCAACAGAAGTTTCTCTTCTGAATCTCTTGAACCCGGGAGGTGGAGGTTGCAGTGAGGCAAGATTGCGCCATTGCACTCCACCTGGGTGACAAAAGCACAAGTCCATCTCAAAAAAAGAAAAAAATTTCTCTTCCATGTGATGTATTAGATTGGTGGGGCTTGGGGGAGTAGGTAGGGTAAGCAGCCATTCAGGAAGGAAGAGATTCCTGGAGTGTGGAGCTTTACAGTGCTAAAACCAGGAAAGTCCTGAGAGAACTGGGATGAGTTAGTCAAGGAAGGAGTAGAAAAAAAAGGACCCAGCCAGGCGCGGTGGCTTACGCCTGTAATCCCAGCAATTTGGGAGGCCGAGGCAGGCAATCACCTGAGGTCGGGAGTTTGAGACCAGCCTGGCCAACATGGTGAAACCCTGTCTCTACTAAAAATGCAAAAAAAAAAAAATTATCTGGGTGTGGTGGTGCATGCCTGTAGTCCCAGCTACTCAGGAGGCTGAGGTAAGAGAATCACTTGAACCCGGGAGGTGGAGGTTGCAGTGAGCCACGACTGCACCATTGCATTCCAGCCTGGGCAACAAGAGCAAAACTCTGTCTCAAAACAAAAACAAAAACTAAAAAAGGACCCATAAAAGACCACCCATGGCTGGGCATGGTGGCTCATGCCTATAATCCCAGCACCTTGGGAGGTCAAGGTGGGAGGATCAGTGGAGCCTAGGAGTTTGAGACCAGCCTGGGCAACATGGCAAAACCCTGTCTCTACAAAGGGGAAAAAAAAAAATTAGCCAGGCATGGTGGCACACCTGTAGTCCCAGCTACTTGGAAGGCTGAGGTGGAAGGATCACCTGAGCCAGGGAAGGCTGAGGTGGAAGTGAACCATAACTGCACCACTGCACCCCAGTCTGGGTGATATGGTTTGGCTGTGTCCCCACCCAAATCTCATCTTGAACTGTAGCTCCCATAATCCCCAAGTGTCATGAGAGGGAACCGGTGGGAGGTAATTGAATCATGGAGGTGGTTTTTCCCAGGCTGTTCTCGTGATAGTGAATGAGTCTTGTGAGATCTGATGGTTTTACAAAGGGCAGTTTCCCTGCACACACTCTCTTGCCTGCCACCATGTAAGACGTGACTTTGCTCCTCCTTCACCTTCTGCCATGATTGTGAGCCCTCCCTAGCCATCTGGAACTGTGAGTCCATTAAACCTCATATATATATAAATCACCTGTCCTGGGTATGTCTTTATTAGTAGCTTGAGAACAGACTAATACACTGGGCGACAACTAGACCTTGTCTCAAAAAAAAAAAAAAAAAAAAAAACGACCAGCCCGGCTACCTTAGCCATCCCTGATTGTTGCTTTGGGCTTTTGGGAAGAGAAGAGAACTGGAGAGGGCAATAAAGCAATGTCAAAGGAGGGAACAAGTGTGAGGGGAATCATAAAACGAAAAACAATGTGGATTGTATCCCTATGGAAGTTGGGATGTAGCCACTTGGGAGTGGCTTAAAGCTACTAAATAGGCCAGGCAGGCCAGGTGCGGTGGCTCATGCCTGTAATCCTAACACTTTTGGAGGCTGAGTTGGGCGGATCACCTGAGGTCAGGAGTTCCAGACCAGCCTGGCAAACATGGCAAAACCCCATCTGTACTAAAAGTACAAAAGGGGCGGTGGCTCACGCCTGTAATCCCAGCACTTTGGGAGGCCGAGGTGGCTGGATCACCTGAGGTCAGGAGTTTGAGAGCAGCCTGACCAACATTGTGAAATCCTGTCTCTACTAAAAATACAAAAATTAGTCGGGCGTGGTGGCATGTGCCTGTAATCCCAGCTACTCAGGAAGCTGAGGCAGGAGAATTGCTTGAACCTGGGAGGCAGAGGCTGCAGTGAGCCGAGATCATGCCACTGCACTCCAGCCTGGGTGACAGAGTGATACTCCATCTCAAAAAAAAACAAAAACAAAAACAAAAAAAACAGAATTAGATGGGCATGGTGGTTCATGCCTGTAATCCCAGCTACTTGGGAGGTTGAGGCAGGAGAATTGCTTGAACCCAGGAGGCAGAGGTTGCTGTGAGCTGAGATCGCACCACTGCACTCCAGCCTGGACAACAAGAGCGAAATTCTGTCTCGAAAAAAAAAAAAATGCGGGTGGATCACAAGGTCAGGAGTCTGAGACCAGCCTGACCAACATGGTGAAACCCCGGCCGTACTAAAAATACAAAAATTAGCCGGGCGTGGTGGCGCATGCCTGTAATCCCAGCTACTTGGGAGGCTGAGGCAGAAGAATTGCTTGAATCCGAGAGGTGGAGGTTGCAGTGAGCCGAGATCGTGCCACTGCACTCCAGCCTGGGTGACAGAGCAAGACTCTGTCTTAAAAAAGAAAAAAAAAAGCCCAAATTTGTTGTCATCTCTTGAAGAATGAAGAATCCTTGCCTAAATTAAAAGGATGAGTAAATGTACAGGTGTGCCGTTTCTCTTTTGGTTCTCACAGCTCCCAAAGGACTCCAGGCTCAAGGAAACAGGCCTTGACAAGGGCCAGTGCTGAGGACAGGCCCAGGCCTGCACTGCCTTTTCATAAACATGCCTCACAGAGATGCCCCCTCCCACTAGCCACAGTCCACTTCATGCTTCAGTGAAAGAGAAGGATGTTTTCTTTCCTTTTTTTTTCTTGAGACCAAGTCTTGCTCTGTCACCCAGGCTGGAGTGCAGTGGCACAATCTCAGCTCACTGCAGCCTTTGCCTCTCAGGTTCAAGCGATTCTCCTGGCTCAGCCTCCCGAGATGCTGGGATTACAGGCGCGTGCCACAGTGCCCGGATAATTTTGTATTTTTAGTATAGACGGGTTTTGCCATGTTGGCCAGGCTGGTCTCGAACTCCTGACCTCAAGTGATCTGCCCACCTTGGCCTCCCAAAGTGCTGGGATTACAGGCATCTGCCACTGTGCCTGACCTGTTTTCATATGTTAGAACCTGGGACTTGTAGATGTTTCATGCAGAGAACGGATTGTGGTTTGTTTGCCAAGATAAACTATCCTGGAAGAAGTGGTAAAGATGAAAAAAAAAAAAGAAAGAAAGAAAAGGAAAAAAAAGAGAGATAAACCAGATAAGCCTCTGGAGAGCACAGGGGAGTGTCCTGAAGACAAGTGTCCAGTGACCAACGAGTAGTTTGTCCAATGAGGGCCTTCACCCCTGAGGTTTGTCTGCCCAGCTTCTCTCAGATCTGAGGTCCTTCCCTCCTTCTTTTCCTGCTGGCATTGGTAAATTACAAGATGTGTTATTGAGTAAAAAAAGCAAGTTGTAGAATGATGTGATCTGTCCGATCCATTTGTGTGAAAACAAATCAAATGCACACAAACCACACTGTTTATTTCAAAGGATAAGTGTATATGCATGCAAATACGTAGAAAAATACCCGAGGCAGCTGCCACAAAATAACAGAGATAACCTCTGGAGAGCTGGGAATGGATGTGGGGATGAGACAGTGAGCAAAACAGACAGTCACAGGACTGTCATGTTTAAATGTTTAAAATGTCTTTTTTTAAAGTTTAAAATCATGTTTAAAATTTTTTTAAAGAAGTAGTAATATTTTATGCATTATTTATGTGATTAAAAATCTTTTTTTTTTCTTTTTTTTTTTTGGAGACAGAGTCTTGCTCCATTGCCCAGGCTGGAGTGCAGTGGCGTGATCTCGGTTCACTGCAACCTCCGCCTCCCGGGTTCAAGAGATCCTCGTGCCTCAGCCTCCTGAGTAGCTGGGACTACAGGCGGGTGCCACCACACCCAGCTAATTTTTTGTATTTTTAGTAGAGATGGGGTTTCACCATGTTGCCCAGGCTGGTCTGAAACTCCTGAGCTCAGGCAATTCACCCACGTCAGCCTCCCAAAGTGCTAGCATTACAACCATGAGCCACTGTGCCCAGCCTAAACATCCATTTTTAAAAAGAGTTTAATCTTTAGTTCATAATGAGGATACGAAAGCTGGGTGAAAATAGCTGAGCCTTGAACACCACGGGTTGAACTGTGCAGGTCCGCAGGGATGCGGAGTTTCTTTCACCTCTGCTACCCAGGAGACAACCAGAGCAACCCTTTCCTTCCTCCCCTCCTCCTTAGCCTACTCAACGTGAAGACAAGGATGAAGACCTTTATGATGATCTGATTCCATTTAGTGAATAGTAAATATATTTTCTCTTCCTCATGATTTTCTTTCTCTTTTTTTTTGAGACAGGGTCTTGCTCTGTCACCCAGGCTGGAGTGCAGTGGCCCAATCACGGCTCACTGCAACCTCCACCTCCCAGGCTCAGGTGGTTGATCCTCCTGCCTCAGCCTCCCGAGTAGCTGGGACTACAGGCTCGCACCACCACACTAATTTTTGTATTTTTTGTAGAGATGGGGTTTCACCATGTTGCCCAGGCTGGTCTTGAACTCCTGGGCTCAAGCAATCCACCCACCTCGGACTCCTAAAGGGCCACTGTGCCCAGGTGATTTTATATTCTTTCTCTTTCTTTCTCTCTCTTTTTCCTTCCTTCCTTCCTTCCTTCCTTCCTTCCTTGCTTCCTTTCTTTCTCTTTCTTTTTTTGACCTGGAGTGCAGTGGCACAATCTTGGCTCACTGCAACCGCCGCCTCCCTGGTTCAAGTGATTCTCCTGCCTCAGCCTCCTGAGTAGCTGAGATTACAGGTCTGTACCACCAAGCCCTGCTAATTTTTGTGTTTTTTAGTAGAGACGGGGTTTCACCATGTTGGCCAGGCTGGTCTCGAACTCCCGGCCTCAGGTGATCTGCCTGCCTCAGCCTCCCGAACGGTGTGTGCCACCGTGCCTGCCCATGATTTTCTTTTTAAGGTGGAGTTTTGCTCTTGTTGCCCAGGCTGGTGTGCAATGGCACGACCTCAGCTCACTGCAACATCCGCCTCCCGAGTTCAAGCGATTCTCCTGCCTCAGTGTCATGAGTAGCTGGGATTACAGGCACCTGCCACCTCGCTCAGCTAATTTTTGTATCTTTAGTAGAGACAGCATTTCACCATGTTGGCCAGGCTGGTCTCGAACTCCTGATGTCAGGTGATCCGCCCACCTCGGCCTCCCAAAGTGCTGGGATTACAGGTGTGAGCCACCGCGCCCATCCCCAGACAATTTTCTTAATAGCATTTTCTTTTTTCTAGTTAAATGTTGCTGTATAAATACAGTATATAATATGTAGGGGCAGGACTGGGAGCAGTGGCTCACGGTTGTAATCCTAGCACTTTGAGAGGCCAAGGCTGGGGGATCGCTTTAGCTCAGGAGTTTGAGACCAGCTTGAGAATTGGTATCACCAACAGGGTCAAGGGCTGCGTCGCAAGGACTAAGCCACCGAACTGGAAATATTTCCACTCAGTGGCAGAGACCACAGTGAGGCCAGGCAGCTTCTATCTTGCTCTTCCTGTTGCTGCCTCGGCCTGACTCCTGCCTTCAGCAGGAGGGCACTCGCATCCCAGCTGGGACAGGTTTTTTTTTTTTTTTCCTCACTCTGTGGACCTAGGCTGGAGTGCAGTGGCGTGATCTTGGCTCGTTGCGCCCTCGACCTTCTGGGCTACAGCAGTCCTCCCGCATCAGCCTCCTGAGTAGTTGGAACTACAGGCGTGCACCACCACACCCAGCTAGTATTGTATTTTTTTGTAGCGACAGGGTTTCCCCATGTTGTCCAGGCTGGCCTCAAACTCCTGTACTCAAGCAATTCTCCCACCCCAGCCTCCCAAAGTACTGGGATTTTAGGCAAGAACCACCGTGCCCAGCCTCCGCCTGAGGATTTTCAGAGTAGGTGGAGGTGCCATGAGGGCAGATCAAACCCTACCAGGGCCCAGACAGGTATCACCATCCTTCAAGAGAGGCAAGAGGGATTCTGCCATGCCTAGTTCTGCTGCACTTTCCCCATCAATGTCACAGAAGTGCCATGGGGGCCGGGCATGGTGGCTCACGCCTGTAATCCCAGCACTTTGGGAGGCCAAGGCAGGCAGATCACTTGAGGTCAGGAGTTTGAGACCAGCCTGGCCAACATGGTGAAACACCATCTCTACTAAAAACTCAAAAATTAGCTGGACATGGTGGCACGCACCTGTAATCCCAGCTACTCAGAGGCTGAGGCAGAAGAATTGCTTGAGCTTGGGAGGCGGAGGTTGCAGTGAGCCTCTGCACTCCAGCCTGGGCGACAGAGCAAGACTCCATCTCTAAATAAATAAATAGAAGTGCCATGGGGCCAAAGGATTCCCTTTGGAAACCCTTGTGAAGGGGTCCAGGTTGCTGATCCCTGGTGTTTAGTTCTCACTAGGAGGTCACAGAAGTGTCAGATAACCCAGCACACTTAAACAATTTAAAAATTGAAATAGAAGCGGGATCTCGCTATGTTGCCCAGGCTGGTCTTGAACCCCTGGTCTCATGCGATCCTCCAGCCTCAGCTTCCCAAAGCACTGGGATTATAGGCATGAGCCACTGCACTTTGCCAATCCACCACACTTTGCCCCTTTGGAGGCCTCAAAGCTGTGCTTTTAGGAAACATACAGCATTGAGGTGCCAGGCTGGCATGGGAGGGCGACCTTTGAGATGTTCCTGCAGGCATGACTGGCTCAGGAGAGAGAGCGGCAAGCTAAGTGGGAACAGGTTTTGTTGCCCAGTTACACTGCTACCTGCTACAGGATGCTTCCTAAATTGGTGCTCCGGTTACTATTTTTTTTTTTTTTTTTTTTTGAGACAAAATCTCACTCTGTCACCCAGGCTGGAGTGCAGTGGCGTCATCTCGGCTCGCTGCAAACTCTGCCTCCTGGGTTCAAGCGATTTTCCAGCCTCAGCCTCCAGAGTAGCTGGCATTACAGGCGCCCATCACCACGCCTGGCTAATTTTTGTATTTTTATTAGAGACGGGGTTTCGCCATGTTGACCAGGCTGGTCTCAAGCTCCTGATCTCGGGTGATCCGCCTGCCTCATCCTCCTAAAGTGCTGGGATTATAGGTGTGAGCCACCGCACCCAGCTGGTTACTCTTACTAAGTAATAAATTACCCCAAACTTTAGCACCATAAAACAAGCATTCTATTATGCTTACTTTGTGGGTGAGGAATTTGGGAGAGCTTAGCTGGGTGTTTCTGGCAGGGGAGCATCTCGTGTGTGGGGCTACAATCAGATACTGGAGCCGGAATAGCAGGGGCGGGCAGAAGCTGCTGTTGGCGGGGCGTCTGGGACCACCGGGGGCTAAGTGAGCCTCTGTCTGTCTTTATGAATGTCAGGTCCTCTTCCTGTGGCCTCACCACGCAGCAGTCTCAGGGCCTTGGACTGCTCACATGGTGGCTCAAGGCTTCTTCAAGAGAGATAGTCTGGCCAGCAAGGTAGACACTGCCTGCCTCTTGGACCTTGCTTGGGAAATCACCTCTGTCTTCCTGTATTGGTTGCAACAGACAACAAAAGCCCATTCTGATTCAAGAGGAGGGGACACAGACATTGCTTTTTGATGGCAGGAGAATCAGTCACCTTGTGGGTAAGCCCGTGGGATAGGAGGGAGACGCTGTTGCAGTTATTTGAAAATGCAATTGCTCACACCTGCCAAATTCCTAAGCCGTAACCTTAGCTGCCCTCTGGGTTGCTGTCATCCTCAAGGGAGTGGGCAGCCTGCATAAGAGAGATTTGGGACCCAGGACTGTGAGTGAAGCACCACCAATTTTTCGGAGTGAAGTTACTGGATACAAGAGCTGGCTTTAGCCACAATCATGAGGAAATAGTTCATAAAAATGGCAAACCTCCAGCCGGGCATGGTGGGTGACTCACACCTGTAATCCCAGCACTTTGGAAGGCCAAAGTGGGCGAATCACCTGAGGTCAGGAGTTTGAAACCAGCCTGGCCAACATGGTGAAACCCCATCTCTACAAAAAATACAAAAATTAGCGGGACATGGTAGCGCACACCATAGTCCCAGCTACTCCGGAGGCTGAGGTAGGAGAATCGCTTGAACTCGGAAGGTGGAGGTTGCTGTGAGCCAAGATCCCACCACTGAACTCCAGCCTGCTTGGGCGACAGAGCAAGATTCTGTCTAAAAAAAAGAAAAAAGAAAAAAAAGGCTAATCTCTATACTAAGCACTCAGCTACAAACACTGCATGTGTGCATCTCGGTTACTCCTCACACTGACGCTGGGAGGCAGGACCATTAGTATCCCCATTTTATAGCTAAGGAAACCAAGGCTGGGAGAGATTAGGGACTCACAGTTAGTGAGTGGCTGAGACAAACACCTGGGTGCAGGCAGTGTGGGTGAGGGGCAGAGAGACCAGGAGGGGAGGAGAGCCAATCGAGGATGCCCTGCCAGCAGCTGGGGTGGGGGAAGTTTTAAAATGGCCACAAATTCCCATGAAGAGGTAGAGTCTACACCCCCTTCCATTGAATCTGGGTGGACTTGTGACAACTTCAGCCAATATAGCAAAGCAAACGTGACAGTGTGTAACTTCCATCCCTGATGAGGTCATAAAAGGCAATGCAGCTTCCTGCCTTGTCCACTGGAGCCCCTGAGCTGCCCTATTGGAAATCTGACTACTGGAGGCCGCCATGCAGTGAGGAAGCCCAAGCTACGTGACGAGGCCATGTGTGGGCACTTCAGTCATCTGCCCCAGCTGAGCTGAGGATTCAGACCATCCCAGCTTAGTGCCTGGCATTCAGGGAAAGATGCCACCACAGGGTTTTTTTTATCTCTAGGCATTGAAGTTGCCCGCCAACCATTCCAGTATTCCCAGCTGGATTCTCAGACACTGCGGGGCAGAGCCAAGCGTTCCCCCGTGTGCTTGGTCTGAATTTTGGATCTGTAAATCCGCAGGCATAGTAAAATGGTTGCTACAATAGTCCTTGGAACAGGGTGCAACTAGGGCTCAGTTTTTGTGGGGGACCTCTGAGCTACTGTGTGGGGGCACCCCTAAGAACTGCCCACCTCCTCCCTCTCACTGATTGAGGGTCACTCCTGGGACACTAATTTGCTGGCATTTCGGGCTGGCCCCTCATGTGGGCCATGCATGCCTGCCCCAGGCAGAGAAGGGAAGGAACCCCCCGCCGAGCAGGCATGGGACCTATCTTGTGGATAACCTCCGGAGGTGGCTAAGCTGGTAGGGTCGGGTGAAACAGAGGCTGCACAGGGATGAGGTCAGGGTTTGAACCCTGCATCCCCTGCCTCAATGGAGCCCAGTGTTGCCTTTGAACTTCTCTGGGGACAATGAGAGGCCCCAGAAACCCAGATAGGGGAGAAGACTCCGGACTCAGGTCAGAGTGGTTTTGGGACATCTTTTTTTTTTTTTTTTTTTTTTTGAGACAAGGTCTTGCTCTGTCACCCAGGCTAGAGTGCAGTGGTGCTGTCTTGGCTCACTGCAGCCTCGACTTCCTGGGCTCAAGAGATGCTCCTTCCTCAGCCCCCACCCCAACACCGAGTAGCTGGGATTACAGGTGCCTGCCACCACAACCAGCTAATTTTCAAAATTTTTTTTCTTTTTTTTAGATGGAGTCTTGCCCTGTCGCCCAGGCTGGAGTGCAATGGCACTATCTCGGCTCACTGCAACCTCCGCCTCCCGGGTTCAAGCAATTCTCCTGCCTCAGCCTCCCAAGTAGCTAGGATTACATGTGCGTGCCACCACACCAGGCTAATTTTTTGTATCTTTAGTAGAGACGGGGTTTCACCATGTTGGCCAGGCTGGTCTCGAACTCCTGACCTCATGATCCACCCGCCTCGGCCTCCCAAAGTGCTGGGATTACAGGCTTGAGCCACAGCCCCCAGCCGAATTTTTATATTTTTTGTATAGATGGGGTTTCACCATGTTGCCCCGGCTGGTCTCAAACTCCTGGGCTTAAGTGATCCACCAGCCTCGGCCTCCCAAAGTGCTGGGATTACAGGCATGAGCCTTTACACCTGACCCTGTGACATGTATCAATGCTCAAGGACCAGGCGGTCCACCAGCACATCCTGGGGCCTCCCTTTTCCCATCCATGGCCGGTCAGTATCTATTCCAATCCCTGCCTAAGCAGAAAGCAGGAAGCAGACCAAGGTCATATTCCAGGATATGCTTTGCATATTTGCCCCATGTCTGTCTCCCCTACCAAACCAGAGCCTCCTGGTGGGACAGGAGTGGGGGCTTCCATTCCTGGGGACCCTCCTGGTGCCCAGCTAGCAGCCCTGCCTCTAGCATCCAGCTGGCAGTTCTCTGCCTGTCTTGTTCACCTCTGCAGTTGTGACACCCTACTCTCTGTAAGTGCTCTGTAAATTCTTTTCAGCAGGCTGGGCGTGGTGGCTCACGCCTGTAATCCCAGCACTTTGAGAGGCCAAGGCGGGTGGATGATCACCTGAGGTCGGGAGTTCAAGATGAGCCTGACCAACATGGAGAAACCCCATCTCTACTAAAAATACAAGATTAGCTGGACGTGGTGGTGCATGCCTGTAATCCCAGCTACTCGGGAGGCTGAGGCAGAAGAATCGCTTGAATCTGGGAGGCAGAGGTTGCAGTGAGTCGAGATCATGCCATTGTATTCCAGCCTGGGCAACAAGAGCAAAACTCCGTCTCAAAAAAAAAAAAAAGAGAAAAATTCTTTTCAGCAAAGGATGAAGTAGGTGCTTGACTGTTTCACATGTGAATAAATAAATGTATGAGTAAATAAATACAGACTTCTCTGAGGCAGCCCAGCCCACACAACCTCTCCTTCTCTCTGGAGGTCTCCACATTTAATGCCTACAAAGAAGGCAAGTCTATCCATTTATTCTCTGGTTTATCTGACGTGGCCTTGGCTTTACCTCTGAGCCGGAAGGTACCTCAACAGCAGCGCCAGCTTCTACACCAGATGAATAATTACAGAAACTCAGTAGTTCCCATTTTTATCTTCCTCCAATGCTTTCCAGGTGAACGTGCTGAAAAAATTTTCCAGTTTCTTTCAAAATGAGTTTTTTTTTTTTTTTTGAGATGGAGTCTCGCTCTGTCACCCAGGCTGAAGTGCAGCAGTGTGATCTCAGCTCACTGCAACCTTCGCCTCCCGGGTTCAAGCCATTCTCCTGCCTCAGGCTCCCAAGTAGCTGGGACTACAGGCGCCTGCCACCACGCCTGGCTAATTTTTTGTATTTTTAGTAGAGATGGGGTTTCACCATGTAGGCCAGGATGGTCTCAAACTCCTGACCTCAAGTGATGCTCCCGCCTCGGCCTCCCAAAGTGCTAGGATTACAGGTGTGAGTCACTGCACCCAGCTGAACTCTTGTAAACCTAATTTGGCTAAAGTTTTTCTTTTAACACTTGCTAAGGTAGTCGGCGTATGCTAAGGAACACGCTACCCACAGAGAGTAAGTCTCCCCGAGGGCTCGGCCCAGCGCTGGGTGCTTGGAGAGCCCCCGGTAGTGATCTGTCATCATTGTCCCACAGCTCCCTCCCGCTAAACCCCAAGGGTCTTGTACCTGCTGGGTGTTCAGTAAATGCCGGATGCCTCATTGCCCTGTGTCTGGAGTTGGGGCCAGTGTTCCCATCCCAGAACTTCAGTCTCTAAACACTGGCTCCTGTTGGTCTCCTGTCATGAAATACTGTGGCTAGTGGCTCTTGGGCTCCATGGCCTTCCTCCTCGCTGTAGCTGCAGCCTCAGCCCCGCCTCCAACCCCAGTGTGAAAAAGACATTCCACTTCCCCCACAGGGATCCTCAGCCTGTGGTGATGCCCCAGACCCTACGTTCAGATTTCTTACGCAGGGGTCTGAGGAGCCCTCCTAGGATTTGGCTTCAGAGGGCCGGAGAATCACCTAAGTGCCATCATCTGGATGGTGCTACACTGCCTCCTCTGTCTAAATTTCTGTGCAAGTACCAGTACCACAAAAATTTGCACCTGCTAGACAGCCGTGCCTTCCTAACATTTAGAAGCTCCTTGGGGAACAGCTGTGTGACTTTGGATGCACACCTTAACCTCTTTAAGCCTGTTTCCTGCTTTACCAATCCTGGGCCCGGCCTGCTGGTTATGATATACAGCAGGTGCTCAGCCATGGGGTCAGGGCTCGGCCCACCCTTCTCGTGAGTCTTGAGAGCCAAGGAGCTACTTCTGAGATCATATCTCAGTGGGCAGCGTGGATTTGATTCAGGGAAGCCATGCCTCACCGAGCCCCGCGCTCTATGTGGAGGCTGGAAGTCACTCGGCTGGGAAATCGCTTGTCCTCAAGCCTCAAGCCCGAGCCCACTCACGGAGCTGAGCTACCGCGAGGGAAATTGCCCTAAATGTGAATCCACCTACGAGCCCGGGGAAAGTGACTATGATGCTCATGAGCGAATTGCGGTAGCCCTTCCGTGCACAATGTTTCAGCTTGTCTGCCTTCCAATCACTCCTAAATAATATGTTTTATCTGGTGTGACTGCTCGCTGGGGCCCTGCTCCACCCGGCACTAGCAGCCAAAGCACGACATTTAAAATCACGTCTGCTTTTCATTCATAATGAACAAAATAGGTCTCAGACTCCCACAGCCGGCCACCGGGCACTGAGGAACCACCGTCTCCAAGAAGGCTTTGGGTCACTGACAGGGCTGTCGCTGAGCTGGCACCAGCGTGAGCCAGAAACCTGTGCCATCTGCCTGAAAGAAGGGATGAACAAGGCCGGGCGCGGTGGCTCACGCCATAATCCCAGCACTTTGGGAGGCTGAGGTGGGCAGATCACCTGAGGTCAGGAGTTTGAGACCAGCCTGGCCAACATGATGAGACCCCCATCTCTACTAAAAATACAAAAATTAGCCGGGCATGGTGGCACACACCTGTAATCCCAGCTACTCAGGAGGCTGAGGCAGGAGAATGGCTTGAACCCGGGAGGCAGAGTTTGCAGTGAGCCAAGATTGCACCACTGCACTCCAGCCTGGGCGACAGAGTAAAACTCCACCTCAAAAAAATAAAAATAAAAATAAAAATAAGAAGGGATGAACACAGTGGCCGGGTGGCTGGATGGCACAGCCTCACAGAGAGGCCCTGGGTTCAAATCCTCCCTCCTCCACTTCTGGGCAGTTTGACTTTCAGCACGTTGCTCGTCCTTCCTCTTTGTGCCTCATTTCCTCATCTGTGCAAGAGATAGTAAAGTCTTTGCCAACCAATGGCTCCCCCAGGCTTCTTCCCAGCAAGAAACCAGTCAGGGGAGTTCCTGGTTTGCCCCCTTTTTATGACATTGACTTCAAATATCAGCTTCTGGCCAGGCACAGTGGCTCACATCCCAGCACTTTGGGGGGCTGAGGTAGGAGGATCACTTGAGCCCAGGAGTTTGAGACCAGCCTGGGCAACACAGCAAAACTTCATCTCTACATAAAACACAAAAAATTAGTTGGGCGTGGTGGAACACACTTGTATTCCCAGCTACCCAGGAGGCTGAAGCAGGAGGATTGCTTGAGCCCAGGAGGTCAAGGCTGCAGTGAGCCGCCATGATCATTGCACTCCAGCTTGGGTGACAGAGTGAGACTCTGTCTCAAATTTTCAAAAATGTCAGCTTCTTAAAAACATTTTTTTTTTTTTTTTTGGCCAGGCATGGTGGCTCATGCCTGTAATCCCAGCACTTTGGGAGGCCGAGGCAGGCAGATCAGCTAAGGTCAGGAGAATGTCCAAGACTACCCTGGCCAACATGGTGAAACCCCGTATCTACTAAAAATACAAAAATTAGCTGGGCATGGTGGTAGGCACCTGTAATCCCAGCTACTAGGGAGGCTGAGGCAGGAGAAACGCTTGAACTCAGGAGGCAGAGGTTGCAATGAGCCGAGATCGCACCACTGCACTCCAGCCTGGGTGGCAGAGCAAGACTCCATCTCAAAAAAAAAAAAAGTTTTGTTTTTTTTTTTTCCCGTATCTCAGTCATGGCATCAAAATCCATCTTCTGTAGGTGTATACCTATGTCCATAGCAGTATGACTCACATAGCAAAAAGGTGGAAGCAACCCAGTGTTCACTGATGGATGAACGGATGAATGATATGTGGTCCATCCATACAAAGGAATATGATTTTCGGCCTTAAAAAGGAAGGAAATTCTGACACATGAACCTTAAAGACATTATACTAAATGACATGTCACACATAAAATGACAAATACTATGACCTCACTAACGTGAGGTCTTTGGAGTTATAAAATTTATAGAGATAGGCCAGGCATGGTGGCTCATGCCTGTAATCCCAGCACTTTTGGAGGCCAAGAAAATGCCAGATTGGTTATAGCTTGGTGTTTGCCTTATTTGAACACGGTTTGAACAGTGGGCCACATTTGATTGGCCAAAACTTGGTGATTGGTACGAGTGTAGGCTACTGTCTGTTTATAATTCCATTTAGGTTATACTTTATGATGTACAGAGAAACCTTTAGGCTGAACTTAAAATATGTAAGGAGGCAGCTTTAGGCTAACTTGGTTTAACACAAGTAATCCCACAGTAAGAGCTTGTTTCCTGCTCACATCACAGTCCAGTATGAGGAGAAGTGTTGGGTATGGGATCTGCTCCATGAAGTCATGCACGGACCCAGGGTCCAGAGCATGAAGGATGGTGCAGGATGTTTTAGGAGCCAGGACCAGAAGTGGTGACATCACTTCCTCCTTATCTTTCATTGGCCAGAACTCAGTCACATGGCCCTACCTGCTTGCAAGGGATCCTGGGAAATGCAGTCTAGTTGTGTACCTGGGAGGAAAAGGAGACCTTTTGATGAAAAGCAGCCAGGACTCGCCGCTGGTAGGAACCATTAGTATTTCTTTCTTTCTTTCTTTTTTCTTTGAGACAGGGCTTCACTCCTGTTGACCTGGCTGGAGTGTGATGGCACGATCTTGGTTCACTGCAACCTCCTCTTCCCAGGCCCAAACAATTGATTCTCCTGCCTCAGCCTCCTGAGTAGCTGGGACTACAGATGCGTGCCATCATGACCAGCTAATTTTTGTATTTTTTGTACAGACGGTGCTTCGCCATGTTGCTCAAGCTGGTCTTGAACTCCTGAGCTCAACTGATCTGCCCACCTCGGCCTCCCAAAGTGCTGGGATTACAGGCATGAGCCACTGCACCTGGCCAACCATTAGTATTACAAGTAATGACAAAACCCAGAATTACTTTTGCACCAACTTAATATTTCGATTTTGCAGGTGAGGAAACTGAGGCTTGGAGAAGTTCAGTGGCCCAGCTGGGAGGGGGTAGTTCTGGAGTTCAGCTTCAGGCTCTCTGACTCCGGAGAGCATGCCCTTAACCACTGGGCTACGCTGCCTCTCTGGAAGTGAGTGCTGAATTGGATAAATAGGTATTGAATGCCCATTGGGGCCCTCATGGGGGCAGCATGTATGTTTTCAGAGTGAGGAGGTCAGATCCAAACTTCCTGGGTTGTGTCCTCAACTCTGCCTCTTACCAGCAGTGGGATTTTGGGCAGGTCAGGTGACCGCTCTGTGCCACAGTTTTCCCTTCTGTAAAATGCGGACAATAAAGTACCTATCACACAGTGCTGCTGTGAGAATCCATACAGAGCCCTGGGGGCAGGGCCTGGCAGATGGCAATTGGACCATTCGCAGTGTGGTTTTATGGCAGACACTGGGGACACAGGAGTGACCCAGCCTGACTCCTCCCAGGTAATGTCACTCACTGGTCAGACTCCTCCACTCCTAGAGAAGAGTCCTGGCCTTTTCTAAGCCTGTCCCTTCTCTCTCCCAGGGACGGCAGGGGCAGGGGAAGAAAGCAGGGCAACATAGTAAAGCCACTTCCTTCTTTAACCCGGTGTCTGAGGGATTTTGTCCACGGCTCATCCTGCTACAATAGGAGACAGCCAAGCTGATCTCACTGGGAACCCACTTGGACCAAGGAGGAGGTACACTGAGAAGCAGGGGCCCAGTTCTCTACCTTGTCCATGGGAGCCCTCGTTTGGTGATGCCAGCCCCAAGGTGACTGCTTCTCCTTCTGCCTCTGTCCCAGTGTGGACGTGTTGTCGCTCACCTCCTCATTTAAACAGCACTTGCTGGCCGAGCGTGGTGGCTCACACCTGTAATCCCAGCACTTTGGGAGGCTGAAGCAGGCCTGAGGTCAGGAGTTCGAGACCAACCTGGCCAATATGGTGAAACACCGCCTCTACTAAAAATACAAAAATTAGCTGGGTTTGGTGGTGCACGCCTGTAATCCCAGCTACTCAGGAGCCTGAGGCAGGAGAATTGCTGGAACCCGGGAGGCAGAGGTTTCAGTGAGCCAAGATTGCGCCACTGCACTCTAGCCTGGGTGACAGAGTGAGACTCTGTCTCAAATCAAACAAACCAAATAAAACAAGCAAACAAAAAAAAAATCCAGTGGCTTCTCAGCGGGGAGGGGCTGGTACCTCTGGCTCCTGCCACCTGCCCGCAGCTCCTCCTCCAGTC
Source organism: Homo sapiens (assembly GCF_000001405.40). Classification (NCBI taxonomy): domain Eukaryota; kingdom Metazoa; phylum Chordata; class Mammalia; order Primates; family Hominidae; genus Homo; species Homo sapiens. Next base: position 130,547,498 of record NC_000009.12, on the reverse strand, counting down.
CTTGATCCCGTTTTCTGAACACCAGCGTGCTCCATGAGGGCCGTTAACCAAGGAGAAAGAGCTGAGAAACCAGGTGCTGATGGGCCCGTTTTGTCACTCAACAAACTGGTCAAGGAGGTCCATGAGGAGCAGGCCCTGTCCTGGGCCCCAAAACCCACAGGTGAGTAAAGCCAGGCCCATCCCCAGAGAGTGCTAGAAGGAGTGGGAGAGAGAGTGGGAAGGGGAGCCAGGAATGGGAGGAGAAAGGTGTCTCAGCCCTTCTGCTGCTTTCTCTGTAACCAGGGTGTGCCTTTTACAAAGCGCATCTCATCCCATCTCTTTCCTGCTTGAAATCCCTGCATGGGCCGGGCGCGATGGCTCATGCCTGTAATCCCAGCACTTTGAGAGGCTGAGGGGGACCGATCATGAGGTCAGGAGTTTGAGACCAGCCTGGCCAACATGGCAAAACCCTGTCTCTACTAAAAATACAATAAATTACCCGGGTGTGGTGGCAGGTGCCTGTAATCCCAGCTACTCGGGAGGCTGAGGCAGGAGAATCGTTTGAACCTGGGAGGTGGAGGTTGCAGTGAGCCGATTGCGCCACAGCACTCCAGCCTGGCTAGGCAACAGAGCCAGACTCTGTCTCAAAAAAAAAGAAAAGAAAAAAAGAAATCCCTCTATGGATGTCCTCCCCCACTCTCCACCGCCCTGCAGGTAATGTCCCCGATTCTACATACTCCACCCCAACTGCTGCCACTTTCAAACTCCATGCACCCGCCTTGCTCAATTACAGCAATTCTCAGACATGCTGTTTGGTGTCTCCACGTGTGTTCGTTTGCTAGGGCTGCTGTCATAAAGTACACCTGCTGGGGGCTTAAACAGCAGAGCTTTCTTGTCTCGCAGTTCTGAGATCTACAGGATCTGAGATCAAGGTGTTGGCGGAGTTGGTTTCTTCTGAGGGCAGTGAGGGAGAGTCTGTTCCCTGCCTCTCCCCAAGCCCCAAGCTTCTGGTGGTTTGCTGGCCATCTTTGGCATTCCTTGACTTGTGAAGGCATCATCCTGATCTCTGCCTTCATCTCCACACAGTTTTCTGCCTCCGTGTGTGTGTCTGTGTCCAAATCCACCCACCCCCCCTTTTTATTGGAGACAGGATCTCACTCTGTTGCACAGGCTGGAGGGCAGTGGCGCGATCTTGGCTCACTGCAACCTCTGCTGCCTGGGTTCAAGCGATTCTCCAGCCTCAGCCTCCCAAGTAGCTGGGATTACAGGTGTGTGCTACCATGCCCGGCTAATTTTTGTATTTTTTAAGTAGAGACAGCATCCATTTGCTTGTGAAAAGCTGGGGCACCACTCCTCGGCGAAGACTTTATCTTCATCTGCTTCTGCAGCTCTAACAAAATACCTCAGACTGGGTAATTTATAAAACATAGAAATGTACTTTCCATAGTTCTGGAGGCTGAGAAGTCCAAGTTCTGGTGCTGGCATCTGGTGAAGGCCTTCTTTTTTTTTTTTTTTTAATATTTGTTTTGTGTAGAGATAGAGTCTCTACACGAGAGACCTGTGTAGAATGTGGACCGGCTGATCTCAAACTCCTGGGCGCAAGCGTTCTTCCTGCCTCAGCCTGCTGAGTAGCTGGGACTACAAGCATTTAGTTGGCTGCCTTTATGCTCAGCTAATTTTTAAGATTTTTTTTCTTTTTTTGAGATAAGGTCTCTCTCTGTTACCCAGGCTGGAGTGCCACGGTGCAGTCACAGCTCACTGCGGCCTCCACCTCCTGGGCTCAAGTGATCCTCCTGCCTCGGCCTCCCAAAGTGCTGGAACTATAGGTGTGAGCTACCACGCCTGGCTTGGTGAGGGCCTTCTTGCTGCATCCTCACACGGTAGAAGGCAGGAGGGCAAAAGGGCGTGATCCTCCTCTGTCAAGCCCCTTTACAGAAGGGCACCTCCCTTCACAAGGGAGGAGCCCTCGTGGCCTCGTCACCTCTTAATGGCCCCACTTCCTGATACTGCCACATTGGCAACACCTGAATCTTGGAGGAGACCCATTCAAATTATGGCAGAGGCTGGGTGTGGTGGCTCACGCTTGTAATCCCAGCACTTTGGGAGACCAAGGTGGGTGGATCACCTGAGGTCAGGAGTTCGAGACCAGCCTGGCCAACATGGTGAAACCCCTTCTCTACAAAAAATACAAAAATCAGCTGGGCATGGTGGCGGGTGCCTGCAATCCCAGCTACTCTGGAGGCTGAGGAAAGTTAATCGCTTGAACTCAGGAGGCGGATGTTGCAGTGAGCTGAGATCGCGCCATTGCACTCCAGCCTGGGCAACAAGAGTGAAACTCCGTCTCCAAAAAACAAAAAACAATAAAAACCATAGAAGACCTCTCAGTAGCTGGGCTAGAAGGGCCCGTCCCTCCCCTGTGCCCCCCTGTCCTTGCACAGTGCTGACCAGCACATCATCAGATACTCTGCACCGTCCGCCTGCCTTTTTGTCTCCTAGAGCCCACTAGGTTGTCATCTCCTCAGGGGCAAGGATTGTGTCTTACTCACCTCGGTGTGCCCAGCAGCTTGGCAGGGCCAGCTCATAGGAGATGGCCCTGGACTGAAGCCCATGGAATGAATGCACTGAGGAGGCAAGAAAGATGAGGCAAAAGGTAGAATAGCTGAGGCTGGGCGCGGTGGCTCACGCCTGTAATCCCAGCACTTTGGGAGGCCGAGGCGGGAGGATTATTTGAGTCCAGGAGTTCAGGACCCGCCTGGGCAATAGAGTGAGACCTTGTCTCTACACAAACAAATTACACAATTTTTTAAAAGATGGAAAAGCTCCTCTGGATCTCGCCTGCCCCGGAACTTCCCTTTGGTAGGGAAATGAGCATGGTTCCCACGGCTCTCCTAGAACCTCAAGACTCTTTTGAAGTCTGGATTTTCCCCAGTGGGTGGTCGATGGCGGCTGGCAGCTTGGGACCAGGAAGAGAGAGGTGGGAGTCCCAGGGGCTCAGGCGGGTGGAGGTGGGAGCGTGCAGGAGGGGGTGCAGGCGGGGTGGGAGCCAGAAACCAACAGCGCCAGGCCCAGCCTTCCTCAGGAGCAAACCACAGTCCTTAAACACTCCCCAAACACACTGATGATGTAAATCTGGTTTTAAAATAATAACAATAATGAGAAATAAAAAGAGTGAGCAGATGCAAGAGGGAGGGAAAGGGGGCTCTGCCAGGCCCCCTCCCCAAGGGGGAAAGCACGTGGAAAAATTGAAATTAGTTGTGACAGCTGAAATTCTCTACTCTACAGTCGACATTTTGACAGGGTACTTAAAAAAATAATAAGAAAAGGGAAAGTGGTTTGGGTCACCCAAGGAAGGGGGAGAATGGGGGATTTCAAGTGACACAAGACGCATAATTCAAGCTTCTTAGATTGCAAAAGCTCTTCTTACCTAAGGGGCCTGCTGCCTTTATTTTTATCCAAATGGCTCAATTACCGCAAAGCCCCACAGAGAAAATTACGGATGTTTGCCTCTATTTTTCTCCTCTTGTCTCGACAACTGTAGATATTTTGTTTTCCTTCTTTCTCTCTCGCTCTCTCTCTCTCTTTTTTTTTGGTGGTTGGTGGGGTGAAGAGAGAAGGGGGGTGTTCAGATGGGCTCAGGGGCCAGGGGCTTTTGAATTGCTCCTCAAAGCCCGCATCACACACACACACACACACACACACACACACACACACACACACACACCCCTCCCACAATCCTAGGCCACACACCACAACTGGTCTTTTTTGTGCGTCCGTTTTGACATTTGTCCTTTCTGTCTTCTGCTGTTCCTTTCCTCCCCTCCGCTCCCCTCCAGTCTCTCCTCTTACTTCCTGCAGCAGCAGCAGCAGCAGCAGCAGCTTTGGGCCTCTCCTCTGCCCAGCGGGCACCCCTCCTAGCAGCTCTCGTCTCATCTCAGCTATTTCCAAACCCTACAATAGACACAGGGAGGCACGGAGGTACCCATTTTCCAACCTTCTTATTGGCTCTCCGTTTGTCATTTTCAGAATTGGCACTCTGGGGAGCCAGGGCTGGAGGCTGCAGCTCTCACTCTTGCCCGCTCTGCCAGATGAGGGGTCCCAGCCTAGCAACCTGCCACAGGCTCCAGAATGGTCTCTGGGAGCACTAGGACTGGGAGGAATGGTGTCTGAGCATGAGGTCCTGGGCCTCGATGCTGGGGACATGCAGAGGAGGGGGCTCCTGCCAGTCCGAGTTACCTCTTATGCACCACTCTCCATCCCACCGTCCTGGCCTCTGTGCCATCCTCATCCACCTCTGCCCTGGGTAGTGCCATCCACTACCTCCCTGCCCCCCTTGGGCCCCTCCCACCAGGCCACACCCCTCCCTTGCTTAGAACCTCCATGACTCATCGACCTTGGGATACAACCCCTCATTGGCCTCGGATCAAACCCAAATCTCTCCCCATGGCCCACAGGGCCCTGTGGACCAGCCCCACCTCCTCTCCAGCTTCATCACGAATTCTCTCTCCCAACTCACAGCTCCCTCCTGCCTTGGGCCTTGCAGCTGTAGGTCCTCCCCTGCCCTGCTCTCTCTCTCTCTCTCTCTCTCTCTCTCTCTCGCTCGCTCCACCCACTTAACCCTCACTGAGCATCACTGAACCGTCACCTCCTCAAGCAGCCTTCCCCACCCATCAGGTCAGGCTTTCATAGCACCTGCATGGGGACAGGGAACAGCCAATCAGAGCCCAGCTGCAGGATCCTGGAGGCCATGGTGAGGCAGGTGCAGCAGGACCCAGGTGAGGGAAATGGACACAGGAAGCATCCAATGTTTATTGAGTTTACTCTATTTTTTTGAGATGGGGTCTTGCTATGTTGCCCAGCCTGGAGTGAAGTGACCCAATCATGGCTCACTGCAGGCTTGAACTCCTGGGCTCAAGGAATCCTCATGTCTCAGCTTCCTGAGTAGCTGGGACTCCAGTTGTGTTTTAATCACCATGGCTGCCAGTGGCCATCAGCCTGTCTATCCCTGTCCGTGTGCCTCCACCCCCCAGTAATTCTCAATTTGGTGGCAGGCACCTCCACTAGCCTGCAAGCCCCCACCCCACCTCACAAGTTTGTAGCTATAAAGGGCACACATCATAGGTGCTCAATAAATAGCTGGTGATGGATGCAAAAGCCCTGGGACCAGGCCCTTTCTGGGGACCACTAAATTCTATGCCCACCAGCCCCCACCTATGTTGCACCTGCAGGCGCCTTAGCTACAGGCAGCTGCCAACAGAGCAAGAAAACCAGTGCGGTGCATGGCATTGGTGGGGCCCCTGGCATTGTGGTTTACTTCAAAGGCTTCTGAGGCAAAGGGCTGGGTACAAATTCCAAGCTCAGTGCTCTCTTGCTGGGTGATTTTGGCCAATGCGTCCAGCTCCTCCGAGCCTCAGTGCCCTCACTTGTAAATGAGGGAGATATTGGGTTTGAGGGGGACTAATGTATGTACATTGCTGAACGCCTTGTGTCTTGAGCCTGCATGATTATTGAATTAGCTATATTTATTGTCCTCTTGCCTTCCAGAGTCAAGAGGGATCCCTGTTTGCCCCTCGAATCCATCATGCACTCAACAACCATTTCTGCATTCACTGGGTACATATTTTATGGAGTTTCTATCATTTTCCAGGTATGGAGATACAGCAGTGAATGACTCAGATGGAAAGCCTGCCCCTGACAGCTGCCATTCTGAGGGATCCACTTCCTGCAATGTCTCACTGACTCCTCCCACGGCTCTTGGCAGTAGAGACTATTATTGTCCCCATCTTACAGCTGGAGAAACTGAGGCTCAGAAGACTTGATCAATTTCCCCAAGATCATTCACTTACTGGCAGAACCAGGACTTGAACTCAAGCCCTTGGGATGCCAGAACCTGAACTTTCAACTTCTGATCTTTTTTTTTTTTTTTTTTTTTAATTGAGATGGAGTTTCACTTTATTGCCTAGGCTGGTCTCGAACTCCTGGGCTCAAGCAATCCTCTCACCTCAGACTCCCAAGGTGCTGGGATTACACACATGAGCCAACACACCTGGCCTCAACTGCTAATCTATAATGGTAATGCTTCTCCAGAAAGATTTTTCATTTTTTTCTTTTTCTTTTCTTTTGAGACGGAGTCTCGCTCTGTCACCCAGGCTGGAGTGCAGTGGTGTGATCTTGGCTCACTGCAACCTCTGCCTCCCGGGTTCAAGCAATTCTCCTGCTTCAGCCTCCTGAGTAGCTGGGATTACAGGCACCTGCCACCACGCCTGGCTAATTTTTGTATTTTTAGTAGAGACGGGGTTCACCATCTTGGCCAGGCTGGTCTTGAACTCCTGACCTCATGACCCACCCGCCTTGGCCTCCCAAAGTGCTGGGATTACAGGCGTGAACCATCGCGCCCGGCCCAGAGAAACTTTTCTAAGTGCATTTCAGATTGGGTCATTTCTTTGCATAATCCTCCTCAGTGGCCTCCAAACTCCTAGGCTCAGCCCAAGGGTTCTGCAAGTCTGACCCCACCTTCATCTGCTGCCTCCTGTGTGCCTTGAGCCCCATCACCCTGGCTGGGTGTCTCCTTCCAGCCACACTGGTCCTTCCCGTCCCCAGACCGATCTGCTCTCTCTTACCTCCAAGCCTTGGCATGTGCTGTTCCTTGTGCCCAGAACACCCTTCCCTTCCTCTTTGCATGGCTAATCCTCCTCCTTCAGGTCTTGGCTAGACTTCCCCTCCCCAGGAATGAGCTCCCTGAGGCTGTGAAGCAGCCCCACCTTCATGCTCCCCCATGCGGGGCTTGCCAGTCACAAGGGGACTCATGACCTGTTTCTCCTCTAGCCTGTGAGTTCCCCCAGGCTGGTGCCTGCTTCTGCCTTTTTCAAATTTATACTCCAAGCACACTGCAGGAGCTCAACACTTACTTGCTAAAGGAGCAGATTAAAGAAAAATTGTAGAACCTGCTCTCCTGGCCCCCTCGTTTCACCCTAGCTGCAGAAGTGAGCAGTAGTCACGTTTTTCATGACAAATGAAGATGGGCGCTCCTTCCTTCCTCCCTCCCTCCCTTCCTCCCTTCTCTCTCTCTTTCTTTTTTTCTCTCTCTTTCCCTCCCTCCCTCCCTCCCTCCCTCCCTCCCTTCCTTCTTCCTCTCTCTTCCTCTTTCTTTCTCTCTCTCTCTTTCTGATGGAGTCTCACTCTGTCACCCAGGCTGCAGTGCAGTGGTGCAATCTTGGCTCACTGCAACCTCCGCCTCCCAGCTTCAAGCGATTCTCCCGCCTCAGTCTCCCCAGCAGCCGGGATTACAGGTACCCGCCCACACGCCTGGCTAATTTTTGTACTTTTAGTGGAGATGGGGTTTCACCATGTTGGCCAGGCTGGTCTTGAACTTGACCAAGTTTCAAAGGCTGCATAAGAGTTAACCCAGTGGAAAGTAAGTGGAAAGCACCGAAGAGGAGGCAACAGCCTGTGATCAAGCCAAAGCTGTGAATCAGTTGTGGTGGGAGAACCACTGGCCATTCTGAGTGGAAGGTGCAGGTACACACAGAGCAGGGCAGAGAGGTAGGGGAGAGGGCTGGCCAGCTGGCGGCACCATGGTGTGCCTTATACGCTCTAACCAAGCATTTGGACCTGAGCTTTAGGCCAGTGGTTCAAACTGAGCTCCCTGGAATCCTCAGAGCCCCACTGGCACCTGGAGGAAGGTGAACCAGAGGGAGGGAACGGACGAGATGATGCAGGTTCTGCACCCAGCCCCACCCCAGGTCTCAGGGAAGCTGCACTTTCATTGGTTGTTCATTTAGATTTTCAGTGTAAGATTTCATTTGAAGGGTTTGCAGCAAATGCATTGGAAACTGCTCCTGCAAGCTGGGAGAAGTCTTAAGCCAGAAGTGACATGACCAGCATTTTATGATTCATTTGTTCTTCAAAAAACTTGGCAGAGGCCGGGCACGGTGACTCATGCCTGTAATCCCAGCACTTTGGGAGGCTGAAGCGGGTGGATCACCTGAGGTCAGGAGTTTGAGACCAGCCTGGCCATGATGGTGAAACTCCATCTCTACTAAAAATACAAAAATTAGCTGGGCGTAGCGATGGGCACCTGTAATCCCAGCTACTTGGGAGGCTGAGGCAGGAGAATCGCTTGAACTCAGGAGGCAGAGATTGCAGTGAGCCGAGACCGTGTCACTGCACTCCAGCCTGGGTGACAGAGAGAGACTCTGTCTCAAAAAAAAAAAAAAAAAAAAAGAAAGTAACATGGTCAAGCATCAGCCCAGGACGATGACACTGTCCTTCCTGTCCCAGGCATTCCTTGCTGAGAGCATTTGTCCCCCGCCCTGTGCCACTACTGAGCTGTACAAGGAAGCAATCCCCTGTAGCAGCTCAGAACTCAAGCCTCGGTCTCAGAGACTCAGGTTCAATTCTTGACTCTCAGCTCACCCATCGTGGTTCCTTGGGCAATTGTGTATAAACTCAGTTTCTGTACCTGAAAAGTCAAGCTAATAACAACACCCACCTCCCGTCGTCAAGGTGAGGATCACACAAGATCATTGGTGCCAGAGGCTTGGCGTGGTGTCCAGCACATGCAATCCACAGCACCTGCCCTCCCTGTAGGCAGCTGCGAGGTCCCTCTCAGGAACAATATGTGCTAGGGATGGGGATACAAAAACAGAGCTGTAGGTCTGCCCGTGGGGACCTTACAGTCCAGGCGGGGGAGCAGGAGTCTACACACCAGGCAGAAAAATAACGAAAAACCAATGAAACGCAGGCAGAAGGGGATGAATCCAGATGGCCAGATCCTGTGTCTTGGCTCAAAGTAGAGGCTCAATAAATGTTTGTTGAAATGAAAAGGATTGCTGGGCATGGTGGTTCATGCCTGTCAGCACTTTGAGAGGCCGAGGCAGGTGGATCGCTTGAGCTCAGGAGTTTGAGACCAGCCCAAGTAACATGGCAAAACCCTGTCTCCACAAAAAAATACAAAAATTAGCCAGGCATGGTGGCACACACCTTTCGTTCTAGCTACTCAGGAGGCTAAGGTGGGAGGATCAAGATTGCTTGAGCCCGTGAGGTCGAGGCTGCAGTGAGCCATGATTGCAAGCCATTGTACAAAAAGGAAAGAAAGAAAGGAAAAAGAAATGAAAAGAATTGAAGTCAGTGGACAGAAAGATCGCCCTGGGCTGTGGGAGTCTAGGAAGCCTATTGGGGGAGCAAGAACCTGAGCTGGCATTTAGGCAGTGGGCAAGATGTTGGTGGCTGAGGGCTGGGGGCAGGTGGGGAGCACCCCAGTTTTATAAAGAGGGGGCCTCCTTATCCCAACCCTGCTACAAACTACTGCAGGCTGCTTAAAAACAACCTCACTGTTTTTCCCCTCGTTCTACCTTTCTGCGTTGTCTGGATGTTTTTGGTAATGAGCGTGTGTTACTTTAAAAACCAGAAAAAGCAATTAAGTTATTTTCATTGGCAAGATTTAAAAAAAAAAAAAACATTCACAGACACAAAGGATGGTTAAAATAAAGTTCACACAGAAAAAAACAGAAGAGGGATCAGGAGCAAAACCGAAGAGGGAGGTAATTATATCAGGAACCCTGGAAGAGGAAGAGTGAGATATTTTGATGAATGATTCACCCTGACTTACAGCCTCCAAGATGAGGCCAAAAGGGAAATTGGGAGGGGTGGAAGATGGGGTAAAAAAGGATGCACGCTTTGCAGGGAGGAGAGGATTGAGGGCCGTGGGGGAATCATGATGGCAACTCTGGTTTGCCGAGCACTTATCTAAGCCGAGCACCCTGCTGAAACATTTCCATGCTGTTCTGGGGAGGATGTTATCTCTGCCCACACCGTGCAGATGAGCGTCGCATCCGAGGTCTGGAAGCGGGAAGTGGCCGCTCAGACCTCTGAACCCACACGTGCTAGTGCTAGCTGTGCCCACGGCTCTCCCTCCTCTGCCGCAGGGGCAGGAGGAGGCTGCAGCATAGGCCAGCGGACAGAGCCGTCCTCAAGCGCTGTTGTAGGAGTGCAAGAACTCGCCACCCTCGAGACCGCCGGCCTGAACACTGCAAGCTGCTGCCTGAGCCTCTCTGATGGAGTCCCGATACAGCGCAGCGACAGTTGAGCCCAGAGATGGCAGGGTACATGTGTGACAGAGGGGACAGGCCATGGAGCTTAACCCCTGCCTCTCCAGTGGGGCCAGCGAGGAAAGGGGCCTGTGGAGCCCGGGCAGGAGCACTGGTTCGGCCGTCTCATCCTTGTCCCTCTGAGGGAGGGTCTGTCGCTTTTGCCATCCAGGCTGGGCTGTTGGAACAGGGTAGGAAGAGTGTCTTTTCTGCTCTTGAACCCTGACCACCAGCTTCTTCTCCATCTAAAACCAGGAAGGGTCTTTAAAAAAGGTACCTGGCTGCTCCCCTCCCTCCATGGCTCCCTATGCCCTCAGGATAAAGCCAAGCTCCTTACCACAGTCTACTGGGTCCTTCTCACCTGGCCCTGGCCACTTCTCTGTCTCCTCCCTTGGGACTCCACTCACGCTGGCCTTCTTTCTGGTCCTCCAATTCAGCTCTGCCTCAGGACTCTTACATATGCTGTTCACTGGCCCCTGCCTGTGCCCACACCCTAGTCTGGTGAGGTTCTTATCTTTCTGATCTCAGCTTAGCTCACCCTAGTTTCCAAGTCTGGGCCAGGGGCTGCCCTGTTATGAGCCCCAGCAACCCTGTCTTGTGCTGACTGGCTCCAAGGACTAACCAGGCACCACCTCACCTTGTGCTAATCATGACAGGCGCTGCTGGTATCTCGTTTTCCTGATGAGGAAACACACTCAGAGAGCCTGAGGCTACAGGTCAAAAGGCAGAGCTGGGATTTGAACCCAGGTCTGTCGGAAGCTCCCAGTGCGTAACAACAGGCAGCCTTTGGGAACTGGAAGAGACCCCAGAAGCCACAGTCCAACCCGCTTATGGGGTGGGTGGGGAAACTGAGGCCCAGAGATGGCCAGTGACTCCCAGGGAGCTGGCAGAGAATCCTGCCCACCTGGCTCCCCAACCCGGCCCCCCAGGCGCGAGTTCCTTGCCTCCCCGCCCTCCACCCAGTGAGCAGAGCTGCGTCTTCTCTCCTTGCAGAGCCTTGCGGTGCAGAGGTACGGGAGGGAGGCAATGGCTGGGCCGGGCACCCTCCCCAGGAGCCAGGCTCTGGCTGGGGGAGTGGAGGGGCCTCCAGCTTCCTTCCCCACCCCTCCCCTAGCCCTGCTGGCAGCTGCTTAGCTCAATTAGCCAACAAGTGGCTGTTTTGTGGAGTTACTGCTGATGTGTTTTAAGTGGCTTTCTGAGTGGGAAATGTTCGGGAGGAGAATCAGGCAGACAAAGGGGCGCGAGTGCATTAGGTTTTATCGCTCTGTTTTGTACACGTCTGACATCACTCTTCAAAGCAAGTTCTGTTCGGCCCTGGGAGAATGATAAAGAGACAAGTGGGAGGGAGTGCAGGCAGGCAGACACGCACGCTCTCTCCCCAGCTCGCTCTCTCCCCTGCTCCCTTGCACGCATGCCATCCATCCCGTCCTCCAAGTGGAGGCATAATGGCCGGAGACGCTGGAGCAAACTGTCCGACAGATGGGGCCTGCCCTGCTCCGGAGGGGAGGCTCGGCTGCAAATAAAGTCTTCAGGTGAAATAGAATAACTGAAGTAGCCAACGATTGTGCGGTGAGAGGGTAATGCGTCTGCCTCTCGCTAATGGCTGCACAGTTGCCAGAGAATGAAACCTCTTCTGATCACGCAGGCGATCCAAGGACAAAAGTCAGCGAGGGAGATGGCAGAGAGAGCGGGGAGGACGGAGCCCCCCAGCTTCATTCCCCACCCCCACCCTCGGGCTGAGGCTTGGACAAAGGGCCCATCCCCGCCTCCAGCTGCTCACTCAGGGCTTCGGCTCCAGGTTTGGTAAAAAGTAATGAGCAGGAAAGTAGCTACCTTTGAGGGGGCACTGGAGAGGATGCTGGGGGTGGGGGGCAGGGGTCCTGGGAGGAGGGAAGACTGGCGTAGGCAATGGTCACGCAGGGTGGATGGCGAGAGATGGTCTGAAGGTACAACGGCTTTCCTTTTGCCTCAATGCAACGCAGTCATCTTCAGGAGCCCCCTTTCTCTCCAGCCCTCGGTTTCTGTTTCCTTAAAAGGAGGAGCTTTGCTTTAACCTGTTGCCCATCTGCTTGTCCGTCCATCCACCCTTCCAAATAGTCATTCGTTTGGTAAGTTTTTGTCTTTTTTTTTTTTTTTTTTTTTTTGAGACAGAGTCTCACTCTGTTGCCCAGGCTGGAATGCAGTGGCATGATCTGGGCTCACTGCGGCCTCACCTCCCAGGTTCAAGTGATTCTCCTGCCTCAGCCTCCTGAGTAGCTGAGATAACAGACATGTGCCACCCCACCCAGCTAAGTTTTGTATTTTTAGTAGAGATAGGGTTTCCCCATGTTAGCTAGGCTGGTCTCAAACTCCTGACCTCAAGTGATCTGTCTGCCTCGGCCTCTCAAAGTGCTGGGATTACAGGTGTGAGCCACCACACCCTGCCATAAGTATTTTATTTATACATTTATTTACTTATTCTGGTGATTCATGAATTGGGCAGCCCCCAGACCAGAATAGGTTGAGAGAGACTCCCAGTATTTTTTGTAAAAAGGTTAAAAATATTTGTTTTTTGCTGTGCATGCACTTCCGGGCACTGAAGTTGACACACACTTTCCTGCTTCCCTTTCTTCGTTCATGGTGAGCTCTCCCCCCTGGAAACCTCCATTCTTCCATCTTCACTTAGTGAAATTGTATCCACTTTCAAAGCCCATTCTGCGTGCTAGCTCCTGGGCGCCACTTGTTCAGATGTACTCATCTCTGTCTGAGTTATATATCATTTGATTTAATAAGTATCTTTTGAGCATCAGTTATGGGTTAGGTCTTCTGCTAGGGGCTGAGAATACTGAGGTGAACGAGAAGCTCCCAGGTTAGCACGGGGGATAGACAGTGAATGAAAAATCCCAGAAATCATCATTCATTACAGCCTTGACACTGCTCTGAGGGGAAGTCACACAAGCCTGTAACAGGCCTCACGCTGGCTGGAAGGTCTGGAGGTCTCCTGGAGGCAGAGACCCTATGGGTGGGGAGACTGTTGGGGGAGGGGGATGAGGGGCCCCGGAACACTGAGCCCTGAAGGAGGCCGAGCCCCAGGTGGGCAGAGAGAGAGGGAAAGGAGGAGTCTGGGTAACAGAACAGGGAGAAGGTTCTGGGACATCCAGGCAATGGCTCTCACCTGTAATCCCAGCACTTTTGGAGGCCGAGTGAGCAGATCACTTGAGGTCAGGAGTTTGAGACCAGTTTGGACAATATGATGAAACTCTGTTTCTTTTTCTTTTTTTTTTTTTTTTTGAGACGGAGTGGAGTCTCGCTCTGTTGCCAGGCTGGAGTGCAGTGGCGCGATCTCGGCTCACTGAAGCCTCTGCCTCCTGGGTTCAAGTGATTCTCCTCCCTGAGCTTCCCAAGTAGCTGGGACTACAGGCGCGCGCCTTCACGCCCAGTTAATTTTTGTATTTTTAGTAGAGACGGGGTTTCACCATGTTGGCCAGGATGGTCTCAATCTCTTGACCTCGTGATCTGCCTGCCTCGGCCTCCCAAAGTATTGGGATTACAGGCTTGAGCCACCGCACCCGGCCACCCTGTTTCTACTAAAAATATGAAAAAAAAATTAGCGGTGTATGGTGGCACACGCCTGTAATCCCAGGTACTCAGGAGGGTGAGGCAGGAGAATCTCTTGAACCCGGGAAGTGGAGGTTGCTGTAAGCCGAGATGGCGCCACTGCATTCCAGCCTGGGCGACAGAGCAAGACTCCGTCTAAAAAAAAAAAAGGAAGGTTCTGAGGTGGGAAGGGACCCCTGAGGGGCAGGAGGGACCACAGCCAGGGCCAGTGAGGCCACAAGAGGCTGGGCGCAGGAGTGAGACCAAGAGAGGTCTCTGTTCTGCAAGTCGTAGTCACAAGCATTGGTGGTCCCAAAGGCCATCCTTGCTCGGATAGGGGAGAAAGATGCTCTTTTAAAAAAAAAAATTTGTTTTAACCAAAGGCAAGTCTTTCATTGAACTTCTTGCACCCCTCATCCACCCCCACCCAGCCCCAGTGCTGGCTCTTCCCCATTGTCCATCCCTGCAGCACCTGTTCAGGGGCTGGAGGACAGGAGGGACACACATAGCGGGAAGAAGGAGCAAGAGACAGAGACAAACCTTGTGCAGCAGACGGGGCAGACCACTGGGCAATGGGGGGCACCTGGGAAAGACGCGTGTCTCCTTCATGGCTCCCCTCGGGAAAGGAGTGGAGAATGCTTTCAACATGGAGAATGCCTTCTCCCCCTCCAGTAAAAGGTATGTCTTTTTGGGGTTTTCTCATTGCAATGGTAATGCACACCTGCTGTAAGAAAAAGCCAAGCGTCTATTAACTGGTTTTCAAAAGGAGAAAAAAGGAAAAGCCAAGTGTCTCGGAAATCAACAGGCCAGAACTTTGGAGCCCTCCTGGCTCCTGTCTTCCTCCCACCCCCAGGTCCAGTTGATGGGCTCCACCTTTGGAGTGGCTTCCGCTCTGACACTGACAGCCACCTCCACCCTCGGCTCTGACCCGAGCCCCCACCACAGATCTAACAGGCTCTTCACTCAGCAGCCAGCGGGGCCCTTTATCAATGGCAGGGCAGGGCACTCCTCTGCCCAAACCATTTGGTGTCTTCACTTTGCTTGGAGCAAAAGCCAAACCCTCCTCTCAGCCCTCAGGGACCTGTGTGATCCGCTCCCACCCTTTCCTCTGCCATCCCGCCTCTTTTCCCCCAGGGGGTCTTCAAGGATCTGGTCCCACACTGCACTCACAGCAGCTGCTCTCTGGAAAGCCTCAAGTCGTCTTGTCCTGAGTGTGTGCCCCCCAGGCCATAGTCAAAGACTTGCTTAGAAACCCAGCCTGAGGCTGGGCATGCTGGCTCATGCCTGTAATCCTACCACTTTGGTAGGCCAAGGTGGGCGGATTGCCTGAGCTCAGGCGTTTGAATCCAGACTGGCCAGCATAACAAAACCCTATCTCTACTAAAAATCCAAAAATTAGCCAGGTTTGGCACATGCCTATAGTCCCAGCTTCTTGGGAGGCTGAGGCAGGAGAATCGCCTGAACCTGGGAGGCGGAGGTTGCAGTGAGCTGGGATGGTGCCACTGCATTCCAGCCTGGGTGACAGAGCAAGACTCTGTCTCAAAAAAAAAAAAAAAAAAAAAAAAAAAAAAGATCCAGGTATGGTGGCTCACATCTGTAATCCTAGCACGTTAGGAGGCCGAGGTGGGTGGATCACCTGAGGTTGGGAGTTCGAGACCAGCTTGACTAGCATGGAGAAGCCCCGTCTTTATTAAAAATTACAAAATTAGCTGAATGTGGTGGCACATACCTGTAATCCCAGCTACTCGGGAGGCTGAGGCAGGAGAATTGCTTGTATCCTGGAGGTGGAGGTTACGGTGAGCCGAGATCGCGCCATTGCACTCCAGCCTGGGCAACAAGAGCGAAACTCTGTCTCAAAAAAAAAAAAAAAAAAAAGAAAGAAAGAAAGAAAGAAAGGAAAAAAAAAAAGAAACCCAGCCCTGGCATCATCCTTTCCTCCAGCCCTGCAGACCCTGCGGCCTCAGTAGCTCCGTGTCCTTATCTCTGCCTCCCAGCTCAGCAGGATGACTGCAGCTTGGATCCCTGCTCTCTGGTCTGTGGCTGGGAAATTGGCCCCAGGCAGAGATCTGGTGATTGTGGGGCTCACTTCATGGGTTTCCCTTCTCTCAGGGATTGTGGTCTTGCACAGTCTGAATCTATGGTCTTGCACCGAACAGAGTAGCCTCATAGATTCCATCAAGGGCTAGTTGTATACCCACTACTCCTCCGTGGCCTGTAGCAGATGTTTGCTATTAGCTTTATTTACTTATTTTTATAAAAATTTTTATTTTGGAATTATTTTTATTATTATTTGTTCTGTACAGACAGGGTCTCCCTCTGTTGACCAAGCTGGCCTTGAACTCCTGGCCTCAAGTGATCTTCCAACCTTGGCTCCTAAAGTGCTGGGATTACAGATGTGAGCCACCACGCCTGGGCCCAGAATAATTTTAGCTTTATAGAAAAGTTGCAAGGATAGTGCCGAGAGCCCCTGTATACTCATCATTCACTTTCTTCTACAGTTAACATCTTCTATAACCATGGCCCATTTGTCAAAACTAAGAAATTAACATGGGTGCAATATTACTAATTAAACTACAGACTTTGATTTCATCAGTTTTTTCATTAATGTCTTTGGATTGTCTAAAATCTGATCCAGAATCCCACGTGCTAGCAGCTCTATTTCAATAGCCAGAAACTGGGAGCAACCCAAATATCTGTCAACAGAAGTTGTGAAATAAATCGTGGTGCATTCCCATAATGAAATATGATGCAGGCCGGGCGCGGCGGCTCATGCCTGTGATCCCAGCACTTTGGGAGGCCTAGGCGGGCGGGTCATTTGAGATCAGGAGTTTGAGACTAGCCTGGTCAACATGGTAAAACCCCATCTTTACCAAAAATACAAAAATTAGCCGGGCATGGTGGCTGTGCCTGTAATCCCAGATACTCAGGAGGCTGAGGCAGAAGAATCGCTTGAACCCGGGAGGCAGAGGTTGCAGTGAGCTGAGATCGCACCACAGCACTCCAGCCTGGGTGACAGAGCGAGACTCCATCTCAAAAAAAAAAAAAGAAAAAAGAAAAAAGATAAAAGGAGTCTGACACAATTAATTAATGAATTCGTAAGTTTTTAGTAAATGATTAATTTTTAATTGGGGTTGAAGAGGTTAGAATTGTCATTACCATTTGTGGCAGACAGACCCTAAAGTGACCCCTGTAATTTTTGTTTAAAAGAATGGAGTCTTGCTATGTTGCCCAGGCTGGTCTTGAACTCCTGGGCTCAAGAGATCCTCCCGCCTCAGCCTCCCAAGTAGCTAGGACTGTAGGCATGAGCCACCATCCCTGGCTGACTCCCACTGATTTTTAACCTTTGGTATGTACACTCTTTGTAACCCCTCCTTTTGACTGTGGGTGGGACTAGGGATGTGCTTTTGGCTGAGATGATAAAGCTGAAGGAGTTTTGCAGGTGTAATTTAGATCTCAAGGCAGTTCATTTTGAGTTCATTGAAAGGGTTAGGCTGGACTTAATTAGGTAAAACCTTAAGTCTGGGCCCAGTGGCTCACGCCTGTAATCCCAGCACTTTGGGAGGCTGAGGTGGGTGAATCACTTGAGTCCAGGAGTTTGAGACCAGCCTGGACAACATGGCGAAACCCCATCTCTACCAAAATACAAAAATTAGTCTGGCGTGGTGGTGCATGCCTGTAATCCCAGCTACTTGGGAGGCTGAGGTGGGAGGATCCCTTGAGCCCTGGAGACTAAGATTGCAGTGAGCTGAGATCACGCCACTGCACTCCAGCCTGGGTGACAGAGCGAGACTCCATCTCAAAGAAAATGAAACAAACAAAAAAAGCTGAAGAGAGACTTGCAGAAGCAAGCTTCTATGGTGTGAACTGCCTTAGAGATGGCCACGTGGCACCAGGGGGCCACTGGCTGACAGCCAGCCAGAAAACAGGGAGCTCAGTTCTACTGGTGCAAGGAACTGAATTCTGCCGACCAATGCAAGACCTTGGAAGACGACCTGAGCTCTGAAAGAAGATGCAGCCCGGCTGACACCTTGACTGCATTTCAACAGCTGATCCATGTGCATGCCAAGGTTGGGAGTGCTGGTGTTTAGAACCTCCCGGAGTGAAATGAGAAGTGGGGAGTGTGCGTATGTGCGTGTGTGTGTCTGTTGACTGCAGCCTGATGAGACCCTGAAGACAAGACCCATTCAACTGTGCCCAGACTCCCGAGCCACAGCCACTGTGAGATGATCAACGTGTGTTGTTTGAAGCAATAGGTAGCTAATGCACCACCACAGCCATAGTGACTGGGAGCGGCATGGAACACTCCTGAGGTGCAGTTCAGATTTGTGCAGTTGACTATATGTAACTTACACCCAGGCTAAAGTGATCCTTCCACTTCAGCCTCCTAAGTAACTGGGACTACAGGTGCATGCCACCACACCTGGATAATTTTTAAATTTTTTGTAGAGATGGGGTCTCGCCATTTGCCCAGGTTAGTCTCAAACTTCTGGGCTCAAGTGATCCCCCCGCCTCAGCCTCCCAAAGTGCTGGGATTACAGGTGTGAGCCACTGTGCCAGCTCATATGTCTTTATTTGAAGAGACCTCGCTCCTCATCTCCAGTCCTGCATCTCATCCTGCTGGTTTCCTTCCCAGGGCTTTTCATCACATGTAATCTTCTTACATTTTTGTTTGCTTGTAACTTTTTGTTTGCTTATTAGTTTGTTTTCTGTCTCATCCTCTAGAGCAGTGTTGTACAACAGAAATGTAAGCCTCATAATTGAAAGTTTTCTAGTAGCTGCATTAAAAAAAAAAGAAATACGTGAATTTGTTTAATGCAATATATTCACAGTATGATCATGTCGGCATGTAGTGAATATTTTTAAAATTGAGATATTTTACATTCTTTTGCTTGCACTGTTTTTTGAGACAGGGTCTTGCTCTGTTACCCAGGCTGGAGTGCAGTGGCAGTGTGATCATAGCTCACTGCAGCCTCGACCTCCTGGGCTCACGTGATCCTCTCACCTCAGCCTCCCGAGTAGCTGGGAGTACAGGCCGGGCTGATGTTTGTATTTTTGTAGAGGCAGAGTTTTGCCATGTTGCTCAGGCTGGTCTGAAACTTCTGAGCTTAGGAAATCCTCCTGCCTCGGCCTCCCAAAGTGTTGGGATTACTGGTGTGAGCCACTGCGCCTGGCCAGTTTGCACTGTCTTTGAAATCCAGTGTGTATTTAACACTCACAGCGCATCTCAATGGGGACCGGCCACAGTTCACGCGCTCACACGTGGTGGGGCTACTGTTCCGGACAGCACAGCTTGAGACCGTAAGCTGTGGGGTGGTGGGGCGCATGGGGCTGAGGTCTCGCCCATTTTGCTCGCTGCTCTACCCCAGCGCTCAGCTCAGTGCTTAGCATGTCTCTGATGCTCAATAAATATGCAGTGAAGGAATGGGAGGTGAATGAAGTTACTTCAGATACTTTTTGGACATCTGGAGGGTATCTTTTTTTTCCTCCCTTCCATTCTACCTTCCTTTTTACCTAACTCCCTTCCCACCTTCCCTCCTCATCTCAGGCCCTTTCTTTAGGGTAAAGATCTTAACACACACATGCACACTCGCCCCTTCTCATTTCACTCCGGGAGGTTCTAAACACCAGCACTCTCAGCCTTGGCGCGCGCATGTATCAGCTGTTAAAATGCAGACTGTGGTCAGTAGGTCTGGAGCAAAGGGGCCCAGATTCTGCCTTTCTAGTGAGCTCCCAGGGGCCCCTGTGGGTCTATGGCCCCTGCTTGAAGGCGGGAGGCTGTAGAGCCGCCTGCTCTTCCTGCTGGCTCAGGCTAGGGGTAGAGGGTCACACGAGGACCGAGGAGAATTTGGAAGCAGAGCCCTCCTGCTCTTGTTAACCTTCCTCCCTAAATATGGGCTACTGTGCTTTCTGGGGAGCAAGGGGGTCCCAGCATGGGGTGGCTTGCTGCCTCTGGCCTCTGCCCTCGTTGGGATGTTGTGACTCAGGCAGGACACTCTGTTGAAGGTGGAGTTTCTGCCCCACACAGAGTCAAAGGCAGGAAGTCCCACCTTGGAGGCACACTGGGTCCACTGGTCCTGCCCAGAGGCTGTGGGACAGCCAAGCTTGGCCTTCCAGGGACCTATGATACCCCCAATACCACGACTGCCCCACCAGACTGGCTGGCCACTGCCACCTTCGCCCACAGGAGAAGGCCGAAGCTGAGCAGGGAGAGTTCCCCCTGGGGAAACTGGAGGCTTCCTTGAACTTACTCTGTGACCTTGAGAAGCCCCCCAGCCTCAGTTTCCCCATCCGAATTCTAGGGGCTGGTCTCAGCAATCCCAGCTCCTGCCTGAGACAGTCGGCGAGCCCAGCGAGGTCCTGGGGCCGTGCGTGTGCACGGAGGCTGACTCCGCGGCTGTCCGGGTGGGATTTCTGGCGGCAGGGGTGTCTCCCTCCTGTCCCAACTGGCCCACATGGGGCTGTTTTTCACAGCACCATTGATCCGGCTAAACCAGGGAGATGCATTACATCTCCTCCGGAGGTCAGGGGTTGGGCAGCCCAGCTGGTAAATCGCCCGCTGGCTGTGTTTTAAGGCCCTGCCCTGTGTTTTGGCTCCTTGGACCTTGGGAGAAACTGCTGAAGTTTGATATGGCTCTGGGGGCCCATGGGGGCAAAGGGCGTCAGGCAAGGGAGGGACAAATAGATCGATGGGAAACTGCCATGACCTCATGACCTCGGAGATGGCTTCAAACTGTGTCTTAACATGCCCTGGTAAATCTGAGGGTGGACCTGCCTCCCCTGGGGACAGTGGGGACAGTGAGGACGGGGCGGGAGGAGGCAGTGAAGGGCATGCCAGGGAAGTGAGAGACCACGGTCTGAGCGGCTGGATTCTTAGCGTTCGCCAGCTGCAGCCAGGCTGGGTTTGATCTGCTCTCCCTTGTCGTCATGTAGCGGGGGCACCGCACTTTACAGTGTGCACCGTACGCGCTGCATGTTCTGTCCTTGCGGGTGCAGACTTTGATGGTGGGGAAGACTGGGCTCAGCCTGGGCCCAGGTGGCCCGGTTTGCAGGTGGCAGAGCTTTTGAGGGACTGCAAATGGGTCAGTCTAGCTGAGGGACAAAATCCAAAGGGAGTCCAGACAGGTGGGGACAGGGCTCCAGAGGTGGCCAGGGACCAGCGTCACACTTTAAAGAGCCCCAGGAAGCTTTCAGCTCAGGCAAGAGAGGGAGGAATAACATGCAATTGTGTTCCAGAAAGCTCACATGGCTTCAGTGCGGGGCCAGAAGGGAAGCTGGTTTGGTTGCGATGATTCCTCACGGGCCCCCACCATCTTCCTAGGCACTTGCCCGCAGGGCCCGGAGTCACAGATCTGGGTTCGAATCCCATCTCTGCCCCTGACTTGCAAGTGACTTCTCTCTGAGCTCTGGTTTCCCAGCCTGTGTCTCTATGAGTGTTAGACGTTTGGCTGAGACGAGCTCAGGCGCAGCGCCTGGGGCCGAGCCGTCAACGCGGCCACTGTCACCATCCCACTTCCCCTCGGCCAGGCAGCCTCAGTCTCCCTCCCGATGCCACAGCCCTCCTGGGGTCTGCAGGAAGTAAAGTCTGTACACCTGCCCAGTCCCTGGTGCCCAACCCAGATGGGCTGAGGGCACACAGTGTGGAGGCAACCAGCCATTTCTTCCTTCACCTTTACCCTCTTTCCTGGAGTTGGGGGGCAAGATCCAGGGGGCGCCTCACTGTCCTCCCAGTGGCATTAACTCCTTGCTGGGCCTCTTGTGACCCCTGGGGTGAGGCACATCCAGAGGCTGGTGGCTGCAGATTCCAGCCTGGTCGTGACTATGACTGGCCCTTCATCAGGGTGTGCCCTTCTCTATGGGCCTCAGTCTCCCCATTTGTGCAATGATTGGCATTTCCCAAATACAACAGGCATGACTGGTGGCCCAAAAGATGATTTGGGCTGAACATTGCACCCGCTGTGATAAATGTATCCTCTTTCTCTTTTTTTTTTTTTGAGACAGGGTTTCACTCTTCTTGCCCAGGCTGGAGTGCAATGGCACGATCTCAGCTCACTGCAACCTCCGCCTCCTGGGTTCAAGCAATTCTCCTGCCTCAGCCTCCTGAGTTGCTGGGACTACACCCACCACCATGCCCGGCTAATATTTTATATTTTTAGTAGAGAAGGGGTTTCACCATGTTGGCCAGGCTGGTCTCGAACGCCTGACCTCAGGTGATCCACCCACCTCGGCTTCCCAAATTACTGGGATTACAGGTATGAGCCACTGCGCCCGGCCTAAACGTATCCTCCTTTTCGTTCTCTTCCATTCCATCCCACAAATTCTCACTGCATCAGAGAGACTTGGGCTGGTGTCACTTGGTTTAGTGCCTCTTGGATACTGGCTAGACTCACTTCTTTCTTTATGTTTGAACATTTAAAAATTTAAATTGTGGCAAAATATGCATAACATAAAATTTACCTTAACCATCTTTCAGTGTACAGTTCAGTCATGTTAGTAAACTACCTTTTTATTTTTTGAGAGACGCTCGCTCTGTCACCCAGGCTGGAGTACAGTGGTGAGAACACAGCTCACTGCAGCCTCAACCTTCTGTGCTCAAGCGATCCTCCCACCTAAGCCTCCTGAGTACCTGGTACTGCAGGTGTGTGCCACCACGCCTGGCTCATTTTTTAATTTTTTTTTTTTTTTAGATGGAGTCTTGCTCTGTTGCCCAGGCTAGAGTGCAATGGAACAATCTCAGCTCACTGCAACCTCTGCCTCCCTGTTTCTAGTGATCCTCCTGCCTCAGCCTCCTAAGTAGCTGGGACTACAGTTGCACGCCACCATGTCTGGCTAAGTTTTTTGTTTGTTTGTTTGTTTGTTTGTTTTTTACTTTTCGTAGAGACGGGGTTTTGCCACGTTGGCCGGTCTGGTTTTGGACTCCTAACCTCAGGTGATCTGCCTGCCTCTCAAAGTGCTGCGATTACAGGCGTGAGCCACTGCACCTAGCCTAATTTTTAAGTTTTCTTGTAGAGGTGATGGCTGGGGTTCCTCCCACGTCTTACATCCAGGATGTCCACAGCCAGGACAGAGCTGACGTGGGGCTTCTGGACACAGCATTGGCAGATGGGTGGACCCAGCCAAGCTGGGAGGCACAAGGTTCAAGGCCTGGGCTCTGGCATCAGACGTTCCTGGGTTTGAATCCTGGCTGGGCCTCTCGTGTGGCTTTGGGCAGGTGGTTTAGTCTCTCTGGGCCTCTGTACCTGTCCCTGTAAAATGGGGCTGCTGCTCCTTGCCACAGAGGGTCATTGTGGATGGTAGAGGTAATCTCCATAGAGGCACTTGGAATACATCATTGTTGCCATTATCCACATTAACCAGGGCTAAGCAGGGTGGCAGAAACCCGGCTGAGAGGTACCATCTTCCACGCACCCAGGAAGAGGTGGCTCAGAAATATCAGCCTTTCTGGCCTTTCTTCTTTCTGCTTCTCATTCTCTCCAGTTGGCCCAGTGATGGCTTAGGGCATCGATCTTTCCTGAAGCTCCTTTTCATTTGGAAAGGTACCGTCCTTGACAAACCGTTCCCACCCTCCCAAAGCTTCCCAGGACCAGAGAAAGGGAACGGGAAGCAGGCCCCGGGAGGTCCGATTACAAGCAGCGCTGCCTTACCTGCCTCCTTCTCCCCTGAGGCAGGGGCTGCACAAAGGGCCGTGTCACTGACCACTGCGATCAAGTGACCAGATTGCGGGGGAGGGGATGGGGCGCAGGGGAGCCTGTGTAGTCCTCTTGTCTTCCTCTGGGGCCGGGCTGATTCCCCAGGGCACCCTTTTGTCCTTGGCTCTCTCTGTGTCTGCAGCCCCAGGAGTCAGGGCTGCGGCTGCTGCCTGGCCCCATGTGCCAGTCCCGGCCACTCACTTCCCAGCAGTCTGGCCTGGGATGCAGATAAAGCCTCCTTTCAGAGCTCAGAGTAGGGGGCCTGGGGAGGAGCGTGGGGGTCCTTGGGGCTGCCAGACAAAGCCGCCTTGTTGAGAGGGCTCGGAAGGAGTGGGGACCCCAATCCCTGGTGAGCAGCTTCCCCTCAGGGGCTCACCAGGGTGCACAGGGTCAGCTGCTCCCAGGAGCGGGGCCATGAACCTCACTGAGCCCCAGGCCTACGAGGTTAGGGAGGGTGGGGCTGAGGGGCCTGGGATCTCTGACAGCAGGACTCCTGGGTCCTGGAGTTCCCTGGCTGCCATTTGACCTGGCTTTTCTCGATCACTTCAGGCACCCACGGCTTCCCAGTGCTCTTAGAATCAACCGCATGCCCATGCCCTGCCCGCCTCTCTAGCCCCTTATTCTTCTCTCTCTCCTGAGCCAACTCTCAACTCCTTTTGGTTCCTTGACCCTCTGGCCTTTGCACATGCTGTTCCTTCTGCCTGGAATGCCCTTCCCTGCACTTTTCACATGGCTGCTCTCGCTCTCCCTCCTGGGAGGACCCCTGACTCCCCTCTCCAGATGCTCCCTCCCCCAGCACACCCAGGAGCTGGTTTGTTTCCTTCATCTCCATATCCCCAGCACCTCGAATAGTGCTGAACACAAAGGGCAAGTGTAATCAACAATTTCTGAATGAATCAGATGTCCTTGTCCCTCCAAGGTGGGGTCAAGCCCCTTCCCAAGTCACATAGTGACTGGGAGGAGCGGCCAGGATTGTAGCCCTTGGTACTTCGTCCCAGAGCTTTTCTAGGGCCGCATCATCTCACCCACAGCTGTAGAGTGTTGCCCTCCGCCACTCCCATCCAGAGGAAGGGGAAGGGGGCATTGTACTCCTACTTCCATCTCGCCACGCACAGCCCCCCTACTCCATCCTACCATTGGCGCCCAAGGGCGGGGGCTGCCTCCATGGAGGCGAATGAGGCGGGAGCTGGGCCTGCGAGCAGATTAACAGAGACATAAATAAGTGATTGCAGCTGGGCACAGTGGCTCACGCCTCTAATCCCAGCCCTTTGGGAGGCTGAGGCGGGAGGATCACTTGAGCTCAGAGAGTTTGAGACCAGCCTGGGCAACATGGTAAAACTTCATCTCTACCAAAAATAAAACAAACCAGTCATGCGTGGTGGTGCACACAGGTCATCCCAGCTACTGGGGAGGCTGAGGTGGGAGGATGGCTTGAGCCCAGGAGGCTGAGGCTGCAGTGAGCCTGAGCCATCATCACACCAGGGATAAACAGCTGGGCGGGGGGGCAGCATCCACACAGCAGATTCCCCAACCTTAGGCAGGAGTCAGGTCAGCTGGGATCCCAGATGGAAAGGCCTCTTGTTTCACAGCTGCTTCATTACCATCTTAACTGAGTGGCTGGCTGTGTCCTTGCAAGCCCTGTGGGGGTGGGGGTTGTGTCATGATTAGTAACAACTGGTGCCTGCCACCACTCCAGGGTCAGGGTGTGGGGGAGGGGCTGGAGGAGGAAGCCAGTGCATGGGAGATTTGGTTTGACTCTGTGTCCCTACCCAAATCTCATCTCGATTTGTGGACATAGTGGGAGGTGATTGGATAGGGGAGTGGTTTCCCCCATGCTGTTCATGTGATAGTGAGTTCTCACGAGATTTAATGGTTTGAAAATGTGTGGGAAGTCCCCCTTCTCTCCCTCACTCCTGCCACCACGTAAGACGCGCCTTTCTTCCTCTTTGCCTTCTGCCGTGATTGTAAGTTTCCTGAGGCCTCCCTAGCCATGCAGAACTGTGAGTCAATTAAATCTCTTTTCTTTATAAATTACCCGGTCTCAGGTACTTCTTTATAACAGTGTGAAAACAGACTAATACAATGGGGTCAGGGCAGAATGGTGATAATCAGTAGCAATAGGACAAAAGTTCTCATTTGTGGAACAGTTACCTGGTGTCTGCCCTGTTTTAAGATCTTTATGTGCATAATATATTCCTCAAGACAACCCTGTAAGATAAGTACTATTACTGGGCCCATTTTACAGATGAGGAAACTGAGACTCAGAGATGGAGTAATCGGCACGCTCCGGTTCTGCCTGAGTTCCAACTGGGGCTTGTGACCACTTGGCTCCCCAGAATACCTGTGGCTCTGCAGGGAGCCCTCAGAGGCTGTGGCAACTGTGATCGTCTTTTCTGGGGAGGCTGGTGAATGTGGGCTTATGGGTGGGGGAGGCCCGAGTGGGCAGCATCTGCACAGTTGGTCCTGGCTAAACACGCAGATACTCAACCCACCCAGATCCTAGGAACCACCCTGGAGCCTGGTCATCAGGCATCAGCTTCTGTGCATGCCATTGGCCTCCATCTCTCCAGGCCTGTGTTCTTCAAATTTCAGTGAGCATCAGAATCACTCAGGCAGCTTGCGAAACAGGTGGATTCCTAGGCCCCAGACTCAGAGAGGTTCCAGATTTAAGAATCTGCCCATTTATCAAGAAACACCCACTTCTAGCGCACACCGCTCCGCCATTTCAAAAGTCACAAAGGAAAACAGCCCAGAGTCCTTTTTGTATCGGCATGCCCAAGCCCATCTAGAACTCTGAGATGTGAGCTGGAACTACTTGTCTCAAATTCCTTTTTTTTTTTTTTTTTTTTTTTGAGACAGAGTCTTGCTCTGTCACCCAGGCTAGAGTGCGGTGGCGCCATCTCGGCTCACTGCCAGCTCCACCTCCCGGGTTCACGCCATTCTCCTGCCTCAGCCTCCCGAGTAGCTGAGACTACAGGCGCCCGCCACCATGTCCGGCTAATTTTTTGTATTTTTAGTAGAGACGGGGTTTCACCATGTTAGCCAGGATGGTCTCGATCTCCTGACCTCGTGATCCACCCGCCTCGGCCTCCCAAAGTGCTGGGATTACAGGGGTGAGCCACCGTGCCCGGCCCACTTGTCTCAAATTCTATGGCCTGCCCCGCTCCCAGCCCTCCCATGGGGTCTTACCAGCAGGGTCCCACCCCTCCCGCCCCTGGAAGCCTCACAGAGGAGAATACCGGAGGGGCTTTCAAAATTGCACAAATTCTACAAAGGACATTTGAAAAGAAAGGGAACCTACCTTCTTCAGGGGTCATTGAGTTCAAGCCTTTTGTTTTACATTTGGAGAAAGCTGGGTCCAGAAATGTTCCGAGCCCTGCCCAAGGTTCTGGCCTGAGGAGCCCTCTGCAAGCTCATGGCAGAGTCAGTTCAGTCACTTCCCATGACACCAAGCTGCTTGGGGTAACAGGTGTTTGGAATTCCACCACGAGAGGGTCAGTGCTTACTGCTAACTGCTGGGAGGGCTCCGTAAAGGAGCAGCACATGAAGCCGTTGAAATAAAAGGCTTCTAGCTGGGCATGGTGGTGTACACCTGTAGTCCCGGCTACTTGGGAGGCTGAGGCAGGAGGATCATTTGAGTCTGGGAGTTCGAAGCTGCAGTGATCTATGATTGTGCCACGTGCTCCAGCCTGAGTGACAGATTGACAACCTGTCTCAAAATGAAATAAAAAATAAAGGACTTTGTGCTAGCTGGGCTGATGAGTCCCTGGGGCCTGGCATACAGCAGCTGCTCAGTTAATATTTACTGAAATTTGTAATGAGCATCATTCACAGCAGTGGGCAGCAGGGCACACAGTCTGCCAGGATCCGTGGCCTCTGGGACAAGGAGACCAGATCTGGAGTCCCACTCTCCAGGGGAGGAGGCTGGTTCCCTTTCTCCTCACCCCCTTATGTGGAGACCTCAGTTTTACTGATCCAAGATCAGATAGATGACAAAATGAGTAAAGCTGGCTGAGTGTGAGACATTAGGGAGTGGTGAGGACTGTAGCCAGTGTATCGATGGCATTTGAATTCTGGTTTTTTCAAGAAGCATTGAGCCGACCAATAGAAACCCTGGCATACCTAAGGGCCAAGTTAGGCCCCTGGCCGTGGGTTAGTCATAGTCAGTGTTCTGTGTGATGCTGGCTGGGGAGTCTGGAGACTAGCGTTTCATCCTGGCCCTCTTCCAGTTGAGTCCATGGGCTTGGGCGTCACTGGCCTTGGTGTCCCCACCTGTGCTCGGAAGGACTGGGTCGGGATCAGCTCTGAGGCTTTGTGCCAGGAAGGTGCCAGGAAGACTGGGATGGACACCAGCGTGACACCAGGCTGCTCTGGCTTTAAACTTGCCTCAATTTGATAGGTCACCGGATGTGGGCTTAAAAAAAAAAGAAAAACAACTGCCTCGATAGCCCCATCAGCGGTGGCAGTGACAGCAGTGAGCGGCTGAGCGGAGCCTGCTGGCGCGTGGGCCACCTGCAGAGCCCTCCACAGCCGGGAAGATTAGTCTCTTCCACTAGACAACACCCATTACCATGTTCCAATAGCCATCACTTCCGCTAGGAGAGCTGCAGATGAGATATGGATTGCACTGACCCCAGACGAGCCCTTTCCCCAGCCTGAGAGGCGTGCAGATCAGCTCAGCACCCGGCTTACGGCCCGTGGCTCCTGGCTCCAGGCAGCCAAGGCCCTCTGGCCTCCTCCATGCAGCCAGGAGCTTCTGGATCCAGGTGGCGCTGACAGCAGCCCCACCAGGTGGGCTGGTTTGGGCTGGCATCCTGAGGTTCGGAGCAGGCTGAGGCCTGGGCTCTGAGCCTGTATTCCCCAGGCTCTTTGATTTCCAGATCGGAGACGGGGAGGAGGTGTTTCAGGAAGTGGCAGCAAAAGTATGAAGATGGAAAGGAAGCCGCGTCTGGCTGGGTCTGCATTGAGCTTCAAGAGGACATGCCTGGCTGGGTTGTGGGGAGTAGAGAGGAGGCTGTCTCGGACTGGGGATGGCCTGATGCCAGCACTTGGCACTCGAGAGGACAGTGGAAGCTTTGGGGCCAGGAGGCGACAGGATCTTAACACCCCCTTTGTCCTCTTGTGCTTTAGGCCTCCTTCCCAGGCACCCCTGCCTGCTGGCAGCTCCTAGGTCGTCTGTGGCTCCCTCTAATCAGACAAATTTAGATAAAGGACTATTACACACAAAAAGTAAAATGGTATTATAAATGCATTTCTTTTTTTTTTTTTTTTTGAGACAAGGTCTCACACTTTCCCCCAGGCTGAGGTGCAGTGGCACAATCTGGGTTCACGGCAGCTTCGACCTCCTAGGCTCAAGCCATCCTCCTACCTCAGCCTCCTGAGTAGCTGAGACCACAGGCATGCATCACCACACCAGGCTAGTGTGTGTGTGTGTGTGTGTGTGTGTGTGTGTGTGTTTTCTGTAGAGATGGGGTTTCGCCATGTCTTCCAGGCTAGTCTCAATCAATCCTCCCACCTAGGCCTCCCAAAGTGCTGGGATTACGGGTGAGCTACCTCACCCGGCCTATAAATATATTTCTTAAGGAGAATAAATGGGGACAAATGTAAGCCATTTTTTCAGCTTCCAGAGTTAGTACCTCCTCACTCTTCCACTTGGGTAGGAAACTGGATTTTCTGGGAGTGTTGATAGCTGCTGGAGTTGGATAGGGAGTTCTCCATGAGCAGATGGGGCCTGATCCAAGTTTGTGTGTGTGTTTTCCGTAGAGTTGGGGTTTTGCCATCTCAAGCACAGCACTCGGCCTGGGCCCTCCCTGGCATTGTGTGGAACATGCTGGAAGGACAGGGAGCTGGGCATTTACCCCAGCTCCCACCACTGCCCACCTCTACTTCTTGTTGTCAAAGAAAGCCCTTGGCAGGAAATGGGGCATCCAGACCTCTGCACCCACCTCCCTTGGTGGAGACAATTCCCTTGCACTTCTGGGCTGCATGTGTCTCAGAGCAAATTTCTTGGGTGCTGGGGAAAGGTGTCAGGCAGAAAAGAAGTGAGCTGCAGGTGTTCTCAAGTGTGCCCAGGACTTCCTTTTCTTCGGGTATGGCAAGATGGCAGACAAGGAGACAACTGCCCAGAAGGAATTGATTACTCACAGTTTCTAGAGGAGGGACCCCACACCCCATGGGGAGGCACCAGGGTGGGTCAGGTGGTGGCAGGAGTGAGGGCAGAGCCTAGTCCAAAGCCTTCACTGTGGTTCCTGCGGGAAGGAATGGGCAAGGGAGGCTAGGTGCGTTTCAGCGAGTTTGGGATGGCTAGTTTGAGAATTCTGGCAGGCTCTGGGCTGTAGGGGTGGCCTCTAGTTGTCTGGGAAATGGCCCTGGATTGATTTCGGGCAGGGGAACAACTGGCTTGGGGTGTGAGAGTTTAGAGGAAGGAGATGCTTGGGTACATAGGCTCTGTATTTGTTTGTACATGAAAGGCAGGTTTGCAGGCATGTTGTTTGCTAGCTCTAGGAATTAGCCAGCCTCGGGAGGAGCAGTCTCTCCAGGATTAGCAAGGCCCTAGGATGTGAAAGCATCATAAAATACAGGAAATAACAAACATGATAAGTACAAGAGGGGCTAGAGGGAGGACGCTGTCAGCATGCTGGAAACTTTCTACTATAGCCACTGGTGAACTTCGGGGCAGAGGGGAGAGGGTGGGTACCAACAGCATCTGAATTCACCTCGACTCTGGCTATCGGGAACTGCTCCCTCCTCACCTCCCCTCCCCAACCCTGGGTATTTACTGAGACCTGACTGAATACTGGTTCTAGCACAAAACCACACACGGCATGTATTCCCCTTGACATTCACAAGTAAGGTGAGCACTAATGTTATCCTGGTTTTATAGCCGAGGACATGGAGGCCGGTCAGACGCTAAGGAAGTCACTCTGAGTCATGGGTTAGGAAGTGACAGAGCCATGATTCGAACCCAGGTCTGTGCTGCCTCACCTGAAAAATGGGTTGCTCATTCCACCTCCTCTCCTCTCTGTGATGGTTGTAAGGCTCCAACGGCATAAGTGAGGAGGAGACAGCGCCTTCTGAGCTGTCAACCCCGTGTACACGTCAAGGCAGGTTTTTAATTTTTCTTTTTTTATTTTTATTTTTATTTTATTTTATTTTATTTTCCGAGACAGAGTCTTGCTCTGTCACCCAGGCTAGAGTGCAGTGGCGGGATCTCGGCTCACTGCAACCTCTGCCTCCTGGGTTCAAGCAATTCTCCTGCCTCATCCTCCTGAGTAGCTGGGATTACACGCATGTGCCACCACGCCCAGCTAATTTTTGTATTTTTAGTAGGGATGGGGTTTCACCATGTTGGCCAGGCTGGTCTCAAACTCCTGACCTCGTGATCTGGCCGCCTCAGCCTCCCAAAGTGCTGGGATTACAGGTGTGAGCCACCACGCCTGGCTTATTTATTTATTTATGTATTTATTTATGTATTTATGTATTTATTTATTTAGAGGAGTCTCGCTCTTGTTGCAAGGCTGGAGTGCAGCAGCACAATCTCGGCTCACTGCAACCTCCGCCTCCTGGGTTCAAGGAATTCTTCTGCCTCAGCCTCCCAAGTAGCTGGGATTACAGGCATGCACCACCACGCCTGGCTAATTTTTGTATTTTTACAAACATTACAAATTTTAGAGATGGGGTTTCACCATGTTGGCCGGGCTGGTCTCGAACTCCTGACCTCAGGTGATCCACCTGCCTCAGCCTCCCTAAATGCTGGGGTTACAGGTGTGAGCCACTGTGCCTGGCCAGATGTTTTTATTTTTTGAGACAGGGTTTCACTCTGTTGCCTAGGCTAAAGTGCAGTGGCACAATCATGGCTCACTGCAGCCTGGACCTCCCAGGCTCAAATGATCCTCCTGCCTCAGCCTCCTGAGTAGCTGGGACCACAGGTGTGTGCCCCCACGGCTGGCTAATTTTGTATTTTTGGAAGACACGGGGTTTCACTATGTTGCCCAGTCTGGTCTTGGACTCCTGGGCTTAAGCGATTCACCCACCTTGGCCTCCCAAAGTACTGGGATTACAGGTGTGAGCCTGGCAAGATCAGGCAGTATTTATTTATTTATTTAGAGACAGATTCTCACTCTGTCGCCCAGGCTGGAGTGCAGTGGCATGATCTTGGCTCATGGCAACCTCTGCCTCCTGAGTTCAAGTGATTCTCTTGCCTTAGCCTCCGGAGTAGCTGGGATTACAGGCACCTGCCACCACGCCCGGCTAATTTTTGTATTTTTAGTAGAGACAGGGTTTCGCCATGTTGGCCAGGGTGGTCTCAAACTCCTGACGTCAGGTGATCTGCCTACCTCGGCCTCCCAAAGTACTGGGATTACAGGTGTGAGCCACCACACCCAGCCAGTCAGGCAGTTATTTGTCTTGACCAGCTTCCTTAATGCTGTGGAAAGCCCTGTGGAATAGTGACCGAGATCAGGCTCCCGTTCCTGATGGCCCACTGTGGGCCTCCTGGAACCTCCAATAGCCCTGGAAGGAAGGGCCATTACGATCCTATCCTACAGATGGAGAAACTGAGGTTCAAGGAGGTAAAGTCCTAGCCCAAGCTCTCACCATGAAAGAGGAAGGAACCAGGATTTAATATGTGTAACCTAAGTCTGGTCCCTGAGCTGGGGCTCTCCCCTTTCACTCTACACCCCACGTCACCTTCCTTAAAGGCCAAAGTGCCTGTCCAGCATCCTGCCCCTCCCCTCATCCCAGCTGCCTTGCCCACAGTTGCCTTGAGGATCCTCGGCTCCACTCTGCCCAGATGCCTCCTCTCCTCCCCCTTCTGCTCCAGCCCTGCACTTTGCTAGCCCAAGCTCTTCTCAATGCCTTTCTTTAACATTGGCCATCTTTCTCCCGCTTATATTAAAAAATTATTTATTTATGTTTTTGGCTGGGTAGGGTGGCTCACCCCTGTAATCCCAGGACTTTGGGAGGCCAAGGTGGGGGGATTGCTTGAGCCCAGGAGTTTGAGACCAACCTGGGCAACATAATGAAAACCCATCTCTACTAAAAAAAAAAAAAAAAGTTAGCTGGGTATGGTGACACACACCTGTAGTCCCCGCTACTCAGGAGGCTGAGATGGGAGAATCACTTGAGCCCGGGAGCAGGAGGCTTCAGTGAGCTGTGATGGTACCACTGGACTCCAGCCTGGGTGATAGAGTGAGACCCTGTCTCAAAAATATACATATATTTATTTTTAACAGATCTATTTATCTATTTATTTGAGAGGGGATCTTTGTCTGTCACTAAGGCAGGGGGGCAGTGGTGTGATCGCCACAGCCTTAATCTCCTGGGCTCAAGCAAACCTCCCATCTCAGCCTCCTCGACAGGGACTACAGTTGTGCATCACCACATCCAGGTAATTTTTTTTTCTTTTCTTTTCTTTTTTTTGAGATGGAGTCTTCCTCTGTTGCCCAGGCTGGAGTATAGTGGCACGACCTCGGCTCACTGCAACATCTGCCTCCCTGGTTCAAGTGATTCTTTTGCTTCAGCCTCCCAAGTAGCTGGGATTACAGGTGCGTGCCACCACACCCGGCTAATTTTTGTAACTTTTAGTACAGACAGGGTTTCACCATGTTGGCTAGGTTGGTCTTGAACTCCTGACCTCAAGTGATCCGCCTGCCTTGGCCTCCCAAACTGCTGGGATTACAGGCGTGAGTCACCATACCTGGCTTTCTTTTTTTTTTTGGCAGAGATGAGTGTGCACTATGTTGCCCAGGCTGGTCTTAAACTCCTGGTCTCAAGTGATCCTGCCGCCTCTACCTTGCAAAGCGCTGGGACTGCAGAAGTGAGCCATTGAGCCTTGCTTTTAACAGCTTTATTGATGTGTAACTTACACATCATACAAAATAGGCCAATTTTAAGTGTACAATTCAAGTTGGTTCTGGAGCCTATCAACAATGTGGAAAATTAATTCTTTTATTATGTTAAATGAAACAAATGCGCAGAGGCCAGGCGTGGTGGCTCACACCTGTAATCCCAGCACTTTGGGAGGCTGAGGCAGGTGGATCACGAGGCCAGCAGTTTGAGACCAGCCTGACCAACATGGTGAAACCCCGTCTCTACTAAAAATACAAAAATTAGCCAGGTGTGGTGGCATGTGCCTGTAATCCCTGCTACATGGGAGGCTGAGGCGGGAGAATCGCTTGAACCTGGGAGGTGGAGGTTGCAGTGAGCCGAGATCGCGCTGCTGCACCCCAGCCTGGGTGACAGAGCAAGACTCTGTCTCAAAAAAAAAAAAACCCGAAAAACAAAAAACCAAATGCACAGGTACACAATGTAAACAGACTACCTGACATGCCTGTAAACGAATGTGCATATGAAAGAATGACTGGCAGGAAATGCATCTGAATATTAACCAAAACATTTTGATAAAGATGTTGGAATCAGAAATAAAAAATTTTTTCTGGGCCAGGCATGGTGGCTCACACCTGTAATCCCAGCACTTTGGGAGGCTGAGGCTGGTGGATCATTTGAGGCCAGGAGTTTGAGACCATCCTGGGCAATATGGCAAAACCTGTCTCTGCTAAAAATACAAAAATTAGCCGGGCATGTTGGTGTGCGCTTGTAATCCCAACTACTCAGGTGGCTGAGGCACAACAATTGCTTGAAACCGGGAGGTGGAGGTTGCAGTGAGCCAGGATAATGCCACTGCACTCCAGCCTGGGCAACAGAGTGAGATTCTGTTTCAAAAAACAAAACAAAACAAAAAATGTAATTATTTTTCTGAGTCTTTAATTTTTCAATATTATTCTATTTGGACACTCTGAGAAAGACTAAATAAGGTTTTATTTTAATTATTATTTTATTTTTATTTCCATAGTTTTTGGGGTGCAGGATTATTGCTTACATGGGTAAGTTGTTGCATCATAAACAACCACTAAACTATGGTTGTGAGATAGCAACAATCCTATTTACACCCTAGTATTGATCTGTGTTTCTAGATTGACTTGAGGACTAAGGACATTCCTAGAAAAGATTTTCAATGTTGGGAGTGACCTGGGTTCAGACATACCCAGTCTTCAGTGGCAGTCTGGGGGCAACTCCGTGGAAGCCTTATAGCCAGGGGGTAGGAGGATCGAGGGTCTACCAAAGACAGAATTTACTCTGAGAGAAGGCAGAGTCAGTCCTAATAAGCTAATCCCCGCAATAGGATATGAGAGCTGGAGGACAAGTGGTTCTGGTGACAGCTGGAGGCTGTTTGTTGAAACTATCACCAATCAAGATCATTTGGCTACACTGGCATGCCCAGGTGGAGAGGGGCTGCATACATGAAGAGCTAAGAGTTCTAACATCTCCGTGTCCAAGCAAACCTACCATAGCTTCCCTGAGGTGGTGGTTTCCTACCCACTTCTCAGTGGAGCTGGGGTCATTTGTGTTGACAGCAGGGGCAACAGCATGTCAAGAGTGTAGGCAGTGACTGGAGAGGAGTGACAGGAGGGACAAAGAAGTGAATGAGGGCAGGCCCTGGGCTGTGGCATGAGGACTGGATTGGAATAGCTTCTGAATACCTAGGCACCATTTTATGGGCTCCTGGAGCAGGGGAGGAAGTATGTATTCCTGACGCTCCTCAAGTGGGGTTCTGAGCCCACTCGAGGATGAATATTCAACTCATTCAACAAATATTAATTGAATACCTGTTATGGACCAGGCGTGGTTTTAGCATCTGGTACACAGCTGCAAATAAGGCAGACATGGTCTCTGCCCACATGGAGCTTCCTATCTAGTGGGAGAGATACTCAACAATGTCCAGCATTCAATAAAAAAATTACTAGATACACAAAGCAAACCAGTGCATATGTTTGGTGGTGGTATGTGCTGTGGAGAAGAGGGAGGCAGGATAAAGGTATAGTCAGTGCCATATTTGGGCTGTAATGAGTGAGTCTTGTGGCTATTTGGTGGAAGATGTTCCAGGCGGAGCTTGGATTGTTTGAAGACAGTGGGCAGAGGTGAGAGGGAGCAGGAGGGAGGAGAGGACGGACAGTAGGTGGGGGCCAGATCATGAAAGTGCTGGTAGGCCATAATAAATGCATCAATTATCTGTGTTGCTGCATCATAAACAACCAGAAAACTTAGTGTCTACATTGGATGCAATGTACACTGTTCAGGTAATGGTACACTCAAATCTCATAAATCACCGCTAAAGAACTTATCCATGTAAGCAATAATCCTGTACCCCAAAAACTATTGAAATAAAAACAAAATAATAATAATCAAAATAAAACTTATTTATTCTTTCTCACGAGCCTATAGGTGAGCTGCCTAGGCAGTTCTTTTGCTAGTCTCATGTGGGATGATTCAGGCAGCTGCTGTCAGGCTTGTCTGCGGAGGGCAGTTCCCGTGTAGTCTCACTTTCATGGCTGGTAGTTGGTGCTGGCTGTAGTAAGCACTTTGGGTTTTATGTTGAGTGAGATGGGAGCCAGTGAGGGGTGGAATGTCAGTTAGGATGAGAAACTACATGATTCATGTTAGCAAGATATTAAGTGTGATCTCAGGCCAGGCTGGCCTATAGGCATTTAGATTATATTATTGTTATATTGAAAAACATTAGGCCAGGTGCAGTGGCTCACGCCTGTAATCCCAGCACTTTGAGAGGCCAAGATGTGGGGATCGCTTGAGCACAGGAGTTTAAGACCAGCCTGGGCAACATGGCAGGTGGATCACTTGAGGCCAGGAGTTTGAGGCCATCTGGGCAATATGGCAAAACCTGTCTCTGCTAAAAATACAAAAATTAGCCGGGCATGGTGGTGTGTGCTTGTAATCCCAGCTACTCAGGTGGCTGAGGCACAAGAATTGCTTGAACCTGGGAGATGGAGGTTGCAGTGAGCCGTTTTTCATGTCTCTATGAAAAATACAAAACGTAGCTGGGTGTAATGGTGCATGCCTGCAGTCCCAGCTACTTAGGAGGCTGAGGTGGGGGGATGACTTGAGCCCTGGATTTTGAGGTTTCAGTGAGCTGCGATCACAGTGCACTCTAGCCTGAGTAACAGAGCAAGACTCTGTCTCAGAAAAAAAAAAAATCCACTTTCATTTCTGTCCACAAAGGACTGAGGCAGTCCAGAATTATACTCCCACTGTAAACAACAGATAATTGTACAAAACACAAGGAACAACTATTTTCAGACATTCAACAACAGGTAGTACAGGGCTGTGATTCCTGAGAAAAGGGAAACTAACAGGGCAAGCCCTATCATCACCTAGCTTTCTGCTTGGAGGTAATTCCAAAACTGCAAAATAGGGAGGAGACAGAGTCCGGTGATCATGCCAAGCTGAGAAGACAGATGGGGTTTGGGGAAGCCAACACAGCTGAAATCTGTGGGACTCACAACCAGCACGGAGGGCACTACAGGAGAAAGGCCTCCAGCAATCTGTGAAGTGTCCATTTGAGTCTTTGGTGGATGCCAATCTCCTCATGTATAGAGAAAAACCCCATGAGACCAGACAAGAGCAACTTTTTTTTTCCCCCGAGATGGAGTCTTGCTCTGTCGCCCAGGCTGGAGTGCAGTGGCACGATCTTGGCTCACTGCAACCTCCACCTCCCAGGTTCAAGCAACTCTTCTGCATCAGCTTCCCAAGAAGCTGGAATTATAGGAACGCACCACCATGCCTGGCTAATTTTTGTATTTTTAGTGGAGACGGGGTTACATCATGTTGGCCAGCCTGGTCTCAAACTCCTGACCTCGTGATCTGCCCGCCTCAGCCTCCCAAAGTGCTGGGATTACAGGTGTGAGCCACCGTGCCCAGCCAAGAGCAGCTTTTGAGGGAAAAAAAATTACTAAGAATCTCATACAGGACTGAGAATTATTTTGAGTTTCCCCCAGCCAGAGTAGACAGACTTCACTGAATATAAGAATCATTAAGCAGAAAACCTAGAAAGGGCCAGGGCCAGGCATGGTGGTTCATGCCTGTAATCTCAACACTTTGGGAGGCCTAGGCAGGTGGATCACTTGAGGTCAGGA
This sequence comes from Homo sapiens, assembly GCF_000001405.40. Taxonomy (NCBI): domain Eukaryota; kingdom Metazoa; phylum Chordata; class Mammalia; order Primates; family Hominidae; genus Homo; species Homo sapiens. The sequence goes on along the minus strand of NC_000009.12, from coordinate 130,510,184 downwards.
AAATTATAAAAAAACTTTCTGCTAATAAAATTGAAAACCTAGATGAAATGGTTAAATCCCTCAAAAGATACAAATTACCAAAGTTGATCCAAGAGGAAATAGACAACTTAAATAGCCTTACATAAATCAAAGAAACTGAATATTTTATTTTATTTTATTTTATTTGAGACAGAGTCTGCACTGGCAGAATCTCAACTTGCTGCAACCTCAGTCTCCCAAGTAGCTGAGATTGCAGGCGTGCACCACCACACTTGGCTAATTTTTGTATTTTTAGTGGAGATAGGGTTTTGCCATGTTGGCCAGGCTGGTCTTGAGCACCTGGACTCAAGTGATCTGCCCGCCTTGGCCTCCCAAAGTGTTGGAATTACAGGCGTGAGCCACTGCACCTGGCCAAATTTATTTTTTAAAAGCCTAAGGCTGGGCACAGTGGCTCACGCCTGTAATCCCGGCACTTTGGGAGGCTGTGGTGGGTGGATCACCTGAGGCCAGGAGTTTGAGACCAGCCTGGCCAACATGGTGAAACCCCACCTCTACTAAAAGTACAAAAAATTAGCTGGGCATGGTGGCAGATGCCTGTAATCCCAGCTACTTGGCAGGTTGAGGCAGGAGAATCACTTGAACCCAGGAGGCAGAGGTTGCACTGAGCCAAGATCATGCCATTGCACTCCAGACTGGGAGACAAGAGCAAGACTCCGTCTCAAGAAAAGAAATAAATAAATAAAAATAAAAAAATAAAAGCCTCACACACATAAAAATTTCCAGGCTCAGATGGCTTCACTGGTGAATTCTTTTTTCTTTTTCTTTTTGTTCCCTTGCAGAGATAGGGGTCTTGCTATGTTGCCCAGGATTGTCTTGAACTCCTGGGCTCAAGCAATCCTCCCACCTCAGCCTCCCAAAGTGCTGGGATTACAGACATGAGTCACCATGGCTGGCCTTCCACTGGTGAATTCTATGAAACGTTTATGAAAGAATATTACCAATCCTACAAAAAAGCTGTTTTAGAAAACAGGAGGTGGAGAGACATTTCTGAATGTATTTTTTGGGGGGCCACTCTCTCCCTGACACAAAAACCAAAGAACCACAAGAGAACTACAGATCCACATCCCACATGAATATAGACACAAAAAATCTCTGACAAAATTTTAGCAAACTAAATCCAGCAATACCAAATGGTATTTTTCCTGTGAATGTAAAATTGGTTTAACATTCAAAAATCAATTAATGTAATTCATTATATTAACAGAATACAGGAGAAAACATCTCAAAGGATGTTGAGAAACATTTGACAAAATTCAACTCCCAATTTTGAGAGAGAGAGATATATACATATGCAAAAAAATTAACCACAATAATGAGTTCACACAAGATCTGGTTGTTTATTTTTAATTTTTTTGAGACAGAATCTTGCTCTTTTGCCCAGGCTGGAGTGCAATGGTGCGATCTCAACTCACTGCAACCTCTGCCTCCCGGGTTCAAGCGATTCTCGTGCCTCAGCCTCTGGAGTAGCTGGAATTACAGTTGTGCGCCACCACACCCGGCTAATTTTTGTATTTTTAGTAGAGACGGGGCTTCGTCATGTTGCCAGGCTGGTCTCTAACTCCTGACCTCAAGCACCTTGGCCTCCCAAAGTGCTGGGTTTACAGGTGTGAGCCACTGCGCCTGGGATCTTGTTGTTTAAAAAGGAGCCTGGAACCTCTCCCTCTCTCTCTTGCTCTCTCTCTTGCCATCTGATAAAACCTTCTGTATCCCCCTTCACCTTCTACCATAATTGGAAGCTTCCAGGAGTGATGATTGGAAGCCTCCTGAGGTCTCACCAGGAGCAGATCCCAGCACTATGCTTCCTGTAGAGCCTGCATAAACCAAAATAAACCCCTTTTCTTTATAAATAGTCTCAGGCATTCCTTTATAGCAATAGTAATGGAGTAACTCAGATGACAATGCTCTTCAAATGAATCTGTTGTTTTAATGCAATTCCAATGAAATCTTAGCAGACTTTTTGAAGAAGTGAATAATTTGTTTAAAAAATTTATATGGGGCCACGCACAGTGTCTCACGCCTATAATCCCAGCACTTTGGGAGGTGGTGGAGGCTGAGGTCAGGAGTTCAAGACCAGCCTGCCCAACATGGCAAAACCCCATCTCTACTAAAAGTACAAAAATTAGCCGGGCGTGGTGGGGGTCACCTGTAATCCCAGCTACTCAGGAGGCTGAGGCAGGAGAATCGCTTGAAGCCAGAAGGTGGAGGTTGCAGTGAGCTGAGATCGCACCACTGCACTCCAGTCTGGGCGACAAGAGTGAGACTCCATCTCAAAAAAAAAAAAAGTGTATATATATATATATATATATATATATACACACACACACACACACACACACACACACACATATATGGGCTGGGCAGGTGGCTCACGCCTGTAATCCCAGCACTTTGGGAGGCCGAGGTGAGTGGATCACTTGAGGTCAGGAGTTCGAGACCAGCCTGGCCAACGTGGTGAAACCCCGTCTCTATTAAAAATACAAAAATTAGCTGGATATGGTGGTGCACACCTGTAATCCCAGCTACTCAGGTGGCTGAGGCCGGAGAATTGGTTGAACCCAAAAGGCGGAGGCTGCAGTGAGGCAAGACGGCACCACTGCTGCACTCCAGCCTGGGTGACAGATGGAGACTGTCTCAAAAAAAAAAAAAAAAAGTATATGGAAAAGTAAAGGACTCAGAATAGCCAAAACAGTCTTAAAAGAATGAGGTTTAAGATTTACTATAGGCGCTTTTTTTTTTCCCTCTCCCTCTCCCTCTCCCTCTCCCTGTCCCTCTCCCTGTCCCTCTCCCTCTCCCCTCTTTCCACGGTCTCCCTCTGATGCCGAGCCGAAGCTGGACTGTACTGCTGCCATCTCGGCTCACTGCAACCTCCCTGCCTGATTCTCCTGCCTCAGCCTGCCTAGTGCCTGCAATTGCAGGCGCGCGCCGCCACGCCTGACTGGTTTTCGTATTTTTTTGGTGGAGACGGGGTTTCGCTGTGTTGGCCGGGCTGGTCTCCAGCTCCTAACCGCGAGTGATCCGCCAGCCTCGGCCTCCCGAGGTGCTGGGATTGCAGACGGAGTCTCCTTCACTCAGTGCTCAATGGTGCCCAGGCTGGAGTGCAGTGGCGTGATCTCGGCTCGCTACAACATCCACCTCCCAGCAGCCTGCCTTGGCCTCCCAAAGTGCCGAGAGTGCAGCCTCTGCCCCGCCGCCACCCCGTCTGGGAAGTGAGGAGCATCTCTGCCTGGCCGCCCATCGTCTGGGATGTGAGGAGCCCCTCTGCCTGGCTGCCCAGTCTGGAAAGTGAGGAGCGTCTCTGCCCAGCCGCCACCCCATCTAGGAAGTGAGGAGCGCCTCTTCCCGGCCGCCTTCCCATCTAGGAAGTGAGGAGCGTCTCTGCCCGGCCGCCCCGTCTAAGTGAGGAGACCCTCTGCCTGGCAACCGCCCTGTCTGAGAAGTGAGGAGCCCCTCCGCCCAGCAGCCGCCCCGTCTGAGAAGTGAGGAGCCCCTCCGCCCGGCAGCCACCCCGTCTGGGAAGTGAGGAGCGTCTCCGCCCGGCAGCCACCCCATCCGGGAGGGAGGTGGGGGGGTCAGCCCCCCGCCTGGCCAGCCGCCCCGTCCGGGAGGGAGGTGGGGGGGGGTCAGCCCCCCGCCCGGCCAGCCGCCCCATCCGGGAGGTGAGGGGCGCCTCTGCCCGGCCGCCCCTACTGGGAAGTGAGGAGCCCCTCTGCCCGGCCACGACCCCGTCTGGGAGGTGTACCCAACAGCTCATTGAGAACGGGCCATGATGACAATGGCAATTTTGTGGAATAGAAAGGGGGGAAACGTGGGGAAAAGATTGAGAAATCGGATGGTTGCCGTGTCTGTGTAGAAAGAGGTAGACATGGGAGACTTTTCATTTTGTTCTGTACTAAGAAAAATTCTTCTGCCTTGGGATCCTGTTGATCGGTGACCTTACCCCCAACCCTGTGCTCTCTGAAACATGTGCTGTGTCCACTTAGGGTTAAATGGATTAAGGGCGGTGCAAGATGTGCTTTGTTAAACAGACGCTTGAAGGCAGCATGCTCGTTAAGAGTCATCACCACTCCCTAATCTCAAGTACCCAGGGACACAAACACTGCGGAAGGCCGCAGGGTCCTCTGCCTAGGAAAACCAGAGACCTTTGTTCACTTGTTTATCTGCTGACCTTCCCTCCACTATTGTCCTGTGACCCTGCCAAATCCCCCTCTGCGAGAAACACCCAAGAATGATCAATAAATAAATAAATAAATAAATAAATCAGAAAAAAAAAAAAGATTTACTATAGGCTATAATAAGCAAGTCAGAGAGTTTTTGGCGTAAGGCTAGACACATACATTAATGAAGCAGAATTGAGAGTCCAGAAGTAGACCCATACCCATCAACTGATTGTTGTTGTTGTTGTTTTCTTGAGACGGAGTCTCGCTCTGTTGCCCAGGGTGGAGTGCAGTGGTGCGATCTTGGCTCACTGCAACCACTGCCTTCCGTGTTCAAGTGATTCTCATGCCTCAGCCTCCCAAGCAGCTGGGACTACAGGCTTGCGCCACCATGGCCGGCTAATTTTTATATTTTCAGCAGAGATGGGGTTTCACCATGTTGGCCAGGCTGGTCTCCAACTGTTGACCTCAGGTGATCTGCCTACGTTGGCCTCCCAAAGTGCTGGGATTACAGGGGTGAGCCACCATGCCTGGCCTAATCAATTGATTTTTGACAAAGATGCTAAGGTAATATAATAGGAAAAAGACTTTTTAAGAAACGGTGCTGGAACAGCAAAACATCAGTATTTTCAAAAAATAAACTTTGATCCTGAATCACAACCTACACAGTAATGAACTCGAAATGGAGCAAGGACCTACTTGTAAATGTTAATAAAATTTTTTCAAAGAAATAAAAGCTGGGCCTGGTGGGGTGGCTCATGCCTATAATCCCAGCACTTTGGGAGGCTGAGGTGGATGGGTCGTTTGAGGTCAGGAGTTTGATACCAGCCTGGCCAAATGGTGAAACTCCATCTCTACTAAAAAACACAAAAATTTGCCAGCGTGGTGGTGGGGGCCTGTAATCCCAGCTACTCGGGAGGCCGAGGCAGGAGAATCGCTTGAACCCAAGAGGCAGAGGTTGGGGTGAGCGGAAATCACGCCACTGCACACCAGCCTGGGTAACAGAGTGAGCTTCTGTCTCAAAAAACAAAAACAAAAACAAAAAAAACTGAAAGAATTAATCACTGCACTAGAAGAAATACTTTTAAAAGTTCTTCAACAGAAGGAAAATGATATATATAGAAACTTTGTCTATTCAATGGAATGAAGGGCATCAGAAAAAGAAATATATGGATAAATATAAGATAAACTCTTTTCTTATTTTTAATCTTTATTTATTATTATTATGATTTTTTGAGGCAGAGTCTCATTCTGTCACCCAGGCTGGAGTGCAGCGGTGCAATCTCAGCTGTTTATTTTTATTTTTTGAGACAGAGTCTTGAGATGTTGCCCAGCCTAGGGTACAGTGCTGTGATCACACCTCACTGCAGTCTCTACCTCCCAGGCTCATGCGATCCTCCCACCTCAGTCTCCTGAGTAGCTGGAACCACCAGCATGTGCTACCACACTTGGCTAATTTTAAAATTTTTTGTAAAGATGGGGTCTCCCTATGTTGCCCAGGCTGGTCTTGAATCCCTGGGCTTAAGCAATCCTCCTACCTTGGCCTCCCAAAGTGCTAGGATTATAGGCATGGCCCACCATTATTTTTCATCTTTTAAAATCTTTTTTTTATTTTTATTTTTAATCTTTTAAAAGTGATATTTGACTGTCTAAAGCAAAAATAATAGCAATGTATTATGGGATTTTGTAGCATATGTATGACAACAAAAGCATAAAGTGAAATGTTCTAGGCTCGTACTGTCGCAGAGTTCTTATGTTACACTCGAGGTGGCATACTATTAATTGAAGGTAGACTGTGGTAAGTTAAAGATATATAAAATAACTCTCAGAGAGGGCACTAAAAAAGCCATAACTAATAATTAAGTATAGCTAATAACCAATTCTTAAAAACATTCCATTAAATTCAACAAAAGGGCTGGGCATGGTGGCTCATGCCTGTAATCCCAGCACTTTGGGAGGCTGAGGCAGGTGAATCACTTGAGCCCAGGAGTTTGAGGCCAGCCTGGGCAACATAGTGAGACTCCATCTCTATTTATTTAAAATATAAAAGATAAATTCAACAAAAGGCAGAAAAATAATTTAGAATATGGAGAGAACTAAATATATAAATGGGGAAAGGTTAAGTTAGGGAGTATCAATGTTAACAAAATATTATGTAATCGCTGAAAATGTTTAAGGAGTTTTAAAAATTTATTTATTTATTTATTTTATGGAGATGGGGTCTCGCTATGTTGGTCAGGCTGGTCTTAAACTCCTGCACTCAAGCGATCCACCCACCTCGGCCTCCCAAAGTGCTGGGATTATAGGCATGAACCTCTGCGCCCAGGCTTAAGGATTGAGTTTTTAAATGTTATAGGAAAGCATTTATGATATGTTAAAATTTTAAAAATAGGGTGCAAAGTATATACATTAAAGCATAAATATATAAAGTTTATACTTTATTATTATTATTTTTTGAGACGGAGTCTCGCTCTGTCACCCAGGCTGGAGTGCAGTGGCGCAATCTTGGCTCACTGCAAGCTCTGCCTCCCAGGTTTACACCATTCTCCTGCCTCAGCCTCCTGAGTAGCTGGGACTACAGGTGCCCACCACCGTGTCCGGCTAATTTTTTGTATTTTTAGTAGAGACGGGGTTTCACCGTGTTAGCCAGGACAGTCTCAATCTCCTGACCTCATGATCCGCCTGCCTCGGCCTCCCAAAGTGTTGGGATTACAGGCATGAGCCACCGTGCCCGGCTAAAGTTTATACTTTAAAGTATAAAGTATACATTTATAACTATAAAATATAAAGCATTTATACTTTAGCCTAAATAACTGCAAAAATATTGTAAGCATAGGAAAAAATATATGTGCATTATAGGATGTTTAGCCAAAAAACAAAAAAAGAAAAGAAAAAGACATATGACTGATAATATACCAAATGTGGCTGGGCGTCGTGGCTCCTGCCTGTAATCCCAGCACTCTGGGAGGCCGAGGCCAGGCTGGTCTCAAACTGGCTGGTCTTGAACTCGTAGCCTTGTGATCCACCCGCCTCGGCCTCCCAAAGTTTTGGGATTAAAGGGGAGAGCCTCCGTGCCTGGCTAGTTATTTCTTTTCTTAAAGATGCAGCTTATCACTATGGTTAAAGACATAATGGCCAGGTGCAGTGGCTCACGCCTGTAATCCCAGCACTCTGGGAGGCCGGAGGTGGGTGAATCACCTGACATCAGGAGTTCGAGACCAGCCTGACCAACATGATGAAACTCCGTCTCTACCAAAAATACAAAAATTAACCAGGCGTGGTGGTGGGCGTCTGTAATCCCAGCTACTCAGAAGGCTGAGGCAGGAGAATCGCTTGAACCTGGGAGGCGGAAGTTGCAGTGAGCCGAGATTGCGCTACTGCATTCCAGCCCGAGTGACAGAGCGAGACTCCATCTTAACAACAACAACAAGACAAACGCACAAGATTTGGGGACTCAGCCAGGCCGGGGTTTGGTTCTTGGTTCTGTCACTTGCTAGCTCAGTGGCTTTTGGCAAGTCAGTTTATCTGCAGCTTCGTTGCTACCTCTACATTATGGAGATGAAAGTGTCCACCTCCAAGTGTGGTTTTGAAGATTCAATGAGATAATGTGAATAAAGTGTGTAGCGAAGTGTTTGGCACAAAGCTAATATTGAGTCATTTATTATTACCACGGACATTAATAATCAGAGGAAAATAAGTTTTAAAGGTAAAACTTCTTTTGCGAGAAACCCTCATGGACACAGGCAGCGGAGTGGCGAAGCGATCCCTGAGGTCAGGTTCTGAGTTCAGAACCAGGGCAAAGCACAGAGCAAGCGGCACTCAAGTCTTCCCAGTGAAGATGCTTTTGGTTGCAAGGAGCAGAAACTCTCTCACTGAGCTGGAGTCCTGAATTCGTTATGATATCAGGTGTCAGGGAAACCAGGCCAAGAGATGCCACCAGCTTTCATGAAGCACCAGTACAGAAATATGGACGCCAATACCATGACCCTCTCTTCCCATCTCTTCCCTCTCCTTTCCTTCTACACCTGCTCTGTGCCCCAGGTCCACAGCATCCCAGCGGTGAGTGCCTGTGTTACATGTCCTCACTTCGGCCACGTGCCGAGGCCCAATTCCTGCGGGTTCTGATTGGCCAGCTCGAGTCAGGTGTCCATCCACGGTCCAATCAGATATGACCAAGGGGGGCCAGGGCCACACTACAAACATGGCTGCTTTAGGGCCTGGTTTGTGGACAATGAGAAATGCTGCCAAGTTCCGGGCTTGCTCTTTTCTCCTCTCTGCTCAGGCCTCTCCCTCCTCCTTCATGATTTAGGCTGCTTTAGGCCATGCAGCTGTGGTAAGTGTCCTAGGGTCACTCATGGCCACCCTCTATAGAAGCTCCCTGTGGGCTGTGAGTAAAAGTGATGTCCAGAGAAAGGGCTGTGCGTTGATGCCCCCAAAGGGCATTCCCTGAATTTTATTTGGTTTCCTGACATTTGCCACAGGACCACAGTTGGTGACAGATTCCCAGGATGCTGGCTAGGATCGGACCCAGGCGGCACTTCTGGATTCCTAGTTTTTGCTGGAGAGGGGTCGACTGCCAGATTAACAGGCTGTCTGGCAAATGGCGGCCTTCGGCAGCACTTAGGTCCGAAAACACAAAGGTTGGCCTAAGAAAACCATAATTAACTACACACACACACACACACACACACACACACACACACACACACACACTCACTAGAAATAAAAGACTAGTGTCTCTTTTAATTGTCATTTTTATAGCTCCCCACCGCAGCTGCCCCCCACCCTTCCCTTCGATGACAACGTTTGCAGGCTTCAGGGGGACCAGGGAACAAAGCTGGGGCCTGGCAGCCCCACTACGCTGCCAGCCGGGGAGAACAAGTCACAATTACAAATTATCACAACAATTAGCGCCTGTACTTGGGGGATCTGCAAATTGAGGAGGCCCCAGCTCCTCATTGTACACGGGTCTATTTGGCAGTGACCTTGCTCTGGAGACGATGATATTCCTTCAGCCTGTAAACCAGATTCAAAACAAAGAAAAATGTAAATTAACAATAACAACACACACTGGGTTCAATTAATTCAGGCAGAGCTGGGGTGGCTGGGGCAGCTGTTTGTTAAGATGTGTGTGAAGTTGCCTTTTTTTCTATTCCCTCTCCCGCCCTGGCCCCTCCTGCCCTCCAATCAGGATAATGTAATTAATTTATCTTAGGGGGAAAACATTGTTTGTCATTGTTGAAGACAAAGCGTTTAACTGGCAATAGGAGAAATGAAGAGGCCACTATGTAAGCCCTGTTTGTTCTGGGCCATTTAAAAGGGTTTATAGAGTCATAAAATACAAACAGAGGGCGCAGGAGGCAGGGGAGGTGGAGGTGACGGAGGGGAAGGGAGAGGACCCTGGGCAGATGGGCGGGCTTCAACATCTCTCGGGGCATGAGGTGCCTCCAGGGACAAGAGACTGGCTCTGGGAGAAAATGATGGCTCTGTGCCCAGGGCATGTTGTTAGCAAGAGGAGACTGACTTGCATCTTCTTCTAGACTCCAATCCCCATGAGAAGGGAGCTGGTGATGGAGAACCCACAGCAGGACAGGCCCTCCGGACTCAGCTCCACCACCTCCTAGCTGTGTGACCCTTGGAAAGTTACTTAACCACTCAGCCTGTTCCCGGGGAGTTGCAAATTTTGTGTAAGAATTAAATGAGACATCCTAGGAGAGTGTCCCAGAGCAGCTTAGTCTATGTTAGCTGCTGGTGACAAACGACCCTGTTTGCCCTTGAGCACACCGGCCCTGGGCTGAGTGTGCTTGCTGCTGGCACTGCCCCTGGCTCTTCCTGCATGCCAGGGTCTAAGCCTGAGCCGCATGCTTGATTTCCACAGGCTCATATTGAACCTTCACTGCATCTGTGAGGCAGGTACAGCTGACACTCTTACTGGTGACTCACAGAGGATCAAAGGTCTGAGTGACTTCAGATGACGTGCACCACCCTCCTGGGCCATGGAGATCCACGTGGCTAGGATGGCTTCCAGCTAGACCTACAGCTCAGGTATGGTGACAGAAAACAAAGGCTTCTCTCCACCTCTATGCTATTTCCTTGTTTAACCTGCCCTGCAAAGGAGCTCATAGTGGAGTCCCTGTGGCTTAGCGGGAGGGGAGGGCAAGTATCAGAGGCACCCGGTGGGACACAGGAACCTAGGACCCCAATGCCTAGGACCCTCTGTTACTGTCGGCTATCAAAGCATGCTTCTGAGGATGCTATGGGCAGATGGACAGGAAAGTGGGGTTTGTCTAGGGCAGGGCAGGGCAGGGCAGGGCAGCAGTCAAGGTCGCATCAAAGCCTACCCTTTACACCTGGGGGCTCTCAAAGCCTACCCTTTACACCTGGAGGCTCTGAAGGCCCGTCAGGGCCCTGAGCTTCTCACCTGAGGGAATTGATGTTGATGAACCCGGTGGCATCAGTTGGCTCATAATCACCCTGCACGTTCATGCTGCAAGGAGAGTAGAAGCTTGTCAGCTCAGCCTGGCCCTGGCCTCTGCTTGAAGGGAGGACTGCTGGGGCCAGAAGCAGCCCCACCTCCCAGATGCCAGGGCATTTCCCCTGTGTGGGTCCAAACCCTCCCTGCACGTCGGCTTTCCATTGAATTTCTGTACAACTCAGGGAACCCTGTTCTGGGCCAGGCACCCACCCAAAGGTTGGAGAGCCCTAGTGGAGCACACAGCAGCCTCTTCCCTGCTACACAATGTGGCAGGAGGCTAGGAGCAGCCACCCCAGAACTAGCCCTATGAATTCCACCAACCAGAGCACTCTGTCTGTAAATGGGTAACTCGTCCAAGCCAGCTGTGCCCTTGGGACTGTGTGGATGGCATGCAGTGACCTGAAGGCTCAGGAGGCCTTGGGGTGTGAATTGCAATAGCACAAGGGCATTTCGCAAGCTGCAGGGAGGCCTCCAGCATTCACAGCGAGATGGGCCCACCAAGTCACCTTTCCCCTCATGTGTCCAACCAGTTAGACCTTACCTAATCCATCCTGAAACCTGGGCACCCACTGCCAGTGTGTCATGGAAAATGCTGGGTTGACTGCTGCTGTACTCAGCAGAGCAGATTTTACCTCTCTACAGTTTCCACCTCTCAGACTCACCAGCCTTCTGCTTTGGGGCTCTCCACCCTTAGCTGCTCCTCCCAACCTTCCTAACCATGGCAGTCACTCCAGCCAGCTGACTGGGGTTTGCGTCCTGTTTCCGCCACCCGCCACCAGAGAGCCCAGGCCAGTATTCCTGCACTCGGAGCCTCAGCCTTGCACTTGTGAAATGCGTGATGGTGGTTAGCTCTCAGTGTCACATTTGGCCCCACATGAAATAATGTAGCTGGTGCCTGGCACATGGTGAGCACCCACTAGTACTAACAGTATTCATTCACTCATTCATTTGTTCAGGCATTTATTAAGCCCTTGCTGCCTGCCAGATGCTGGGCCAGGTGCCAAGGAAGGAAGAGCAAGAGTGGTGTCCACAGGGAGGGGCCAGACCGAAGCAATCAATCACCCATTGCCTTCATTAATTATGGTTGTGCTAAGCACTTAGGGCACGTGGACTCAGATGCCTCCTACTCCACAAGGCCAGCCTCTGAGCCTCTGAGAGGATGGGGTCCCTTGTCATGTCCTGCTCTGAATCAGACCCTTGTCTGCAGAATTCCAGCCTTGGGACAAAGCTGACTCAAGGTTCTCGAGGTAGGGGTAGCGGGGGTCGGTGTTGGGAGGCAGGAGGATCTGCTGCTTTGAGACCCTGAGGCTGGCCCTCTGACTGGTTCTTTGTAGACAGTGGACTTTTTACAAGAACAAATGAGGTCTCTGCATCTGCCTGGCCCCAGTGATTTGTTCAGGACCCGGGCCCTGACCTTCACCAGGCCTTGAAGCCGGTGGGTGCGTGGAACTCTCTGCAGAGTCACTCCCATGCTCCTGTACCTCCTTGATGTCCCTTCCTCCCTCCTCCACACCTCCACGGCCCCTCCAGGGCTCAGGCACTGAAGCCACTAGGAGCTTGCATTCCCTGGAAGAGGAGGAGATACCAGACTTTTGCTGGCCACCCCTTTCTGTGCAGTCAGTGCTTAGGAAGAGCTAGACCAAACTAGACCACCAACCTCCTCAGATCCCTTCAACAGACCTTGTTTTAGAAACCGAGCCTCAGCCCCACTGGCCCCTATACTCAGCCCAGGGAGAACGTAGGACACAGAATCCCCCCACCTCTGTGTCCATCTGTCCCTTCACCTCCATCTCTCACAAGTCACAACAAACTCTCCCCATCCCGTTCCCCAAGGTGGGAACTTCCCAGCTGCCCTGGCAGCCCCTGCAAAGAGGGCCCACATCCAGGGACAAACTTGTCCCACGAGGCTGCTGGGAGTTCCAAGAGGGGTTTCTCAGGAACTAAAAAACCTCTTTTTAAAATTGTGGTTTGAAGTGAGCGGGGAGGTGGAAAAAGAGTTTACAATGATTTTTTTCTTTTTTTTTTTTTACCTCCCCTGACGGTCTACAGAAAACCTCTGTGCTTTTATTTTTGCTCATTCGAGTGGCTCTGACCTGCTCTATAATTACGTTACTTTCTACCTACTGAGCCACGGCATTTCCAGCTCTGCTACCTCTCACGGCTTCCTCGCTGGTCCCTGTGACGCTGTCACTCAAGGGCTTTCAAGTCAGCGATGTAGAAATCAAAAAGAAAAGGGAAATGGTCGGAGACACAGTGAGAATAAATGCTCCTGCTTTTCTCTCTTTTTTCCCCTTTCCCTTTTTACTTTATTCATTTAATCTCCCTGAGTGAGACTGTAAGGCTTAATGAAGGGTTGGACAGATTATTAGAGGCTGTTGATTTGGAGGGGGAGGGAAGAAAGAGCCAGAGAGAGAAAGAGAGAAGATAATTTGACATTTACCCCAACTGATCTAAACTGACTCAGTTGTATTTATGGCTTATAAAGTGTTTAGAAAGATTGAAGCGGGGAGAAACTCAACATGGCAAGGAGAAGGGAAAGAAAAAAATAATATTGACTGCCAAACAAGACTCGTACTTTAATTCCCAACCAGCCTCCAGGAGGGAGGGGCTGGCCTTAGCCTGAGCTAAGCTGGGCCTTAGGGGACCCACGTCTAGTGGGGGCTGTCTGTCCCACAGGGGCCTGCCCCATCTCTAGTTTGGCCAGGTGACCTCTGGAGGTGACACCTCGTCCCTTGGTGCAGGTCACTCTCATCCACGGGGCGGACACAGGAGTGGCCAATCGTTACCTGCCACCTTTGCCCTGGCTCACCAGGGCCCTCCTGCCCCTCCAGGGGCTCCTCCTTGGCCACCTTCTGCCTGGTCCATCAATGAGAAATCTCATGGTTCCAGTTGTGTTTCCTTTTTTTTTTTTTTTTTTTTTTTTAAAGAGACAGTGCCTAGCTTTGTTACTAAGGTTAGAGTGCAGCGGTGCAATCCTGGCTCACTGCAGCCTCCAGCTCCTGGGCTCAAGTGATCCTCCTGCCTCAGCCTCCTGAGTAGCTGGGACTACAGGTGCATGCCACCACACCTGGCTAATACTTTATGTATTTATTTTTTGAGACAGGGTTTTGCTGTGTTGCCCAGGCTGGAGTGCAGTGGCATGATCATGGCTCAATGCGCCCTTGATCTCACAGACTCAAGAGACGCTCCCACCTCAGCCTCCCAAGTAGTTGGGACCACGAGCACATGCCACCACGCTTAGCTAATTTTTTTATTTTTAGTAGAGATGAGGTCTCACTATGTTGCCCAGGCTGGTCTTGAACTCCTGGCCTCAAGCGATCCTCCTGCCTTGGCCTCCCAAAGAGTTGGGATTACAGGTGTGCACCATCTTGCCTGGCTAGTTCCCTTCTTGTCTCACTCCACGCTTTCCCCTAGGCAGTCTCTCTTGGCCCAGCGCTTCAGAGAACATCAAAATGCCTATGATGCTCCAGGGTCTTCAGCCTGGGTTCTCCTCAACTCTAGACCCAAGTGTCCGGCGGCCTTCCAGTTAGTTTTTCCCAGCTATCTCAAAAGAAACCCATACTCATGACACCTAAATCCAAATGCATGATCCTTCCTCAAGAGCATTTCCTCAACCCAGGGACTGCACCCAGCTGCTCACGACCCCAGACACCAGGGTGATTCTGGACCCTCCATCTCCCTCCACATCCAAGTCATTTCAATCCCTCCTCCTAGATATGTGTCACATTCGCCTGCTGCTATCTAGTCCAGGAATCATCAGCATGGTCCAAGCTACCGCATTTCCACAGGTGCCCTTCCACCTCCCACCTACTCAAATCCGTTCTCCAGAGCAGCCAGGAGGACCCTCTAAATGCACAGATCTGATCTTGCCCTTCCCTTTAAGATCTAGCTTCAGCTCCTTCCCCCTGGCCACTTTTGCCCTTCCACCCCTCCCCCCATTCACCTGTTAACTCCTTCTGCTATTGTTTGAATAGCAAAGGAGCTTCTTCACAACCCCAATTATTTTATATATATATGTGTGTGTGTGTGTGTGTGTGTGTGTGTATATGTATGTGTATATATATATATATATGTATGTGTGTGTGTATATATATTTTTTTGAGACAAGGTCTTTCTATGTTGCCTAGGCTGGTCTTGAACTCCTGGGCTCAAGCAATCTTCCCACCTCGGCCTCCTGAGTAGCTGAAATTACAGGCATGCACCACCCCTCCTAGCCAATCCCAGTTATTATACCCAGCCAGACTATCCTGCATTCCTCACAGCCCGCTGCCACCTTGTCTAATTCTACATTCTGGTAATGGTTTGATCCATGCCTTTCTCCCAGCTAGCCTGTAAGTTCCACGGGAGCATAGTGGTGTCTATATCCTCTGTGACCATCACTCTGTGCTCTGCATGGTGCCTGACATGTGCTCAGGCACAGATGTCTTGAGGATCCAGTCAAAAGATAGGCTCTGTGCCCAAGTGGGGGTCAGAATGAGGTGTGGGGCACCTACCTCACCAGCTCCTCATTGTAGAGAGACAGTGGGGACTCCCGGCCGAGGATGTACACCTGGCCCTTGAGGACGGACACCTGCACTTTCCCTTCCACTCGCTCCTGGGACTTGGCGATGCAGTGGCGGACAAATTCACACTCAGGGCTGTGCCAGAAACCTACAGGGAGGAAAACAGGATACCACTAGGGAGGCCTCCTGCACCGCGAGGACACAGGGAGACCTGGGGCACAGGAAGGGTGCCCCATGGTTTACCCCGCCATGCAGACCATGACTGCCTCCCGCGAGACTGGCACAATGTGCGCTTGCCAGTGGCTGAGTTGAGGACCATGCTTTCATAGCCCTGCCCTCTAACCTTGCAAAGGGCCTGTGGGTAAGGAGGTGACCACCTAGGTCATTTCCCTAAGGGTCAGGAGGAGGGAAGTGACCCACTGCTTCATGCCATAGGCATTCAGGAAGTGCCACAGGCCAGCAACTGGGGACACAGTGGTAAAGGGACCCCATCCCTGGCCCAATGGAGGCTCTAATCTCCGGGGGAGGCAGAAGACCTCAGACAGGACTCAGAGGCACATGCTGCCTGGGGCTTGGTGATATGGGTGTCCAGTGCAGGCAGCTGGGTGGTGGTTCAGACCATGGCCATGCATAGCCTTCCCCTCTCTGTGCCTCTGTTTCCCCATCTGTTGAGTGGGGATGTCACAGTAATATTTCATGTGGAGCCCCTAGCACTGAGCAGCACCAGCCTTAGGGGCTACTGTGAACTGGAGTCCTGGCCAGAGCCCACCCCTTGGAATCAGTGAGCTGTTTTCTGCACCTGCTGCTGTTTTCCTGGGCAGATAGAATATTTCTGCATAGATAAGCAGCACTGCGCTCAGGCTTTGATCTGGGCTAGCTCCCTGAATCCTCATAGACAGCACTCTGAGAGAAACTCTCTTAGCCTCTCCCCTTTCTGGGTGAGGAAGGGAGGCTCAGAGAAGTTAAGAAACTTCTCCAGGATCACACAGGCCGGAAGTGGGGAGCCTCCATTTGACTTGTGTTGGCCCAAGTTGTAACAACTCTGCTTCCTATGATAAACTTGGAGCTTTCTCTATGGCCAGAACATCCCTTGGTGTGTAGGTGGGGGCAGGAGGTGCCTGAGAAACATGCTCCCTCCCCTCTCCCCGAGAGCCCTAAAGGCCAGGGAGGGGTAGCGCTCAGACCCCAGTCTGCCCCCGGCCTCTCTCTAGCCTCTGCTGATGGAGGCTGGGACCAAGGGGCAGGCAGGCAGGCAGGCAGGCAGGCCATGGCGGGGGGAGGGACAGGGCAAGGCTAGAGTTTCCTGAAATGGAGCCTGGAAGGTGAGCCCACCTGGGCAGCTGCAGGGCCAGATGGCGCATGATCTCCTGCCCTGATAAAGGGCTGGGTCAGCCCAGGGGCTGCGGCTATTGTGGGAGGCCCAGGCCCCTGGGGGCACCTGCAGAGGTCCTCCGTGGGAAAGGGGACAGGCTTCTGGGATGGGGTCCTGGGGCTTGCAGAGGCGGGGGAGGGCCAAGCACGGAGAGTAGAGGTTGAGTCCTTGCTCTCCAGTGTCCCACCCTGTGAGTCCGCATCCCAGCCACACCTGGACAAGTGATTAACCTCCCTGTGCCTCGGTTTCCTCATTTGCACAGTGAGAAAACATTGCTAACCAGAGGTTGTGTGGATGCAGTGAGGGAATGCACAGAGCGCAAAGCGTTTTGCATTTGCAGTTTGAACATGATGCTCTGTGCCAGCCCTCACTGTACACAGGGAGAGAGGCCCAGAGAGGGAAAGAGCCTGTCCAAGGCCACACAGCAAGACTTTGGAAGAGCCCAGGTCTGATGAAGCACTCCTAACTCTGGCCCAGGGCTTTTTCCAACACACCCCGAGACCCTCGTGGAGGGGGCCACTGATGTTCTCCCAGCCCCCCATGCCCTGGTGTCCTGGGCTTGGCCATCTTTCTGACGGAGCTGGGATAATTAGCCCATTAAGTTTCCAGGCCGGAAGACAGGCAGGAGATGGAGCCAGAGATAGGACAGAGATCTCTGTGGGAGCAACTGGCCTGGGCTTTATCTCAGAATTTTCTACCTCTGCCCCACAGGGTTCTTCTGCTCAGATTTCTTTTCCCAGCGGACCCAGCCTGGGTTGGGGGCCAGTGAGCCTGGCATAAGCTGCAATGGGGGAGACCCTGCACCCCCCAGACCTGCAGATCACTGTGGGTGGGGCTTAGGGCTGAGCTGGAGAGGGACCCCTCCCCCGTGCTGCTAGGCCCAGCCAAACACATGCGATCCTTTCTAACTGGAGCAATTCTGTGTGAGTTGCACATTATACCCATTTTATTGCTGAAGAAATGGAGGTGAGGGGAGAAGAAGTGAGCTATACCCCCTAGATGAGATGCTCCTCTGGGCCCTGCCAGGGTCCTGAAGCTGGGGTCCTGCCAGGCTAACCCTGGTTGCCACTCCTGGAGACAGTCTGCCTGAAGCTCACACAGCCAGACCAGGAAATTTGGGAATGGTGGGAGAGGAGAGGGAGCCAGCCAGCCACACACAGACACACAGATGCAGAGTGGCAGTGGTCACAGAACCTAGGGCCTCTAGGAGTGAGGCTGGGGCAGGAGGGCTTCCCTGTGCCTCAGTCTCCCTATCTGTGCCGAGACCACAAGGGCTCTGAGGAAGCCAAGCATTACAGCAGAATGGTGGGCTTTCCACCCAGGAGCTAGACGGGACTGGGAAGAGACCCTGGCGTGCCCTCAGCCTGGTGCCCTTTATTTGACAGGAGGGGAAACTGAGGCTCAAGGAAGAGACAGCCCTGCTCAAGACCATTAACCCAGCCAGAGGCAAGACTCCAAGTGCCGCGCCTCCACACTGGGAAACCACGCCGGGCGCTCGCAGTTATTTCACGCACTGGAATAAGCACTCGTCTGCCAGACATTGTTCCAGGTGCTTTACAAATACTCATACTTTTAGTCCTCACCCACCAGACAGGTAGAACTGTTATTCCCACTCTTCAGATGGGAAAACTGAGGCCTAGGGAAGTTAAGTAACATGATCAGGCAAAGCCCTGGTCTATACCATGTCTGTATCCCTCATGGGGAAAATCGCATCAAACAGGCCCTCTGAGCTGTGGGGGTCAGCCTGCTGCCCGAGGCCGATCTTGATGTTTGTGGGGCCCTGCATGTCAGCGGACCAGGGCAAAGTTAATATTAGTGATAACTACCCAGAAGAAGCCCCTACTCTCCCTCGCCTCCACTCTGAGATTTTGTTTCCTTTTAAGTCTCCTAATCATTGTACCTCAGTTTGGGATGTAGAGGGCTTGTCGCTGGCTGTCAGAGCAGGGACTCAACCCAGCCAGTCCAGTGTAGAGGCATCGTGACCGCAGCCAGGAGCCAAACTGTGCCCTACACCCAGGGTTCCCCTGTCTGTGCCGCCGTGCCCCTTGATCACGAGCATCCTGGAATCTGTTGGAGTAACTGGGAACTTGGCCGCTACAGCTGGCCTGTCCCCGGCTCAAAGCTGCCCATCACCAGCCAGGAGAGCCTGGGTGAGTGTCTTCACCTGGGGGCCTCCGTTTCCTCACCTCTGCGCAGCTAATATTAGATAATACCCCATCAGGTGCCCAGCTCAGAGCCTAGCAGCAAGATGGCAGGATAAGTGGCAGCCGTGGCCGCGGCCACGGTGGGATCAGCCTCCGTGGAGGCCCCGGAGCAGCCCGGCCAGGTGCTCTCTCCTCCGCCACGTCTTAATGACTCTCTCACTTTGTAACTAAAATCCTCCTTTCGGGGTCGCAATCCCGCCGGGCTGGAAAGCCTGCAGGAGACAATGGTATTTAAGCACCTGTCTGTCCCTGGGAACGGGGGCAGAAACTTGGCTTCAAAGCTGCAAGGAACAATGGCAGGGAGAAATAACGCCAGCCAATAACCATCGAGCCCTCTCGAAATCCTGAGATGAGTTACAGTGATTAGGAGGCTTAAAAGGAAACAAAATCTGGGAGTGGAGGGGGAGAGGCGAGGGGAGGAGAGCTTAGCCCAGGTAGCTATTCGATTAACTAATACTAACTTTGCACAGGTCCCCTGACGTCCAGGCCCCCGAAGATGTGAGGATCGGCCTCAGGCAGCAGCCTGTCCTCCCACAGCTCAGGGCAGCTGTTTAATGTAACGCCCCAAATCAGGGCTATGTGTATGTTATGGAGGTGGGTGGGAAGGGCCAGAGAGTCAATATTTTAGGCTCTTTGGGTCCTATGGTCTCTCTCAAATGGCTCAACCTCCCCTTGCCGCTCCAGGGGAGCCACAGACAATGCAGAAACAGCCACCTCACCTGGCATGAGCCACCGTGCCCGGCAACACTTGAATTTTATATAATTTGTCATGAAATAGCATTAAAAAATTTTTTTTCCTCCCAACCATTTAAAAATGTAAAAACTGGCCAGACAGAGTGGCTCATGCCTGTAATCCTAGCACTTTGGGAGGCCAAGACGGGCGGATCACCTGAGATCAGGAGTTCGAGACCAGCCTGGCCAACATGGTGAAACCCCATCTCTACTAAAAATACAAAAACTAGCCAGGCATGGTGGCGCATGCCTGTAATCCCAGTCACTCAGCAGGCTCAGGCAGGAGAATCGCTTGAACCAGGGAGGCGGAGGTTGCAGTGAGCCAAGATCGCACCATTGCACTCCAGCCTGGGCAACAAGAGCGAAAGTCCGTCCCAAATAAATAAATAAATAAATAAATAAAATAAAAATGTAAAAACTATTCTTAGCTCATGAGCTGAACAAAAACAGGTGACGGGCTGGATTTGACCCAGGGACTGTAGTTTGGGGACCTCTGTTACACCACATGAGGGTTGGATTTTGGAGTCAGGAGGCCTGGATTCCAAGGCATGGAAACCCGGGCTCCTCACCTGCAAAACGGGGACACCCCCGCCTCAGGTGCTGTCACCCACCGGTCCTTCCACACATGGGCTGGGTGTGTGACAGGGCTCAGGCCCTGTGGCCACCCCAGTGGTTTCATGGTCAAGATCTGGCTCCTGCGGTACTGGGGTCTGGGGCTGAGTTCCTGGTCCAGGGAGCCTCTCCCTCAAGTTCATGGAGTAGGTCCAGGTTCTTCCTGGAGACAGCCTGACTTGGGGGTCAAACCCAGCTAGGCCACTTCTGGTTTTATGCTTTCCTTCTGAGCCTCAGTTTCCTCGTGTACAAGGAGCTGCAGACCTCCTGGGAAAGTTGTGAGGACCATGCGGGGTGATGCATGTCGCCGCACAGTGCCCAGTGCCTGGCATTGCTGCAGTCATGCAAACTGTAGGGGGTGGAAGCTGCCGGACACCTTGGGAAGCCGGTGCATCTCCCTGGACACACCCCATGGCAAGGCAGGTTCTAGCATCCCCTTGCTCCCTCATGCCCTGCACTTTCCCTCAACCCCCTTTGGCCTGCACCTTTTGGGGTCTCACATGAGGATGGCAGTGGGCGGCAGGGGAGGAAGGTGCTGATACGGAGGGGAGGGCCAGGCCCGAGAGCCTGATAGTACTTTGGGATCCCTTGTGAGGCGGTTAGAGGGGGCAGCCATAGAGTCTTACGCACCGGTATACACCAGCTCAGCAAATTTCAAGCCCAGGCCTTGTTTGATTTTGCGCACTTCCCGGTCCATGGTGAAGGCCTCGATGTCTAAATGAGCATGGTAAAGGATGGTGCCTGCTGGGGTCTCGTAGATACCTAGCCATTTTTCCAGGCAGGGGGAAAAGGAGAAAAAAGAGAGAAACGCATGAAACCCAAACTGTCAGCAAATGACAAAAAAAAAAATAATAATAATAATGAGTCGTCTGACAGGAGACAAGCCGGCCGGACCCATTCACTCCCAGCTTGCTGCAAAATGCATCTGTCATTATGTTCATGCTGGGGCCACGACAGTCCACTCTGCGGCTTGTGGAGAAAATGTCTAGATGCCCCCTTTGAAGGGGCCCTCAGACGCTAGAAAATGACAGGGTTTCGGAGCAGCAACCCCTCCCTCCCCATGCGTGCCCACCGGCCCGAGGTTGAAAGCCTGTAATTAAAGCGACTACGGTAGAGCCCAGAGCCCCAAATATCCCTTCTTCCCTTCCACCAGGGAGCCAGGGGAGGGGGACAGCTGTGCACATACATGTACACATGTGTACACACATGCCACCTTCAGCCCATGGGGCCCCTGCGGCCAGGTCTCTCCAGAGGCCACTGGGGTGGCAGAGGGCTTGGGCAATCACCTAGGCTGACCGCACCGTGCAGATGGGGAAACTGAGCTCAAGAGGAGAAGGGACTTGCTCTAGGTGGAGCTGGGAACTGAATGTAGGCCCCCGAGTCCCTCACCAGTGCTGTCTGCTGCCCTGTAAGTCACCTGGCCGTGGAGGCCCAACCCTGGAAGGTCAGGGGAGAAGGGATTGCTCAAGTCCCCTCTTGTGACCTCAGGCCCAGTCCCTCCATTTGGAAAACAACCTGCTTGGAACAGATGATCTCCGAGTGAGACAGAAATGCCTGGTCTTGGGCTGAGCTGGGTCTGGGGGAAGGTCCTACTGCATTGGAGGACAGTGGGGCACCAAGAGGCAGGACCGCCCACAGCACACAGCCCAGGCCCCCTCTTGCCCCAGGAGTGCGACCTCTCGCATCAACTTCAGAGCTGGCCCTTGGGCAAGCCTGCCCTGCAGCTGCTGTCTGGGTGGAGCAGGGGCCATAGCTCCCCCATCTCCATGGATTCTACCCCGAGAGCTTCCTTTCTTCCACCATACGTTACATCACTAAAAGGGCAGGTTCTCAGTTATCCTGGGAATTTACTAACATCTTTCTACAGTGGCTGCTTGAAAAAAACCCAGAAAGGATTTGTACACTCATGTTCATAGCAGCATTAATCACAATAGCCAAGAGGCGGAAGCAACCCAGGTGTCCATCGAGGGATGAGTGAAGAAGCAAAATGCAGTCCATCCATACGATGGAATATTATTCAGCCTTAAGAAGGAAGGGGGCCGGGCACAGTGGCTCATGACTGTAATAATTCTAGCACTTTGGGAGGCCGAGGCAGGTGGATCACCTCAGGTCAGGAGTTCAAGACCAGCCTGGCCAACATGGTGAAACCCCGTCTCTACTAAAAATAACAAAAAAATTTAGCCGGGCATGGTGGTACATGCCTGTAGCCCCAGCTACTTGGGAGGCTGAGGCAGGAGGATCACTGGAGCCTGGGAGGCAGAGGTTGCAGTGAGCTGATTTCACACCACTGCACTCCAGCCTGGGTGACAAAGCAAGACTCTGTCTAAAAAAAAAAAAGGAAGGAAATCCTGACACATGCCACAGCATCAACATAAGGCCGTGACGCTAAGTGACAAAGGCCAGGCACAAAAACAAACACTGTATGTTCCACTCATGCGAGGTCCCTCGAGTCATCAAAATCATACAGCCAGAAATGGTGGCTGCCAGGGGCCGGGGTAGGGAAAATGGGGAGTTTCATGGGGCCAGAGTCTCAGCTTTGCAAAAAGAAAATGTTCTGGAGGTGGACGGTAGTCACAGTGGCACAGCCCTGGGAAAGGACCTAATGCCGTTGAGCGGCACGCTTACGCATTTTAAAATGGTTCATTTTATGTTACATGTATTTTACCACAGTTTTAAATTAAAAAAAAAAAAAAACCATGAAGGATATTGGTTTTGACTCTGAAGCCTACCGGGGATCTGGGGAGGCTGAGTCTGCTGAGCCCTCGTGCACTAACCAGAAGTTTCCTCCTTGGAGAACTCCTCCAGTCTTTGATCTTTAAGTCTTAGAATCACGGAAATGTCAGAGCTTGCATTAGGATCAATCCGGTACCGTGTTCTCCCGACTGTTAGCTGCCAACCTAATATTCAAACAGCCTGCGGCAGAAGCCCAGCATATAGAAGAGATGGCAGAGGTTGTGCTGGGAGGAACAGAGGCCCCTCTGCAAACTCTGGACTCACCTTAAATCTAGTCCCACACACCAGTTTTACAAATGAGAACCTGAGGCCTGGGGAGGGGGGTGGCTTGCCTAATACCACCCAGCCAACTGGAGGGGGAATGGGCCCGGCCCCGGGGTCTCCCATCTCAGCTCCAGGTGGCCTCGAAGGGCCTTTGGCAAAGTGATCAACTGCTAACCAGAGCGTGAGAGAAAAAGCCCAAGTCCAGGCTGTTGCTGTGGAGGAAAAGCTTGGTTCTCACCATGGCTCCGTGTTCCTGGGCAGAAGGGAACCTCTCTGGGGGCTTGGTTCTCTCATCTGTAAACCCCTGATATACTGGTGTCAGGTGACATGCTTGTGAAAGCCCCTCAGAGCAACCAGGTGCAAATATGAGTATCGTGTGCTGTGAAAGAGCCCATCCCGCTTCATTGGTGGGGGCTGCAGCCTTCGGCATGTCCACCGTCTGAATCTAGTTGTGACCTCTGATTAGGAAATGGCCTCTCTCCAAGTTTATGCAGAGATCCAAGCCCTCAAATCCCTCGGGAGTTCCTCAGGCCTCACCGTGACTCTTGTAAAACAGTTCAAATGGGTCCGTCATCATTTTCTGCAGAGTAGCTCAGAGCCACAAACCAGGAAGGGGTAAAAAGGCTGATGGCAGCAGAAACAGAGGAATGACTGAGAAAAGTCATTATAGACAGCCTGGAGAACAGGGACATAGAACTTAGCACAGGCCAGGTATGCGGGGGCTCACACCTGTAATCCCAGAACTTTGGGAGGCCAAGGAGGGAGGATTGCTTGAGCTGAGTCCAAGACCAGCCTGGGCAATATAGTGAGACCCCATCTCTACCAAAAAATTAAAAAAATTAGCTGGGCGTGGTGGCATGTGCCCGTGGTCCTAGCTACTACGCCAAGGTGGGAGGATCGTTTCAGCCCAGGAGTTCAAGACCAACCCAGGCAATATAGGGAGACCCCGTCTCTACAAAAAAATGGTAAATTAGCTGGGTGTGGTGGTGTATGCTAGGTGGGAGGATTGCTGGAGCCCAGGAGGTTGAGGCTGCAGTGAGTCATGATCGTACCACTGCACTACAGCCTCGGTGACAGAACAAGACCCTGTCTGAAAGAGAAACAAAACAAAACATGATGACCGCACACAAACATGACAGTGCCAAAAAAGCCACCAGAAAGGGGAATGGTTCAGCAGTGTGTCCAGAAAGACCAGTGTGTGCAGAAACAGGAAATCTCTGTCTCCAAAATGGCAGATATAACGATAAAGTTCGAGGAGCAAATTTTCAATCAGCCTAGAAACCTTATTACCAGAAATAAAGCAATTTCCCAAGAGCACGACACTGACAAAGTCCTGCTGGTCCTCCATCCTGGCACATGCTAGAACTGGATACATATCGGGTTGGAAACAGGCCTTCTAGTGATTAGTTTGGGTACATTTTGGAAAATTCCAGAAACTTGCAAAGCCCATCCTTACACTGGCCACAGAGTCGTAATGGCGCCATCCTGGGTAGGCCGGTAGCAGGAGCCCTCCTCATTTTCAACTCCTAGACACCCAGGCCCGCCTCCCTGCTTTTCTGTCCTCAGCTCGGCCAACTGTAGGGCAGTCCAAACTACATTTGCAGGGCTGGAGCTGGGCACCAGGAGTCCTACAACCATGCTTTACAGAAAGTGCCCAGCTTGGCCTTTACAGAAGGTGCCCAGCTTGGCTTTGCTGTGTGACTTTGGCCGGTCTCAGCCCCCTCTCTTAGACCCAGGCAACCCATCTGGAAAACAAGAAGGCTGCAAGTTCCTGCTGCTCTGACATTCCAACTTCCTTTGGGACCTACCTCAAAGGTAAGTGTTCAGAGCGTCCTCCAGGTGTGCCCTACTTACTGACAGTCTTGTCTCGAGAACATTCGAGGCCACAGCATCGCCTCCCATCAGTCCAGAGAGGGGAGGGCGCAGGTGGGGTTCAGGGCTCGAGGAAGAGCTGTGACTTGTCCAAGGTCCTCCAGCTACTGGCCCATCACAGGTGTCCCCAGGAAAATGAGGCCAGTGCCACCGGGAGCAGAGAATGTCTGGTGGGCAGAGGCCAGGCAGAACCCTCCTCTTCCTGAGCCCCCAGCACCGGCTTCCTGGCTGCCACCCTCCCAGGCAGCCTCCGGAGGGCTCACGGGCAAGGGGAAAGGCTGCAGCCACAAAACACACCAGTGCAATTAATATTCCTGCTCCTTTTCTTCGAAAGTGTTAATTGTGACGGATCAAAAAACTTGTTTTTAGGTTGCTGCCGACGCGCGCGCGCGCACGTGTGTGTGTGTGTGTGTGTGTGTGTGTGTGCGTTTAAAGCTCTTCCCTCTCCTCTCCACAGGGGTAGGGGGTACAGATGATTTCTGTGTGTTTCTTCTGGAAAAAAAAAACAGTGACAGAAACCTGATGCTAAAAGACTATGAATTTGGGGCTTTTGACAGTCGGCATACAAACCACTGCGCAGAGAGAAGGAGGAAATGACAGCTGAGCCTCTGTGTTGCCGTGGAAGAGACAACGGACATCTTTGGAGTGACACACACAGCAGCTCCAAGTGTCTATTTTCATCTCCCCGTGTTTACAGGAAAAAGACAGAGGTGTCAGCAGTTCTCTGTGGAGCAGCTTCAATCACACCATAATTACTGCCAAGAAAGGTGCAGCGGGGAGTGGGGAGACGGGCAAGGATCTAGGGGTGGCCAGGGGTGGCTGGGGGGAGAGTGGACCAAGCAGAAAGAGGTGGGAACCAAACAGCTACTGTGGCCCAAATTCTTCTCATCTGTCCCTGAGGCTGCCAGGTTAGGCAGAATGAGCAATTTTGCAGAATTGAGTGGGATCCGCCAGCTCAGCTGGGGCCTGGGCTGGAGGTGAGGGCACCTGGACTAAAGGCTCTGGTCCTTTGGGAAAGTAGAAGAAGTGATTTGGAAGAGGTGGGGCATAGGGGTTGGCTGGAGCCCAAGGGCTCCCCTCTTAGGTACCAGGGCCAAGGTGAGAAGCAGTTGCCATGGTGATGGGAGGCCAGTCAGGGTGGGACTCTAGCCATCCTCTATGCTCCTGGTGCCTGGCGGGCCCCATCCTGGGTGGGCCTCTGGGGCTGAAAACCTTTTTGCTTCACAGGTCTCCCTCCATTCTCCATCTGGAATGTTCCAGATGGTGGGTGGGCACGTTGGGCAAGTGGGTGACAGCCCTTGTTCCTTCTGGGCCAGAAAGTGGAGGAGTAAGGAGGAAGGGAGACAGGAGGGGAGAGTGGGGAATGGGGAGGAGGATGTGCAAAGAGGGAAGGGCAAGGGAGGGAAGAGGGGAAGGAGGAGGAAAGGGAGAGAGGGAGGAGGAAAGGGAGAGAGGGAGGAGGAAAGGAAGGCAAGGAGGAGGAGCAAGGCGGGGGCAGGCAGAGGTGAGACGGGCAGGGCTGGGAGGAGAGCGGAGAGGGGAGAGCGGCGGGAGAAGTCTGGGGCCAGAGAGGAGACAGAGAAAGAGGCTGAGCACAAGGACATGCGCTGGCTCCTTCCCGGCCTCCCTCGGCTTCCCTCCGGCCTGCCTTGCCCCCCTTCTCCTCCCCACTGATTTCATTTACTTCACTTAATTAGCCCCCCTCCAGAGTTAAAAAGATAATGTGATAATGACATGTGAACAGCCACAATACGGAGAAAGCTACTCCAGCCGCGGCTTCCCCAGCCCCCTGTCCCTGACCCTGAGCGCCGCTGACTAGGCCACCCCAGACCCAGGGCACTGGCGCTGCCCAACTCCCTACCCGCCCCCGCCCCCCAGAGAAAAAAATCAGCCCTTAACGAATTTCAATTACGAGCTTTGTAAAATCAATACAAATGACATGTTCCCCTTGTACACCGAGATACGGACAATAGCATCTTTCTGTTCTGCCCTCAATATAATTGACGATTAACAGCTTCTCTCATTACTGTACACTTAATAAAAACCTTGTCATGGGGGAATCCACAGTGCCCTAATTTACCGTCTCTCCTCTTTCCTTCTCACATGAAATATTTGGAGTAGAGAAATAAAAACAAGACACCACCCTAAAATTACCTAGCAACTTTGTCTTCTCTCCCCAACCCAAAGCAAGAAAATAGGTGAGTGAGGACATTCAGAGGGAGATGATACGACCTCCTCATCTGGCCCCTTGACAATTGGAGTTCCAGAGGGAGAAACTTGCCTAAGATCACACAGCAAGTTCTTGCCGTCAGAATCCCGATTTTCTTCCCTGTACGACACTGACTAAATTCTGTGCTTTTGGGGAGAGCCTCCAACAGCACACACAAAGTACCAGGGCAGAGTGAAGGCTGGGCTCCAGGAAGCTTTCCCCAGGTGGGTGGTAAGGAGCCACGGGGATTGGAACAGACTGTTGATCTCATGGCTTTGACCTTCTACGGGGATGAGGCCCCCATTCTGGGAAAAAGGTCCAGCCTCCGTGGAATGCTGTCAGCTACCATTCCACATTCAGAATAGTGCATTCCAGGTTTTCATCACTAACCACCTCCTTCAGTTCATTTTTGCTCAACTCTGCTTGACTCGCCCCACCCCACAGGATGCCATTTCACAGTGACTTCAGGCCAGTCCTTATCTTTCCAATAGGGAAGGCAATACACTTTCATCACGTATGCCAATCCTGATCATTTGGTAGTGCCTGCAAGCAGCCCTGAGATACCTCTGGAGTCAACAGGATAATGCCAGCATTGACTGGTGATGCCTGCCACAGGCATGGCAAGGGCATGCCTGTGGCAGGCCCTTATTATGATAAGACAGGTGCAATACTGGAACCCACCCCACCCCCCGCCACACTGACAGCTCCCAGAGGATGGGGGCTGCTTCTGTCCCCATTCCACATGCCCGGGGGACTGATGGCTATTTATGGAGCACTTCCAGTGTACCAGTTCCTGCCACCATACATGAGTTTGAACCCAGATCTGTCCAACTCCAGTCTAAGCTGTTAGCCCTCCACTCCATGCCACTCTGGGCCCAGATGGCAGTCCTGGTCCTGCCACTAAAGTGCCTGGGACTTGAAGCAAGCCCTCTATCCCACCCCTCCCCAGCCCTGGCTTCCGCATCTGTAAATGGGGTGCTGGTCTGTGGCTCCTCAAGGTCCCTCCCAGCTCTCCCTGGAGGGTGCACACCGCGCTGGCTCCCAAGGGCAGGCTGCGACAAAGGGGCATCTAATCACATGTTAATATAGGTAAGAGACAAAGGTAAGCCCGGATAAAAAGGAGCAGCTAATTAGTAACATTGTTCTCAAGGCCTCCCCAGAGCTTCAATTAGGTTGTTTCTCCTGAATAACAGCAAGCAAGGAGCTAAAGCCACAAGAAAGAGGCGAGCCTGCCTCCCCTTCCGCGCTCCCATGTCTTTCGAGGCAAGCCCGTCCCCGCCCCGGTCCATGCTGCCATGCCTTTCCAGGGAAACGCAGACAGGTCAGAGCCAGAGTGATGCAACTCCCAGCGCCTACCGCATTACACTTGGGGAAACTGAGGCCTAGCGATAGATGACAAGTCCAAGGTTGTTGGGCAAGGCAGGGCAAACCTGAGACCAGAAGCAGGCATCCTGCCCTCCGGACCACCACCCTTTTCTTCTGGCCCACATGGGGTGATCGGCTCTCTTTGGATTTTAGAATCTTAGTAAAAATAGCCTGAGAGACATGGGGCCGTGACTATACCGTGGCCAGGTGATATTTGGTTGTGGTATCTTTTCAAATCAACCCTAAGCAAAGAGACCTGAACATTTACCGAAACAGGAAGCCCTGACCCCACCACCAGTATAAAAATTCAGGTGCCCAATTCAGGGGCTGCAACTGCTGAAACCTTGCTCTTTCCCTCTTAGGACCCCCAAGAAAGAACACAGCATGGCTTTATCACACACTGGCAGACCCTCAGGGAGCTGAGATCCCCTTGGTGTATGAATGGGGAAACTGAGTCCTGGAGAGGAGGGTTGTGGTCAAGATGAAATGCTGATTGGCTGACAAAGGGAATCATGGGCTTTGGCTACTAAGAGAAGACAGAGGCACCTGCTTGGGGACCAACTGCCCTGCTCCTGGGCCCAGCCACAGGCGGATACGAGGCTAGGCAGGCTAGAGGCCAGCCGAGGTGGCAGGCATGTCACACTGAAGCTCAGCCTCAACTGCGGCACAGCCCCAACTGTGGCACAGCCCCATCCCTGGAGAAAAGGGCCAGTGAGCCGTGCCTGATGCTGGGACAGGTCCTTAGGCCCTGGCCGGCTCCCAGTGCCTGTGCAGCCACAGCGCCCACCCCTGGCAGGATTTTCGCCCTGCCTGGCCGGCGGCCTCCATGCGGCCTTAATGACCACGAAATCGGGCCTGCACGGTCTGCCTCCACACCCGGCCTGCCCACCCCAGACACAAGACAGCCTGACCTCCAGGCCTGGCCCTGGCCTCCCTGCTCCTCGGAGACTCCCCAGGCCCTCCTGGGCCTCTCCCAGCCCTTGGACAGCTCTTCTCATAACACCCTGAAAGTCAGGGGCAAAGGGCCCACGATCCCCACTTGGCAGGAGGGAAACTGCGGTCTCACGGGGTGTGGTGAAAGGACGTGCCCAAGGTCGCCCACGGAGCATGGGGGTAGTAGCGTCCAAAGGGGACAGGGTCTCAGGGATCTCTGGGTTTGCTGGGTCCCGAGGCAGGCCCTGAGGGAGGCTGAGCAGACTCACCTCGGGACTTCATTCCAATGAAGCGGTTCTCCACGATGTCAATACGGCCCACGCCATGCTTGCCCCTGTGGGAAGAACTGGTCCATTAGGTTCGGGCGCTACCGCAAGGCTCAGAGTCACCCACCCAGCTGGGCTGTCCCAGGGTGGGCACAGCTTAGGCCACACATTAGGCAGCATTTCAGGATCTAAGACTCAAGAGGACATCTGAGCCGGGTCACCTAGTCCAGGTGCCCACTGGACAGGTGGGGAAACTGAGGCCCAGAGAGAGCAGGGATTGCCCAGGTGTGAGTTCACATTGTTCCTTCCGTTCCCTGTGTCCTGGGGCCCTGCCTAGCGCCACAGCTAACTACTGCTCCCTTTCCTTCTATCCTGGCCTCCCATCCAGCCAAGGGCCTGAGAGCCCCGGCCTAATGATCCCTTGGAGGCAGGAGACCTCCTGGGGTTGTTATCTTCCAAGGCTAAGGACCACGGAGCCTCTCCTGCCAAATGGGTCCCCCTGGTCCGGGAAACTCTGTGGCTATGGGGAAGGGACATGGCCTGTGCTCCGCACCCCTGAGCCTCAGCCACAACCATTAGCTGCAACGGTCCAGGCTCGTGCTCGCCCGAGACGGCGGTTCCCAAGAGGCCGGACAGGGCTGCAGACACTCACGCGACTTCGTTCAGGTACATGAAGAGCTCCAAGGAGGTCTGGTGGGTGGTGCCATCCTTGACGTTGGTCACCTTCACAGGGACCCCTAGGGTGGGAAGAGAGGGCAGTGGGCCTCTGGGCCCGGCTCAGCGGAGGAGTCTGCACCCGCCACCCCACCCTCTCCCTCCTCCCGAAACGCCTTAAATGGATGTGACAGATATGGACTCCAAATGACTCCTTCAAAAGCCCTGTGCAGGTTGAGGCCTGCTGCAGGGAGAGAAGGGGCGAGAAAGCCCCCCAGAATGAAAGAGAAAATGCAATAAAAACGCTCTCCCCCACCCTCCCATTCTCTTTGCCCCTTTTGCATTTAGGGGCTGTGAAATTGGAACCAGGCCCTGAACTAATTGAATTTCACGCTCCACCATTGTCTTACGCCGGGAGCACCTTCTGTCCCACCAGTCACCCGGGGGCCGCCTGGCCGAGGTGTGGCTGGGCTCAAGCACACACATACTCGCTCACACACACACACACA
Source organism: Homo sapiens (assembly GCF_000001405.40). NCBI lineage: Eukaryota > Metazoa > Chordata > Mammalia > Primates > Hominidae > Homo > Homo sapiens. The sequence goes on along the minus strand of NC_000009.12, from coordinate 130,479,289 downwards.
CACACACAGCCCCCTGCCACGTCTGTCAGGCGGACCCCGCGCCCCGACCCTGTACCCCAGACCCACACGCAGCCATCTGATTGATGGGGGTGACACGGTGCCCGCTCCAGCAGGCGAGGTGTCGGCAGCGTCCCTGAATCCGAGGAGCTGGGTCCGGGGTGGCAGGAGGGAAGGGGTTGGGTGGGGGCAGTGGGTGGGTTCGGGGTTGACTTTGAATAGCAAGGGGCACTTTCTCGAGCGGTGTGAAATGAGCAATAAATGTATTGGGGCTAACAAGAGAGCTGAAACAGTGACAAAGAAAAGCTGTTCAAAGTTGGCGGCTAATCCCCCACCCATCTGCCCGGCTCATTACCATGGAGCGAGCCATCGGGTGCCAATCAGGCCTCAATAGCGGCTTTCGAGGCTTTATTAGCCAGGCGCCGCTTGGAGGGGCTTCACTCAAGGCGCTGTCAGCCTCGCCATTCTTAACCCCCATTTCCAGGGGTTTTATAACTTGGTTGTAAATTGCTATTAAATGTAAGTCTGCCCAATAATGAACCTTAAGCCCCTCTCACCACCCCCCGCCTCTCCTCTCTCCCTTTCTCTCCCTCCCCGGTCCTATTATCGGCCTTCGCTGGGGCCTTAGATGGGGCCTGCCCGGGAGAAGAGGTGACATTGTTGGTGCTGCTGCTGGAGAAAGCCTCTTAGCCTTTAAAATAGTTAATAATTAGATTAAAACTTCAAATAAATTAACTAGAGAGTGAATGGGCACTAGCCAGGGGAGGGTTCCTCCGGTCTTTTTTTCTTCTTCCAGACAGTCCCCAAATCATGACAATAGGTCACGTTTCTTCTCCAGCTCAGCCTGCGGAGCTGCCCTGGTCCTCGGGCAGGGCTGCCAGAGCCTGGTGCCCAGGACCCTCCGCAGCCTGCCACCCGCCTCCCACCCTCACGGCTCTCCAGGCTCCTGGGAGCCCTGTGCAGGGAGCCAGGAGGTGCTGCTGGGGCCACTCCCACCATCTTCTCAGAGATGATCCTAAAGGGAGGCTCTGTGCCTGCAAACAGGCCTGGGGGCCCGGCTGCCTTTGGGGTCCTCTTTGGCCCCCCAGTAGGTTGGGACAGATGAAGGGGAGCAAGGAAGACAGTCGCTGGCTTGGCCAAGCTCTTGGGAAAGGCCCAGAAGAGGCAGATTATTAAAGCACTTAGCCTCCGACACCCCATTCCACATACCATGCCGGGCACCTGTGAGCATCATGCCTGTGGTCCGTTTTTTGATGAGTGCACCCAAGGCCCAGCATGGTGAAGCTGGCTGTCAAGGTCACACCAGCAAGGGGGAGAGGGGGATCTGCAGCTCTGCCTCCCCACCGGCCTGAGGCTTCCCCACCCTATCCTCCTTTCTGTGGTAGCCGGGGTAAGAGCCGAGCGCCAGAGCCGGGCCAGGCCTCTCCACGAGCCTCTCTCCCTCTCATCCCAGCTCCAGTGTGGGCAGCCACTTTGTGGACGAATGGGCCAGCCCCCCGCCTGGTCCTTGGGTGCCCCTGTGCCCAGCACCACCTCCTCCAGGAAGCCTCCCTGATCACTCCAGCCTCCTGAAAAGGTACCCCTTCAGGCCCTCTGAGCCCGCCCTCTGAGCCCTCCCTCTGAGCCCAGGCGGGCATGCCTCGCTTCTCCATCCTTCCTCCAGGCCAAGAGATGCCCTCTCCCAAGCTCAGGCACCCAGGCACTCAGGCCAGGTCAGCAAACGCTTCTTGTTGACAGCAGTGAGAAGGAGGGAGCGATCAGGACAGCCTCCACTGCCGAGGGGAGCAAGAGTGGCCGCAGCTTTGAACGTGGGGTCAGCAGGGTGAGGCCCAGAGCGGCTCAATGAAGACTGGCGAAGGCTTTCCATGTGGGGTCCCAGGGGTCCATGAGGCCAGCTCGCCAACACTCACCGTTTACTGAGCACCTTCCGGGGTCAGGGCCCAGGGCTGGACGCTCCCTTGCAGGCCTCATTCTACCCCAGGAAAACAGCAGGCACTCTTTCATCCTCAGATACAGCTGAGGAAACTGAGGCCCAGGAAAGTTGAGTGGCTGTTCAGGGACTAGAGCGCTCTCATTCCAGACCTGGTGCCCATGAACCCGAGTGATGGGTAGCCGAGGGCATGTTCCTCCCAAGCCTAGAGGCATCCATGGTCCATGGGTTGTACTGTCCAGGGAGGTGGGCTGTGCGTTACCTTGAAGCCCCTGCCTGAACTCTAGCTTCCAGGAATGCAGGGCGGGGGTAAAGAGGGCCTAGGTTCCCAGGCAGGGAGGGGAAAGGAGCCAGGGCCCCAAAAGTCAACCCCCTTCGAGTCCCAACAGGTGGGCACATACCTTTTTTGAACTCGATCTCGAGAATGTCAGGGGTGTTGGGGGCTTTGGCTGGGTCCTGGGTCTTCGTGTAGAGACCTGGAGGCGCTTGGTTCTGAAAAAAGACAGAAAGTGGTGGGCAGATGACATACCAGTCCCTGGACACCCTACAGCCCACCTCCCGCGGGGATCTGCACCCCTCTCCTCTGTCCATTTCCCCACCAGCTGGTGGGGTCCGGCAGATCCCCCGGTCCCCAGCCCTCAGCCTAGCACCAGCCTCGCTTGCCAGAGGCCTGGGAAACAAAGGGCTGGAGAAATCAGACAATTTTTCCCCTCAACTTGATCTCATCTTTTTCTTCGACGCCCCCACAGCTGGAGGTAGAATAGCTGGAGAGGAACAAGTCAGGCAGGAAAAAGTGTGACTTTGGAGGAGCAAGGCGGCGTTCCGAGGGCTTCCCAGGAGCGGCACGCACGCTCTCGCCGGCTCGGGATTGGGGTTTATTCTGCACTGACCGCAAAGCTAATGACTGCCTGTGACCCCAGCAGGTGCTCTGGCAAGCCGAGCCGTCCCCAGGGTCCCCAAGGTTAATACTCACAGGGAGAAAAGAGAAGAGCAAAGCAAAAACCCATTTGAAAACACATCAACCTTTATGTATATTTTTTCTTGGGCGTGTTGGAAAATGGGCCTCTCGTCTGATGCAGTGGTGGAGGGGCTGCGTGTTGCCTGAAACTCTCGAAATTCCCTCCCACCTTCGGAGGCCCCAGCTCCCCCAGGCCGTGGCTTGGACATTTGCCACTGTGGGGACTGGGGCCTCTTGGGCCTGACTGCTCAGGTCCCTCCTGTGGGCATCCTGTGCCTGGGGTCCTTGTTCACCTGCTGACATCCAGGAACTGCTGTCTCATCTTTGCTTTAAAAACCTTGCAGACGGCTGGGCACAGTGGCTCACACCTGTAATCCTAGCACTTTGGGAGGCTGAGGTGGGTGGACTGCCTGAGCTCAGGAGTTCGACACCAGCCTGGGCAACGCGGTGAAACCCCATCTCTACTAAAATACAAAAGAAATTATCCGGGTATGGCGGCATGCGCCTGTAGTCCCAGCTACTCAGGAGGCTGAGGCAGGAGAATTGCTTGAACCTGGGAGGCGGAGGTTGCAGTGAGCCGAGATTGCACCACTGCACTCCAGCCTGGGTGAGAGAGCAAGATTCCGTCCCCCACCCCCCCACCAAAAAAAAAAAAAAAAAAAACACCTTGCACACATTCACGTATTGCTTCCCATCTGCAGTCTGAGTTCTCAGCAGCCCCATTTGGTAAGAAGGTCAAGCGCTCTTACCCCATCAACAGATGAAGAAATTGAGGCTGAGCGGGAGGGACTGGAGCTACAACTGTGAGTTCTGTGCAGGCAGAGACCACGTGGGACTTGTTCCCTGGCACTCAGGACAGGAGCCCCGCGAGGTCCTCGCCAAATACACATTGTATTTTAGAGTGATGGGCATTACCCCGTGCCAGGATCAAGAGCTCAGGCTGGGGGGCCTTGGGGAAGCTTCACTTCCTCCAGCCTCAGTTTCCTCATCTGTAAAATGGGGAAAATGATACCTGCCCTTGGCCATCTTACAATTTAAGTAGTATATATATATTTTTTAATTGGACATGAAAACACACAGGAAAATGTCAGGGAAGGCCTGGTACAAACGGGAACATGCTCTGCAGGTGGAAAGGGCAGCTGAAATTCACTCTGGGGGTACATGCTCGGCCCAGCCTCCTCCTCATTCTGCATGGGATGGGGCTACATAAGTGCCTTGGAAGCTCACCTGTGGTCATTTGCCTGTGGCTCTGTGTTAGAGTGACCAAGTGCCCTGATTTCTCCTGGTTTTAGCACTGAAAGTCCTTTGTCCCAAGAAACCTCTTAGTCCTGGGCAAACCAGGACAATTGATCCTTCTAAGACAGGGACTGTGGTGGATCCTCCACCCCCACCTCCAAGGTACGATGTGACTCAGGGCCAGCTGTATCCCTGCATCAGTGCCCATTTGTGGGGCAGGAACAAGAACCCAGAACCTTCCCTGAAGACAGACTCCAGGAGGTAGGAGGGGCCCTGAGGGACCCCCAGCCTGATGCCTCTATGGACCACAGGGAAAGCCAAGGCTGAGAGGTGGCTTCTCCAAACCATGCTTTGGAAGCTAAACACAGGGACTCTTTCCGCCACCTTATGCTGGTTCCCAGCTGCTGTAGTAACCTGGGCTGAGAAACAGGGTGAGGCCTGTGGCCAGAGCCAGCCAGCATCACAGCCACAGGTAGGCATCAGGGCTGGCCCACCCTGCCAACTGCAGCATTCCCTGGGCACAGACGGGTCCCAAGGCTCATCCTCAGCAAAAAGGTAAAGTGAACTGGACTGGATCTTGGGGTGACCACACAACTCCACAGCCCCATCTCCAGCTGCCTGGGACTCCCCCAAGCCTCCAACCAGGGTGCCGGTACGAGGGCCCCACTCCCACCCAAGCCCAGCTCTCTCCCACCTCCACCTGCGCTGGGCCCGACTGTCAACTGTTTTCAATGCGTTGCTTGTCACTTTCTCTCCCGCCACACTTCCTGAGGGAGCCCCAGACCGAAGTGGAGGCTGACAGTGTGTGCATTTGGAAGGAGAGGGGATGGGAAGACTGGAGGACGAGTTTCTGCAGACCGCAGCGGAAGTCAGAGGCAGCTGTCGGGCAGGCACCTGACAGCGCCGATTAAATAAAATAACTAAATAGAAATAAAATGACATTTGCTTTGCATTCCGCGGTGGCTCGAGCGCCTGCCTTCTTTTTACTCTCCTTCCTAAAAGCCCAGTTCTAATGACAAATAGTTTGTTGCCAAGTATCAATGCCATCTATTTATCCCTCCCAGCGGGAGGGCTCACTTCCAATGTCATCTGTGGGGGGGGGGGGGTGCGGGGGAGGGAAGAGAGTGAAGAAAAAGAGAGAGAGAGAGTCGGGGTGGGGGCTAGGGGGAGAGGGCGAAAGAAAGCATGAAACAGGCCCCGAGAAGGAGAAATTGGAAGCAAATGGCCCATGAACTAAACCATGATGTAGAGGCATGATCGATGCCGCAAATGGTTTATTCATCCATCAGCTATGGCGGGCCGGCGACTGAATGAACTCTTTCACTGTGGACCGTATGAAGTTAAAGCAAGTAAATTTCTATCTTTCTTCGCATTAGCTGCCTCATTGCCCTTCAATCAGCCCTCACGGAGGCAGAAAATGGCTCAGCCATCTGCCTTCAAGCCCTCCCTTCCGCAGGTCTCCTGGCTTCTTTTGGAGAGGGGGAGGGGCACGGGTTCCCCAGGCTCTGTTCCCCTGAGCTCATCCCGAGGGGGACAGGGCTGCCAGGTCCAGGGATGCAAGGGTGCGTCCTGACGTTGAGCCCCACCCTCAGCACAAAGCCCTTGGGGAGTCTGCATGGCTGGGGCAAACTTCTTTCCAGAGTGACTGGACTCTGGGTGCCTGGGTGGGACTCTGGGTGCCTGGGTGGGACTCTGGGTGCCCCGGGCCTCTCAGCAGGAACGATGTTTCCCCTGACTCACACCCAGCTTAGCCCAGCCCAGCCTTTCTTGAGAGGGGTCCCTGAGAGGACCTTGGACCCTTCCTCCCATGAAGAGGTAGCATGGGACCCCCAGCTGCATGACTGAGGGCTTGCCCTGAGACAGGCCAAGCGCTTTAGATGCCCTAGGAGGGAGGTGCTGTGTTTTCCCACTTTGGGCAAGGAGTACTGGAGGCTCAGAGAGGTTGGGTAACTTGCTCGAGGTTGCACAGCAATAAGAAGAAAAGTTGGGATTTAGACTCGGGTTTCCTGTCTCTGGGACCCAAGTGTGGGTGAGGTAGCAGGATCCTTAATCCAGATTCTCTTTAGTACTGACTTCTCCACCCAATGCCCTCATGAGACAGGAGGCCTGGGAGGGCGCAGGACCTGCCCACCGTAGCTCAGTAACCTGCTCCAGGCCCCGGATGCCCTCCTGCACGGTCCGAGGGGGTGATTTCCCTCTGGCCTTGCTCTGCTTTCTCAATCCTGAGGTCCTCTATTCTGGGGGGGCCTCCTCTCTGCCCCCATAGGCTGCTTGCAGAGGCCATAGGCTGCTTGGAGAATGGCCGGGAGTGGTTGCCCAGCATGCTTGGGGCCCACGGGCCTGAGAGGATGCCCTGCCTGGAAGCCACCCTGCAGGCTCGGCCTCCCTGCCTCCCTTGGAGCTGACTGACTGGCTAATTAGGGTGGCTGGCCTGAGTGTTGTGGGGTCAGCAGAGCATGAACTAGAAAAACCTGTGACCAGCAGGCAGCAGCCACACACAGGGGCCATCAGCCCCCAGGGGGCAAGGGTGGCAGCTCTCCTGAGTGACAGGTTTGGACAGGGAGGGGCCGTGGGCAGTAGGGGAGCCACAGAGCTGGAGGGCACCAGCCCCAGGGCCCGTTCCCTCGCCCTGAGCAGCCGGTGCCCGGGCCTCAGTTTCCTCAACCATAAAGTGAGGATGCTCCCAGCCAGTGTCCTAGGAACTGAGCCAGGACAATGCCACCCCCGGCCCGCTCCCCAGACATGGTGGCTGCCATGTGATATTACAGCCAACACCGACCAGGGGGCGGCACGCGGGCGTGAGAGTGACAGACGCCCGGGCCCTGGGGGATCCTGGGCGGGGCTCTGGCGCTCCCCAATTTCACCAAACCTCCCCGGGCACCCTCCCCTCCAGCTGGTCTTCTTGATTCCCCCAGGCCCAGCTGCATCCCCTCAAAAAGCACACTTTTCCCGCCTCCAAACCAGCCTCCCCGGGGTGTGGGGCTGGGCCCGGGAACTAAGACACATTCCCTCAGGGACAAAGAGATTTTTCTCTTCCCATGATAGATTTGGCCCTGCCTCCCCCACCTCCCACAGTGGGCAGGGGTAGACACAAAGAAGCCCCCTACCCCCGGGAGAGAAACCCGAAACTTCAAACAGAGCTGAGGGCCCAGTCCAGCCCGCCCGGGAAGCTTGGGACCGGATCAGGGTGGCCGGTGGTGGCGGGTGTGCAACACGGATCCAGACAAATGGGGCCTAGGGCTCTCAGCCATGCCTCCCCCCACCCCCCACAACCAAAACTCCAGCAGCACAGCCTGGGAGCTGGTGGGCACAGGCTGGGCCCTCCCCCAAGTGTCTCATCTGCCTAATTACTTCTTTATTGTCTCACAATCACACTCTCTCTCTATGCTGCCCTGAGATATTTCCTTCCCCTGTTCATCCCAGAGGCAATTAGAAGAGGAAGGGCGGGGGGAGGTCTTCAAATGCAGCGAGGAGACGGTGGGCAGAGGGGGGCCAGTGCGGGGGTCGGGGAACACAGGCAGGGCTCGGCCCCAGCCCCACGGCTGGCCCCCGTGAAATTTCAAATTAGGCTATAAATACATCAGACAGCATCGGCATGGAGCTGCTACCACCAAAGGTGGCCAGCTGGGAGGAGATGGGGTTTGGGGGATTACCTTGGGGTTCTCCAGGATTCCAGCCTCGTAGCTGCGGAGGGGAAAGGAAAGACAGGGTCAGCTGGGGAGGGACATGGCATGTCCCCATCCCCCAACACACACACCCCATTGTGCCCATGAGCCTGGTCTGCCTTTTACTCTCTGCCAGAGCATCTGCTGCCAACCTGCCTGAAACATTCTGGGCCCACCATAGTCACCCGTGGAGCTGCAGGTTGTAAGAAAGAGCTGGGGCCTTTACCTGTCTTCTGGGGACTGCCCCGGGGCTCTGCACGTGGTTGGGGGGGCCTCTGCCTCTGCCTTAAACACTCTTCCCCTGTGCCACATCTGGGCCTCTTCTCCATCCTTGAATGCCACCTCCTCTAAGAAGCCCTCCTTGATACTCCTGATGAGGCCGGGTCCCCATGATCTATCTCCCCAACAACACTCAGCAGAACTGCAATGAGGGCAGTGCATGAGCCGGGCGCTTCGACCTCTGTCCTGCCTGAGGCCTCTCAGCTCCCCGAGGGCAGGGACCACTGGTGTGGGGGTCACCAGGACGTCCTGGGGCAGCGCGTGGCCGTCCTTTGGAATGAGCCCGGGAGGACCAAGGATGGGTGGAGGGTGGGATTTACCTGATGTGCATGAGGTTCTCATCCATGCTCCACGGGTTCTTGGGAGTGACCGGGATGGGAATCCCGTGTTGCTGCAGGAAAGAGACAGCACAGGTGGAGGTAAGGCGGCTGGAAGGACGCGTGAGGTCCGTCCCAGGGGCCCTGCTTTTTCAGAGAGCCCCAAACTCTGGCCCCCATTCAGACAAGACCCTGGCTACCTCCTAGTGTTGGTCACGGTCACCTCCCTGGGGGGACCCTATTGCTGGACATGCCCCAGAGAAACTGCAGGACCGTGTGTCTGCAATGCTGACCTTGGAGGTTCCTTCCAGAAGACTTTGAGTCTACATCTCAAGGACCCCTGAAGCACTGAGCAAGCACGCAGGTGCCATGCCCAGCCAGGTCTCCCGGCACCAGCCAACCAGCCCCGCCACCACCCTACGAGCTGGGGCTTGTGTGAACCCGCTCGCACTGTGGACCGGGGCACCTGGCACCAGAGCCCAGGCAGTGCTTCCTGTGGACCCCAGGACAGGTAGGATGCAGGGAGAGCTTTTAGCTCATGGCCCACACCTTCTGGGGGCACCCCTCCCTGGGCCTGGCGCAACAGCCACACACATCACTCTGCAGACCCTAGAAGGGGAACACCCAGCAGATCCCGTCTCCAAGGCACTCGGCTCTGGCTCTGTTTCGCTTCCTAAATGGCCCAGTCTGTTGTTACAGGAGGACACCCACCTCTGCCCAGGAGGCCCAGGCTAAGAGGGCTGCAGGTCACGCATGGAAGGCCCACCTGACTCAGCCTTAAGAGGAGGAAGAAGATGAGGCTTGTCGCCCTGGGGACCCGCACCACCCTTGATGACGCCCGACTGGAATCCAGCTCGTGCACTCCAGCCTCCTCCTGCACTCGGACACCTGGCACTGCTCTCCTGGCCCCAAGCTTATAGGGCACAGGGTGCACTGAAGGGGCCCCACCCAGCCCCTCAGAGCCAGCGAGACTGGATGCTCTGCCTCTGAGCCCCTTCAGCCCCTCAGCCCCACTGGATCCCTGTGGGAACCACAGGCAGCCCCCACCGGGTCACCCTCCCATCTCTCTCCTGATGGGATCGACCCCACTCAGGCTCATTCCCAAGATGGTGAGATTCTAGAGGCCTCCTGCAGGGAGCAGCTGTTTCCCCATCACCACCTTAACATTAAAATGAGGCTAAATGCTCTGGTTTCGGGGTTTTCTAGAAAGCCAGGAGACTCATTTTAAAACAGCCTACAAGGCCAGGTGCAGTGGCTCACTTGAGGTCAGGAGTTCAAGACCAGTCTGGCCAACATGGTAAAACCTTATCTCTACTAAAGATAACAAAAATTAGCCTGGCATGGTGGCAGGCGCCTGTAGTCCCAGCTACTTGGGAGACTGAGGTAGGAGCATCACTTGAACTTGGGAGGCAGAGGCTGCAGTGAGCTGAGATAGTGCCATTGCACCCCAGCTTGGGTGACAGAGTGAGACTCTATCTCAAAAAAGAAAAAAAAAAGAAGAGAAAGAAAAAATCACTAAGGGCCCCTAAGAGCCTTAGTTTGTGTAGATTATCTCATCAACAGTTACCATATTACACGTGAAAACTGAAATTTAAAAAAACAAAACACAGCCCACGATCTACTCTAGAATTTGAAGACTCTTCAGCCCACACACTCGCCCTGTGCCCTTGGCCAGGCATGGGTACCCGGACCCTGTGCAAGGCAAGACTGGACTCTCCAGCAGAGATGTCCTGGTGGCCTGCTGGGCTCCGTCCTCGCTCCTCACTCAGCTCAGCAGCTGGGTGCTAAGAAGAGCAGCCGGCCAGGCTCCGTGGAGCCTCTGTTTTTGGGCGGTGGCGTGAAAGAACCTTTGCCTCCCTTCTCAGCGGACCTCCGTCCAGGAGCAAGGAGAGGCTAAAGGGCGGGGAGGAAAGCAACAGGGGCCAATGACAATGACCCTCCCAAGACCAAAGAGATTTGTGTTTCCCAGCCTCTCTCGGTCCCGAGGTGCCTCCCCTCACACTCTCATTGTAATTGAGGAGAAAAAACAAAACGATCTCCAACATGTAGACAACGTGAGACCATCCTGTTTCTAGCTCCCACCTTGTAGTCTGGCTTTAAAAATAATAATTATAGCCAGGCTGGGCAGTATAGCAAGACCCTGTCTCTACAAAAAAAAATTTAAAAATTAGCCAAAGCTGGGTGTGGTGGCTCACACCTGCAATCCCAATACTTTGGGGAGGCCAAGGAGGGTGGATTACTTGAGTTCAGGAGTTCAAGACCAGCCTGGGCAACATGGTGAGACCCTGTCTGTAAAAAAATAAATAAATAAATATATGAAAAACAAAAATTAGCCAGATGTACTAGGGCACGTTTGTAGTTCCAGCTACTCAGGAGGCTGAGGTAGGAGGGTCAGATGAGCCCAGGAGGTTGAGGCTGCAATGAGCTAGGATTGTGCCACTGCACTCCAACCTGGGTGACAGAGTGAGACACTGTCTCTAAAAAAAATTTTTTTTTAAATTATGGTGACAGTGACAAGGATGGGGTGGTTCTGAGTGTTTTTCCGTTGGACGATGGGTTGGGAGAGGATGGCCAGCGAAGCAAATGCATGTTTTTTATGAGTCCTCTGGCGCCTTTTTGCCTTGGCTACCGAAGCGTCTTGAAAGCAGAGATTTTTGAAAGCCCCATTGATTTTTGTGTCATCCATCTCAGATCCTGCCTGGCTCAGAATTTTGGAGGAGGCCTCATCACTGCTCAGTCATTCTGACATTTCCTGGGTGCAGAAACACTGCCTCTGCCTCCTTCTAGAACGTGCTCAGATTCCCCACAGTCATTTCTGATGAAACCCATCTCCAGGAGAGGGTAGGTGGCCGAGGGGGCCATGCTCATCTTTCCCTGGCAAACTTTTCCGGCTCAAAAGGTTATTTGGGATGGAAGCTGAGCTCAGCACCTTCTCCTCAAAACCTGAGAAGGAAGGACAGCAGTGTGCTCCTGAGACTCATCTATGCTAGAAAAACCAGAAGCTGCTTTTGTCTGGGGACTTAACGGAAAGAAAGGGCAACGTATGGGTCGGCCCTGCCCCTCTCTATCCAGGACTCGAGGCGTGAGGGTAGAGCTGGGTGGGGGCTCCAATTCATTATTCTTAAAGATGAAACACGCTTCATATTCTATATCATCAAGGAGACCAGGGGAGAAACCTCACCAACCCGGCTCCCTTAATAGCTCTGCTATTTGACAATTTGTTTGGCAACATATGGGCTTGCTCTTGTAAACTCCCCTCTTAATAATAAAACAACAGATGGTGGAGAAGGTCTTCCCTCCCAGCACTCCAGGTCTTAATGGGTTGCTGGCGGCGGGGGCAGGGCTGCGTCCCTGCCGCCTCCCCTACCACGCGGCACCTTGGCTGCAGCGAGAGCTCACAGCCAGCCTTGGCGACTGCTATTTAAAAACCTGAGCAATTTTCTGGTGTGTGCGCTGAGTTGCTTTTCCCCGGCCTGATTGATTGAGGCTGTTTGTCAAGGGCTGCCATCGAGTCGCTAAAAAGAAAGGTGCCCTGGGGAGCGGCTAAGGATCTTGATGCAAAACTTCTAATATGTTTTATTGCAACTTGTACTTCAAAAAGGGCTGGTGCCATAAAAGGCTTTGTCTGCGACTGTCCCTTGGAGCGCCTACCTGTTCCCGGGGAAAGCGCTAGGGGCAATTAGTATCCAGGGAATTGGGAGAACAGCTCCCGATCACATCCCCCCGGCCGGCCATCACATCCCCCAGCCATCCCCCCAAGTGACACACACCAAGACACACACACTGCGGAGGTGGCAAGCAGGGCTCTGGTCTCCGCCTCCCAGGGAGCAGGAGAGAGAGTGAGCCCTGTGTCCTCTGGCTCGGGGGACTGGGAAATGGCCTCAGAGCGGCTCCGCCCTGGCAACGGGCTGGCAGATGACCACACCTCTGTGGGGTCAGCCCAGGGGACAGAGGCCACGTGTGTAGGCAGCTGGGGTGGAAGTTCAATCCCCCATCACATGGGGTCAGTCCCGGCCTAGGCCACTGGCTCAGACAGCCCCCAGCAGGGACGTGCCCGGGAAGGGGGCTATAGGGAAAGGTTGGGGGTGGTGGGGAGACTCGGCCATACCTTTGCGTACTCCATCAGGTCATTGCGGCCCTTGAACCGGTTGTAGAATTCAGGCATCCTCCAGGGAGCAATGACCTGGACATAGGACAAGGGGTCAGAGCCGGGAGGGCCGAGCTGTGGGCTTCCCCTGGCCTGTAAGCTGCAGAGCTGGCCTCTCCTGGGAGGGGCCCATGGGGGTCTCCAGCATGTCCCCAGAGAGGATGCTGTTGTGAGGGTGAGAGGGAGCCCCATGAAGGAGGGGAAGGACACAGACTCCCTCACCGGGGCTGGCTGGACGGAGCCTGCACTCCATGGCAGAATGGTGGTGTGTTGGGGTGAGAAGGGGGTCCCTGTTCCCTGGGCCTCAGTCTCCCCAGATGAGACCTGAGAGTTTGAACTAGACGGGGTTCATGGTCCTTGCCAGCACCTTCAGCCACAGGGCCACTGCCGTGACCCAGGGAGAGTCCACAGAGCTGCCGCTGCTGGCCTGGCCCCACGTGTGGTCGGGGGCCCAGAGAGGCATAGGCTGCCCCCCACCCACTTCTCTGGGTGTGGAAGGGAAAGAAGTGGGGGAAGACTCTGAGCCTGGCTGAGGGACCAAGCTCATTCCCCTTGAGCCCCTCGGCCTGAGCTGGTAAAAAGAGCCCCCGACTCAGCCCTGGAGCTCACCAGGCCCCTGCCTCTGAGCAGGACTCGGGGGCATGTGTGTGTGGGGGTGGAGATGTCATTTGGCTGCTGGGCCGTGGAGCTGACAGTGGTGCAGGGCAATGGAAGGGGCCCGCCACCTCCTCAGCCCCTCAGAGCAGCCATGGGAAGACCACAGCCCTACTCCCAGCTCCTGGAGCAGCTTGGCCCCTGCCCCAATCCCATCTCAGTGCCTGGGCTTGGCCTCTGCAGACAAAGACCTCGAAACTGGACACCCTGGCCCCACAAGCTGCTGTGGGAACCGAGGGAGGGCCCCGTCCTGCGGCCTCGCTGGCAGCAAGTCAACAAGCAGCTACTGTCCCAGCCACTGAGCTGCCTGGTGTCTGGGGTCAAAACAGATCATTAGAGCTCATTACGGCTCACCTCCAGGCCACGCATCCCAAGAGCTACCAGCTGGTTAAAGGGACGGGGAAAGAGATTCCTCTTAGAAAGAACAAAATGGAAACTCCTGTGAGCCCCTTGGGGGCTTAGGAGGGGGCAACTCTTCCAGAGCTTGAGCCCAAAGCGGCCTCAAAAGAGCTCAGTCCCGGCCTGTGCTGCCCACAGGTGGCCACAAGCCACGGGTGGCCATTCAGAGCACCTGAAATCCAGCCAGCTAGCGAGACATGCCTGCATGCAGCACATTCTGGGTCTTGCAGACTCAACACAGAAGAAAAAAGAATGTAAACATTAATAATTATTTTTTTACATTGATTATAGGAGGAATGATAATATTTTGGATATATCGGTTTCGGTAAAACATGTTATTAAAATCATGTCACTTGTTTCATTTTTCTATTTTTTAATATGGCTACTACAGCCGGGTGCAGTGGCTCACGCCTGTAATCCCAGCACTTTGGGAGCCCAAGGCGGGCAGATCACGAGGTCAGGAGTTCAAGACCAGCCTGGCCAAAATGCTGAAACCCCAGGTGTGGTGGCGCATGCCTATAGTCCCAGTTATTCAGGAGCTGAGTCAGGGAGAATTGCTTGAACTTGGGAGGCAGAGGTTGCAGTGAGATTGTGCCACTGCACTCCAGCCTGGGTGACAGAGCGAGTCTCCAGAAAAAGAAAAAAAAAAAATATATATATATATATATATATAAAACATATGTATTTATATGTAATACATATTATATAAAAATATTTATATATTATATATATGGCTACTAGAAAAATTGGGCAGCTTGCAGCGGCAGTGTGCCTCAAACTCCCACTGCTCGGCCCTGCCCTGGGCCCTGCACTCGGCACCCCTGGAGCTGAGTGGGTGCTCAGTAGACACTGGATGAAGGATGAGCTAGCGAGTGAAGGAAGGAACGTGTCCATCATTCATGCATGGACGCAGGCCAGGTCCAAGGTCAAGCTGGAGGGGTGGGGATGGTAGTAGCAGTCTGGGCAATACCCACAGGTGCCCTCCTGCCTGGGTGACATGCCACGGGCCAGGGCGGTTGAGGCCCTGAGATCCTGGTGATTCCCACCCCAGGAAAGGCTCAAGAGATGCTGGGGACCAGGCACAGGTGGCCTGGGGAGGAGCCAGGCATAGCTGGGGGCTCTGACTGGGGCTCGGAGGGCTCTGAGCATCCCAGACACCAGCAACCACGTTTCAGAGCCATCCCCACCCGCACCTGGGGTGCCAGAGCCATCCCTGCCCGCACCTGGGGTGCCAGAGCCATGCCTGCCCACACCTGGGATGCCAGGGATGTGGCTGAAGAGTGGCAGGGACTTTCTATCCCGTGCCCCAGCACCTGGACAGCCTCTCCGGGAAGAATGAATGGCGGGGAAGAAAGTGTGTCCCCTGGAGCTGGCCCCAGCGAAGGGAGCCTCCCCAGCAGGCTGTCCACCCGATGGGCACCCCTGCCACGGAGGAGATTCTGTGCCTGTCCTGTGGAATCTCCCAGAACCCTGTGCCCTCCTCCCCATCAGGTGCTGCAGATGCTAGTGCTCCCTGCTAAGGGGAGGAGCCACATCCTACCTTTATCTGGGGGGCCAGTGAGTAGCAGCTGAGCTCAAACCGGACCTGATCGTTCCCCTGCAATGCAGAACAGAGGGCTGTCAGGAGCCACAGGATGGGGGTTCTGGAGTCTGGGGGAGGACGTGAGGACAAGGACAGCCCGTGGCGGAGACAGAGCTGGGCAGAGCGTGTACACATGTGAGGTCATGCAGTGTAGGTCGTGTATGTGTGGGCATGTGGCAGGAGGGAGATGTGCACGTCTGGGGACATGGCAGAGTATAGGAGAGGGCACACATGTCACGTGGGTGGGTGCAGGACACATCTGACCCCCTGGAGCTGGAGGCCCAGCCACTGGCAAGACCTGGGGGGCCAGGCCCTGCTCCTGCAGCCCCAGAGCTCGCACTATAGTCTCTTCCTCAAGGCCCCCACATTGCTGACCCTGCCCTGCCCCAAATCAAGCTCACTTCAGGGCTGGGGCACCAGGGTGCTTGGACTCCCCCATACCCATACATTTGGGAACCCTGTCACCTCTCTGAGCCTCAGTTTCCGCATCTCTTCAATGGCTGGTGTCAGGGAGGAGGTGGAACTAGGTGACCACTGAGGGCCTTTTGCTCCTCAGCTCTTCTCTGCACAGAGAGGGAAACTGAGGCCCAGGAAGGGAAAGGAACCAGTCCAAGGACACACAGCCAGGGCAGGCCCGGGACCCAAGCCCAGGTCCCCAGCACCACAGCCACCCCCTCGGGCAGGTTGCCTCGCCTGCATCCTCTGTGGGCAAATGGAGACACCTCAACACCCCACTGAGCTGTGAACGTTACCCCCGACATAGCCGGGACCACCGTCCACACTGATGCCGAGGAGGAGGAGGCCGGGGTCAGCGCAGGCATCCGCCAGCCCAGCTCTGTCCCCAGAGAGAAAATGGCCGCGCACGTCTCCTGCTTCCCCGTGGGCTCGGCAGCCCAGAGGGAGACTTAAGCGCTGTGGAAATGACAGAGGGACCTTTTGCCTACTGTGAAAACTGCATGGGCGCAGCCAGGCAGCGGTGGGAATTACATGCTATTTTCCAGACTCTCGTCAGGTGGCACAGAATCCAGGGTTCAGCCTCTCTGCAGAGCTGGGAGCTGTGTGTGCGGCACAGGCCTTGGGCTGGCCTCACTCACCCTCCATGCAGCCCCTTTAGTGAGCACCTACTATGTGCTGTCACTCAGAGAGGCCCCCAGGGCCAGGGGGATTTTTAGCCATATTTTATGGGTGAGGAAAGTGAAGCTCAGAGAGGTGCAGCCACTTGCCCAGGGCCACACAGCAAACTCGCTCATCCTAACGGTTCACACTCAGGCTTCCCAGCTGAGCTCCATGCATAATTAACTCACTGAATCCTTTGAGCAGCCCCAGGAGGCAGGTTCTATTAGTCCCATCTTACGGATGAGGACACTGAGGTGGGGGCGGCCACATTTGCCTGCTGACCCCCAGCCGGCCCCGTTCCTGGAGCAACTAAAAGACAGCCTCATTTTAGATGGTAAGGCATGGTCCGACGTTGCATGGCCCAGCTATTTTCCCCCACAGCTTCATGTTTCCCCAACACAAAGACGGCTTGTGCCTCACCAGCCAGGCACGGCTGGGCTGCTGTCTGCCCATCCAGATGCTGCCATGCGGACACCCATCTGTTCAGGAGCCAGAGACCCTCGAAGAGGCCAAACAAACGCTTCCTTGGTTCAAACTCTGCCCTCGTCTCAGGCAAGAGCCAAGGAGGCCAGTCTAATCCTTCCCCCTCTGAACCCCAAGACCCCAGCACCAGGGCAGCTCCTGGCAGCTTTCCGGGGAGAAGGAGGATGTAGTGTCTCACACACGAGTGTCCGCATGCTGATATTTGTGCACACGTGTGTAAACATGCATGTAAACACGGTCCCACTGGGACTGGGGGGCCTGGGGTCTCCCATCTGCCCTGGGGCACCCATACAGATGGTGCCATTTACAAAACTCTCGCTCCCCGGCTAGAGTCTCAGAATCATATTTCCAGGCCCCTCTTCCAAAACTAGGGGGAGAGAGGAGCCCCGCAAGGGCCACCCCAGCTTCGGTGCAGCTCTCTGGGTGGGCAGGGGTGGGGCTGGCAGCAGGGCATGGGAGGGGAGAGTGCGGCTCAATTTCTGCACCAGGTGCTGTCTGGACGGGGTGCTGGGAAGGGAGGCTGCCTCCGCCTCTGCCTTCAGGGCTGGGCTCAGGCGGTTCCAGCAAACAGGATGCCCTTCCCCCTCACATCCCAGGCCAATCCGTTGTCCCCCCAACATTTCACTGTCACCTTCCCTGAGCCCAAAGACCCGAAAGCCTCCACCTGGCCCGTCCCCCGTGATGGCGCCCGGGGCAGTGCTGGGTGGATACTCATGGGATGGTGGTGCTGGGTGGTTACTCAGGGGGTAAATGCCTGAAGGCTGGACCAGCACCTCCAAGGCCTTGGATTCCCCTCGCTCCCAGCCTTCCTGGTTCTCCACTCA
The DNA here is from genome assembly GCF_000001405.40 of Homo sapiens. Lineage (NCBI taxonomy): Eukaryota > Metazoa > Chordata > Mammalia > Primates > Hominidae > Homo > Homo sapiens. Next base: position 130,461,702 of record NC_000009.12, on the reverse strand, counting down.
TACCCCCAGTTCTCGGAAATTGTCTCCAGAGGCTGTTGGGGGTTTCCTGGGTACTGTCATAAAGGGACACTGAGGCGCAGAAGTACGCCTTGCCTGTCAACCCCAGGAAAGAGGTGGCTGTGCCAGGTAGCACCTACTCCCCGGCATCCCCGGAGTCCGTCCCTGTTGGGTCTTCTGAGTGTGAATGCAGGGACGCCCCCAAGTCCCGAGCGGCCATAGCACTAGCTTGGGGGGCGTTCTCCTCAGAACCACGCCCTGCAGGTCCAGGATGGGGAACAGAGGACCCCGGTGGTGCCGCCACCTCCTCCCGCCTTTGTCGGCCCCCAAGGCCTCAAACCCAAGCCTCTGGCGCCCTCTGGTGGCCACATGGAGGAGGGGCGCACACGGCTGCGGGAGGCTGTTGCAGGCTAAATGTGGGCTGGTCCGGGGTGGGGGTCTCCGCATGGACCCGGGAACTGCCTGAGCCAGAGCCGACCCACCCATACTCACCCACCCACCCATGCACTCCACCAGACCTGAATGCCGCCCTACTGAACCTTAATGGTACCGTTGGAAAGACCTGAGGGCAGGACCCCTCCCAGAATTCTGATCCCCTGCCCTCGGCTTGTATGCCTTCTGGGATAGGAAGCTCACGATCCAGCTCTTTCCATTAAGGCAGATGGGTCGGGAGCTTTTTTTTTTGTTTGGGACAGAGTCTCGCTGTGTCGCCCAGTCCTGATCCTCTGGGTTCTCCTCCTCTGCCACCACCTTTGCACAGATGGCAGCATACACACGGTCCTGCCCAACAGCTCAGGCCCGCCCAAACCTCCTTGCCTGGTTTCCTACCATCCCATCATCCACAGCTGGAGTGACAGTAAAAACCAAGGCCGCAGTCTGTGAGAAGCTCTCCCCTGTCTCTTCCCCAGCATCTCGCTGGGGTAGTCACTGGCCACCTCCATCCAACCTGAGACCTCCTTCCACCCACTAATCAGTTGCCCTCAGGATGAAGCCAAACCTCCCAGCATGGCCTCAGCCCAGTCCTGGCCCTATTGCCTCCCCCACAGCAATAGCTCCTGCTCCACAGCCCCAGACAGACTGTCCTTCAGGGCCTCTTGGCTCTAAGCCTTTCCACAGGCTGTTCCCTCTGCCTCTCACACTCTTCCATGCCATTATTCACTCCTCTAGACTCATCCTCAGCCCCTGCCTGCTGCTCCCGCAGTTCCCTGGCACAGACCCCTGGCCCCACTCCCATTCCTCATCACACATCCATTTTCTCTTCTCTTGCCAGGAAATGGGCTCTCTGAAGGTACGCAATGAGCCCAAGAAGTTAGCACTGTGCCAATGCCAGCAAGCACCCAACTCCCAGCAGATACCCAGTGCAAGCTTGCTGAACCAGTGCTCCGGTGAAGAAATGAACACTTGGACTTTCAAAGACATGACAGGTGCCATCCTGGTGGGTGGCTGTCTCCCAGGCCACCCTCAAATCAACCGCGTCTCCTCCATCATCATCTTAGCTGTGTGTGTCCCTGCACCACAGTGAGCCAGGACCTCCCACAGTGAGCCAGGACTTCCCACCATCAGCACCCTGACCAGCCCGGGCAGGCGAGGTAGTGAGCTCCCCGTCACTGGGGAGTTTCCGAGCCTTCTGACTGTGGGGTTGGTAAACAGTCAATTCCTGTACCAGGCTCTTGGCATGCTGTCCGCTGACTGAGAGCTCATGACTTGGGTCTTTATAAAAACATCGGCTGACAGTTGCCAACATTGTCAGGAATCTGGTTTCTCAAGGACTGCCTTCCGAAGAGCAGCAGGCAGGGGGCTTCCTGTCTTGCACCCCACGGGGACCCCGCAGTCTGCACTGGGACACACGGCCCGGAGGGAAGGGGTACGGGATGGGTTGATTTGTGTTTCCACAAAATAATGGGTTCAAGTCCTAACCCCAGTCCCTCCGAATGTGGCCTCATGTGGTCTTAACAGAAATAACCAAGTTAAGGCTGGGCATGGTGGCCCACGCCTGTAATCCCAGTGCTTTGGGAGGCCAAGGCTGGTGGATCATTTGAGGTCAGGAGTTCAAGACCAGCCTGCCCAACATGGCGAAACCCCGTCTCTACTAAAAATACAAAAAATTAGCCGGGTGTGGTGGGGTACACACCTGTAATCCCAGCTACTCAGGAGGCTGAGGCAGGAGAATTGCTTCAATCTGGGAGGCAGAGGTTGCAGTGAGCCAAGATCGAGCCACTGCACTCCAGCCTGGGCGTCAGAGTGAGACTTTGTCCCTCTCCCCCACACACACACACAAAAAGTAACCAAGTTAAGATGAGGTCATTGAAGGGCCCTAATCCAAGACGGGTTCCTGTAGCAAGGGGAAGGTAAACAGACAAGCAGAGGGAAGACAATGCAGAGATACAGGAAGAAGACAGCTTGGGAAGATGGAGGACGGAAGGACAGGAGTGACGCAGCCACACGCTAAGGGACACCAGAGGCCACTGGAAGCTGGAGAGAGGCCTGAGCCGGAGGCTTCCTGGCACCTTCAGAGGCTGCGTGGCCCTGCCCATGCCCTCACTATGGACCTCAGGCCTCCAGAACCATGAGGCAGAACAGTTCTGTGTTCTAAGCCACCAGTTTGAGACATTTTGTTACCCTCGCCCTGGGAAACTAAGACATGGCATGAGCCCCATCTTGCAAATGAAGAAACTGAGGTTCAGGAAGGGGAGAAGGGCCCTGGCTGAGGACACACGGCAAGCCAGCAGCAGAGCTGCCTTTGAACCCTACTCTGCCAACTCAGGGTTTTCAACACTTTCCTGCGTGTCCCCTGGGGGACTCACGCAGTGACCTTGGCCAATGCGACCTTGGACAATGTCCCCAGGCCTCAGCAGCAAGTCTGCCAAATGGGGTGACATCGCTCCCACAGCAGAAGGTGGAGGTGAGGACTCAGAATGGGCGTTCAGGTGCCACAGTGCACAGAGCGCAGGGGCGAGCTGTTACCCCTCTCATTGGGGTCTAAACAAAGCCATGTAGCTGCCTTGCACCAAGTCTGCCCCGGAGGCACACCAGGAAACCGCTCGAGGGGTGCTCATCTCCTTCCCACACCCCTCCGCCTCCATCTCCCTCTGCCCGGCCCTTCCCAGGTGCCTCACCTTTCCTGTGGCGCCGTGGGACACATACTTGGCCCCCTCCCGCTGGGCGATTTCCACTTGTTTGCGGGCGATGCAGGGCCTGGCAAGAGAGGTGCCCAGGAGGTAGCGGTCCTCATACAGTGCGCTGGACTGGATGGCCGGCCAGATGAACTCCTCCACAAACTCCCTGCTGACATCCTCAATGAACACCTACGGGAAGAGGAGCCCAGAAGGAAGAAGTAGGCAAGGACAGGGGCCATCTGGCATACAGAGCCCCAGGGGCCTCAGCTAGCTGAGACCTATACGGGGCCACCCCCGCTGTACCTGGTGCTTCTTCTTCTGCATCTGTAGTAGACATCATTCATCAATCCCAGCACACTGCACTGTTACTCTCCCTCCTGCACTCATGGCAGACATTGCTAATCAATAGCTCTCTTTTTTTTTTTTTTTTTGAGTCGAAGTCTTGCTCTGTTGCCCAGGTTGGAGTGCAGTGGCTCAGTCTCAACTCACTGCAACCTCCGTCTCCCAGGTTCAAGCAACTCCCCTGCCTCAGCCTCTTGAGTAGCTGGGATTACAGGCGCATGCCACCATGGCTTGCTAATTTTTGTATTTTTGGTAGAGACGGGGTTTCACCATGTTGGCCAGGTTGGTCTTGAACCCCTGACCTCAGGTGATCCAGCTGCCTCGGCCTCCCAAAGTGCTGGGATTACAGGCACAAGCCACCGCGGCCAGCCTGCTAATCAATCCTGATGCACCGTTCTGTGAAACTGGATGTGGCTTCTAAATCAGCCCCAACAAGATGAAACTTAGTTGTCACCTAAGATCTCACAGCAGTAGTTCCCAACCAGAGACGGTTTTGTCCCTGTTGGGGGTGGGAGTAGGGGAGGCATTTGGAAGTATCTGGAGATATTTTTGGTTGCCACAACTACCAGGTGGGGGGTGGAATTCTGGCATCTAGTGGGTAAAGGCTATGGGGATACTGCTAAAATCCTCCCGTGCACAGGACGGCCAGCCACACGGGAACAAGGCCAAGACTGAGAAACCCCGATCCAGAGGAATGGTTCTTGAAATGTAGACCCCCAGGGGTTCCCAATGACTTTTCAGGGAGACACTGAGTGAAAACTTTTTTTTTGTTTTTTTGAGACAGGGTCTTTCTCTGTCATCCAGACTGGAGTGCAGTGGTGTGATCCTAGCTCACTGCAGCCTCAACCTCCTGGGTTCAAGCAATCCTCCCACCTCAGCCTCTTGAGTAGCTGGGACTACGGGCATGTGCTACCACGCCCGGCTAAGTTTTTTATTTTTTGTAGAGATGGGATCTCACTGTGTTGCCCAGTTTTCTTCATAAACTTCAATAAAACAAGGCATCACATAGCGAGGAAGCCCTGGGAGGCTAAAAAAGAAAAACAAACAAACAAACGAAAAAACAAGTGAATGCAGAAAACCGCTACAAGAGTCCATCTGTTTTCTGTCAAGCCAGACATTACAGAGATTTGCAAAAATGGAAGCCAATAAGATTCTTAACTAAAATTTTTTGTTTGAGAAAATAGTTATTTTTCATAAGTGTAATGTTACTTATGTTAACATGAACTGTTCATTTAAAACATTTCAGCTTTTATTTCTAATGTGATAAATATCAACAGATGTAATCCACAAAAGCTCTCTAAGGCCTTCAGTAATTTTTATTTTTTTGAGATGGACTCTCTGTCATCCAGACTGGAGTGCAGAGGTGCAATCTTGGCTCACTGTAACCTCTGCCTTCCGGGTTCAAGTGATTCTCCTGCCTCAGCCTCCCGAGTGGCTGGGACTACAGGCATGTGGGGTTTCTCTACTAAAGAAACTAGGCTGGTTGGCCAGGCTGGTCTCAAACTCCTGACCTCAAGAGATCTGCCCACTTCAGCCTCCCAAAGTGCTAGGATTACAAGCGTGAGCCACCGCACCCAGCCAAGGCCTTCAATAATTTTTAAGAGTCGAGAAATTCTTGGTACTGCTTTTGCAACTTCCTGTGTCTATAATTATTTTGAAAAAAATCCTTTTAAAAAATGAAATAAAAAGGCATAGAAAAGAAAGCAATTGGGACTAAGGATATATAAAAAACATTAGGATAAATGTGTTTTTGTGTTTGTTTGGTTGGTTGGTTGGTTTTTTTTACAGAGTTTTGCTGTTGTTGCCCAGGATGGAGTGCAATGGTGTGATTTCAGCTTACTGCAACCTCCGCCTCCTGGGTTCAAGCGACTCTCCTGCCTCAGCCTCCCGAGCATCTGGGATTACAGGCACCCACCATCGCGCCCAGCTAATTTTTGTATTTTTAGTAGAGACAGGGTTTCACCATGTTGGCCAGGCTGGTCTTGAACTCCTGACCTCAGGTGATCTGCCTGCCTCAGCCTGCCAAAGTGCTGGGATTACAGGCGTGAGCCACTGTGCCTGGCCCATCCTAATGTTATATGCAAGAAAATAAACATTAAAAACGCCACGTAAATTAGAGTGTAGAGGATTCCCAAGACCACAAGTTTTGAGAACTGCTCATCTAGAATAAAGGACAAAAGCTGAAGCCGTGCACAAAGCCTGCTCCTGCGCTGCTGAAAGCGCACTCGAATCTTCAACACTCAGGGCTCTTTCTCCCCTTCCTGGACTACTGCTCAGACAACCCCTCTGCTCTCCAGCACTCGGGAGGCACAGAACCAAGGAGGGACATTCTAGTTCCAGGCCTGTGGCCAGTAGGTGACTTGGGACTGGGGCATCCACTCCCTCCCGTGTTCATTTTAACATGCTAATTACCCTGGCAACCCTGCAGAAGCACCCCACAGAGGGGATCAGCTCTGACCCTGCAGGTGGGCTGGTGGCCTTGCACATCATCCCTGCTATGTCCCCTGCTCACTCTCCCAAATGAAGGGGCACAAGTGGCAAGGGCTTCTCCATGGGGAGTGAGCACATGTGAGCAGGGGTCCTGATGACACTGTTCATCATAAATGCCCTGTATGGGACAGGGGTCTGCCTGCCACATGCCTAGATTCACAATCAAGGCACCAGACTCAATTGGAGTTCTCTGATTCTGTTGAATGAATGGAAGAATGGGTAGACAGAGAGATAAAAGAGGGAAGGACAGGTAGGGGGATGATGGACAGAAGGATGGATGATGGATGACAGATGGATGGATGGATGAATGGATGGATAGAAAAACGGTGAATGGATGAAGGATGGATGGATGGATGGGGGATGGATAGATGAATGGCTGGCTGTCTGGATGAATGGATGGATAGACAGTGGAGGGATTAATGACAGATGGATATGTGGATGGATGGATGGATAATGAAGGGATGGATGGGTGAATGGATAATGGGATGGATGGATAGATGATGGATGGATGAATGGATGGATGAATAGACGGATGGATGATGGATGGATGCATGGGTAGATGATGGATGGATGAATGGATGATGCATGGAAGGATGAAGAATGATGGATGGATGGATGGATGATGGATGAATAAATGGATGATGGATGGATAGACGGATGATGGCTGGATGAATGGATGATGGGTGAATGGATGGATGGATGGATGATGGATGAATGGATGGATGATGGATGGATGGATGATGGGTGAATGGATGGATGGATGATGGATGAATGGACGGAGGATGGATGGATAGATGGATAGATGGATGATGGATGGATGGATGAATGGATGGATGGATAATGGATGGGTGGATGAGTGGATGGGTGATGGATGGATGGGTGGATGGATGATGGATGAATGGATGAATGGATGGATGGATGGATGATGGGTGAATGGATGGGTGGGTGATGGATGGATGGATGGATGGATGATGGGTGAATGGATGGGTGGGTGATGGATGGATGGATGGCTGAATGGATGGATGGATGGATCGATGGATAGCTAATGGAGGGATGAATGATGGATGGATATGTGGACGAGTAGATAAACAGAGATAAAAGAGGGTGAGTGGGTGCATAGATGGACAGAGAGATAAAAGAGAAGGGAAGGTATGTGGGTGGGGAAGAGACACTCCACCTGGATGGGAAGGTGGGTGGGTGGAAGAGGGCGTGGGGGAGGCAGAAAAACAAGAGGGTTCACACACCTGAGAGCAGGATGATCTCATACTCTTAGAAGCAAGAAGACACACTGGAAGGGATGGGATCCCTGGGGCAGGAGCATCCACCACTGCCCTCCACATCACCGCCCCACTCCCAGCCCAAATCCCTGCCTCCCGCCTGGTACCTTTTTGGCCCCAAGCTTCAGTGCCTTCTTCCTGGCTTCCTCGAAGTCTTCCTTCTGGCCAATGTTGGCCTGAGAAGCAGAAGCGGAGAGGCTCCGTCAGCCCCTGGGGGGAGCCCTGAGTTCACACCATCCGCATGCAGCAGCCTCCCACCCCCTGCTACAGAGACAGCTTCCATTCCATGGCCAAGTCACAGTAAGAAGGAAAAAGGACAAAGCCCAAGGCCTGGAGAGGTGAGATTCTTCCAGGAGGTGAGATTGGGAGCTGGATTGTAGCGTGGTGATGGCTGGTGGCTTCCATGGGTTGGAGCATTGGCTGAGCCTGGCCCTGGCCACACAGGCTGCTGGGAGACAACCATCTGCTGTCATTGCTGGAAGGTCTAGGGTTCTCCTGAAACTCATCTGTCTTTTCCAGAAAACTCTTTCTCAGCCAGTGCAAAGATTAGCTTGTCAGGGCCTTCCTAGCCTCCAGCTCTCCTCCCTAGTCAAAGGCCATGCCTTGGCCATCCTGAGGCAGCTGAGAGGCGGGAGGCAGAGAAGCCCGTGCTCAGGAACTTCCAGCTCCGTCCCTGTGGCCAGTGCCCTGACCTCGGGGTCTGACAGCCCCTGTCTAGACACTGCCATGTTTCCTGCTGCCTGGACTCTGGCCTGCTGCCCAGATCCTGGCCTCAGCCCTCACTCCCTTCATTCGGCTCACCAGACCCTGGAATCTTGCCAAAGCCCAGCTGCAGGTGCTTATCTGAATCACATTCAGCTTTTAAATCCCCCAGGTGGTAGCCCAGGGGTCTATACGCCCAGCTCCAGCTCTGATTGCCCCGCTGTGCTACCTACAGTGAGATGGATACACCCTGGGCTCTTTGCAGCCCCTCAAAGCTGTGCTCTCACCCACCAGGTGACTGTGAGCAAAGTATTTCTTCCCCTGGGCCTCACTTTCCCCAACCTGAATGACAAGGGCATTGGGCGCAGTTAGACATGCCAATATGCCGGCAAACAAGCCACTTTTGGCAAGAGCTAAGTTTTGTCTGTCCAGAGACCCAGGCTCACTTCCTCTGGAAACAGAACCTTCTTTCCTGGGTGGACCCCATTCCACAGGGATGGAGAGGAAGAAATCCCGCCCACTGAAGGAGTAGGCTCATGGCCCAAGCCTCGCACCCCATGATGCAGCCATAGGGACTAATGCGTGGTGGGTCCCCATGGGCCCTACTGGGGGTAAGCCCTCCTTTTTGGGAAAGGTGGGCTATGAGGGTGACCATGAGCCTTGCCTGCCCTGTGGAGAGGCCAAGAATGAAGCCAAGTAGAGTTGGAGATAGATCTTAGAAGCACCTGGATCCAGCCCTGCCTGAAGCCATCCTACCCCTGGAGTTCTCAGTTGTGTGAGCCAAGAATTGTCTTTTCCCTTTCCTTTTTGCGTAAGTTGGTTTGAGTTCAGTTTCTAAAATTTGCACCTAAGAGTCCTGAACAGCACAGCCACACAGAGAAGGACTCAGAGCTGTGGCCAGGTTCAGTCGAAGAGGAGCTAGTTTGAGAGGGATGACTCCTATGGGCCCTGGATGAGGAAGTGGCTTCACACATAACCCATCACCTGTGACCTATTTCCCATCCCAGAACCAGGTGATCCCCCAGGGTCCTTCCAGCTCAGGATTCCACAATCTTTGCTGAATTACTGCAGGCTGACAGCATACTCTGGAGATGGGAAGACTGTGTGCCTTCCCAGGGCTGGCAGCAGGTCCCAGCCCATGCCTCTCTGCAAGCAGGCTAAGCCAGCAGCACTGCCAAGTTCACTTCTGTGCCCTCCCCGCGCCTCCATCACCTGGCTCTGGAAGGCATCTCAAGGATGGCCAATTTGCAGATGGAGAAAGTGAGGCAGTACAACGAGAAGCTATTTTCCTAGTTCCAGTTCAAGACAGGCTTCGAGAGAAGAGGCCAGGCTTGAATGAGTGACGGTGAGCAGACAGGCTGACAACCCAGACAGAGGCTGGCAGGGGGCAGACAGGACAGGTTGCAGGACACGCAGGAAGACAGACACCCAGGTCGCTCCCTCACCAGATAGGCAATGACGTCATAGCCTTGTTCCTTCAGCCACACGAGGATGCACGAGGTGTCCAGGCCGCCACTGTAGGCCAGAACCACGGAGCCTTTGCTGGACATAGCGTCTGGCGGGAGTCGAGGAACAACCTGAGTGACCCTGAGACAGCCAGTGCCCCCCGCCAGCCCCTGCAGACAGCCCAGCCCCGACCTTGGCCTTGGACAGCCTTGTCTCCTGGGCAAGCTGCCACTGAAGGTCGGGAACAGGATGTTCACCTTCAGTGCCTGCCACCCCCGGGAACCCTGACCTCGCACACTCTGCACACAGCCCCACAGACCACACTGGGGCCTGGGAATGCTGACTGCAGTCCTAGGCTGGTCGGGGAGAGGCATCTCTTGGACCTGATCCTCCAGCATCGAGGGAAGGCGGCTGAGGCTGAGCAGTTTGGCCCAAGGCCAGGATGTGAGGAATGCACGCAGGCAGGAGATGTGGGAGGGGCCTTGGCTCTGAGCCTCTGGCAGCTGACACATCCCCCATCAGAACTGCTCCTTGCCAAGCACCAGGCAGGGCCCTGGGAGCCTCAGCGGGATCTCCCTGTGCCCCTGAGCCCCCACTACAACCTCATGAAGTAGGAGTTGTCATTCCTATTGGGGAGGCAGCCAGCAGGGCTCAGAGAGGTCAGTGGCAGGCTCAAGGTCACAGAGGGCACAAGAATCTGTGCTTCCCCAGCACGCAGTGCCGCCGCCCACCTGCAGGTGGAGAAGGATGCTGTGGGGCAGGGGCCCAGCCCCAGTCCCTCTCCTACCTGCAACCCCATGGAACCTTCACTGGCTGGAATTTTAGACATCGTGTCTCCAAATGTGAGCGCCTCTGAATTCAACTCTGCCAATGCCCAGTTTGGAGGGGCTCAGAGACCAACTTCCCCCAGTGTGGAGGTAGAGAAACTGAGGCCCAGGGAGGGAAGGCGATAGACAGGCAGAGGCCTAAGACCTCTGCAACCAGCGGCCCTTCCCGGGGGGACAGATGGGCACGAGGGCTCTCTGCAGCCAGGCCCTCTGCAGCCGGGAAGTGCCTGCGGTCTCCCATCCTGCCCCACCCTCCGTCACAATGAAGCCTCCCGAAGGCGCCAAGGCCTCCTGTCTCCTGATCTTTGCAGCCATGCTTCTTCCCCGAGGGCTCTCCCTGAATCCTGGGCTGCCCTTGGGCTCGCCCTGCACCCCCCTCCCCCACATGCCTCCTGTGGCCCTGGGCTTGGGCGTCTTCACTGTGTCCAATTTGCTGAACAGGAAACCAGGGTTAGGGAGACGAGGTCACCTGCCCAGGGTCATCGGATCAACAAGCAGCAGGGGCAGATGTGGGCCCAGGCCTCCTGGTTCCAGCCTCCGTGGACACCTGGCCCCAGCATCCCGCATTTCCCAAATGTACAGGGCATGTTTGTTCTGCCTGGGAACGTTTCCACTGGAGTCTGACCAACGTCACAAGGTCAGAGTCACCCAGGGTCTTTATTAGACACTACTGGGGAAGTGGAGCCCAGAAGGGTCACCCGGCCATCACCATTGCAGTGATGCAGGCATCGCTATCCTGAGCACTCTCTGTGTGCCTGGAAGCTCGGGGAGAGGAAGTGCCTTTCCCAGGCCTCCCGTCCTCTGCTGCAGAGCCTGGCCGTGTAGCCAGGTGGACTTTGGAGCTCCGTCACATGAGAATTCAGTCCCGTGCATGCTGCACGGTCCCACCTGCCAGTCAGCCGGGGCTCACAGGCCTGTGCTGCCCTTTGGACTTAGAAGGGGAAACACCTCATGGACCATGCAGCTGGGGCAGAGAAGATGGTTCTGGTCGGTGCCCACAACGTCCCTACTGGGCATTCAACCCCCTGCCCCTGAGTTGCTGGTGACTCAGCCAGCCCTAACCCTGGAGCCAGCAGGTGGTATCCATGGCAACTGCAGCCAGGCAATTGGCCATGCAGGATGGAGGGAAGGAGGGAGGAAGGCAGGCAGGGAGGACTTAAGGTGGGCAGTACCTGGGATTGGAGGCGTGAGTTCCCGGCGTCTGGAATCTGTTTTCACAGTGCAGTGAACCACTCTGCAAAAGCAGAGCTACTCAGCTGCCTGCAGGTAGCCTGGGCCATCCCAGAGGCCCTAAACCTTACTTTCCAGCCGCCCAATCTCCTGTGAGCAGCCTCACTGAGCAGAGGAGGTCCAGGAGCCCCAGAGCCACCTGTCCTGCCTCCTGCCTCCTGCCCCCTGCTCCAGAAGGCATTCAGGAAATATGTGGAAGCCTACCCCTGTTTGCGTGTGATGGCGCGGGTGGTGTGGTTGGGTTGCGGGAAATTCTGTTGTATGTTTTAAAACAGCTCTATTGAGGTCTACTTGACATATCATAAATTGCATTTTTTAAATATCAGATGGGTAATGTGCCAACATCATAACAAAGTTTGAGGGTGGCACCTCACACACACACGAGAATACCCAATCAGCACATTCATCAACTACAAAAATAATCGCATATTTTTTTGTGTCCAATTTAGCAAGTTTCGGCGTGCGGATGCGCCCGTGACATCAACACCACAATCAAGGGAATAGACATGTCCGTCTTAGGCTAAGCCCTTCCATCTGGGGTTCTCTTCATTTTAGAGTCAGGAAAACTGAGGCTTGGGCTGAGGAACTTGCCCTGCATCTCGTTTGACTGGTAGGCAGCAGAGCCAGGACTCCAACTCAGATCAGCTCGGCTCCTTAACCCCCTGCTCATAGGTACAAGACCACCACTGGAGACTCAAGGAAGGGAAGTCCTGGGCAAGTGTGATCTGATGATGCTGGCCCAAGATTCACCCAGCTCTGAGAGTCACCCCTGCTCCTGCCTCCTCCCAGAGGCACCTGGAGCCAAGAGAGGCAGCTCCACAGAAACACGGAGGGGCAGCTCCACAGAAACAGCTGGATCACCTGCATCGCCTCAGTGACCCGCCATGCCTCCTGCCCATCAGAGCTGTATCCTTTTTTTTTTTTTTTTTTTTTCAGACAGGGTCTCATTCTGTCACCTAGGCTGGAGTGCAGTGATGCAATCTCAGCTCACCACAGCCTCCACCTCTTGGGCTCAAGGGATCCTCCCATCCCAGCTCAGTGCCACCACCCCCAAGTAGCTGGGACTACAGGCACATGCCACCACACCTGCCTAATTTTTGTATTTTTTGTAGAGATGGGGTTTCACTACATTGCCCAGGCTGGACTCGAACTCCTGGACTTAAGCGATCTGCCTGCCTCAGCCTCTCAAAGTGCTGGGATTCCAGGCATGGGCCACTACATCCGGCCATCATGCTGTATTCTAACTGCCCTCTCCCCCACTATGAGCTCCATGGAAACAGGGACCATCTCCCAGATGCCTGTGGCAGGCACTTAGAACAATGCTACTAGTTCCACTCTCTGGAGGTCAGCTCCTCACCGCAAAAAGAGGGCTGGGGTGCCCTGAAGCTGTGGAGTCCTACACATGCTCTCATGGCCGAGCACAGTGGTTCATGCCTGTAATCCCAGCACTTTGGACGGCCGAGGTGGGTGGATCACTTGAGGTCAGGAGTTCCAGACCAGCCTGGCCAACGTGGCAAAACCCCGTCTCTACTAAAAATACAAAAATTAGCTGAGTGTGGCGGCACACACCTGTAGTCCCAGCTACTTGGGAGGCTGAGGCACGAGAATCGCTTGAACCTGGGAGGTAAAGGTTGCAGTGAGCCAAGATCGTGCCACCACACTCCAGCCTGGGTGACAGAGTGAAACTCTGTCTTAAATAAACCAAAAGAAACCAGTGAGCCCCTCCTGCCTGCCAGGTTGTAGCTGGGCAGGTGTGGGCTCTGAGGCCTTCAGCCTCTGGGGCTGGGCAGTGTGAAGCAATGCATGGACCTGGCGTGTGTACCTGAGACAGTGTGTGTGTGTGTGTGTGTGTGCGCGCGCACACACCTGTGTGCACCCAGGGGTGCGTACCTGAGAGTACACAATGTGTGTGCATGCATGTGTGTGATGTGTTTGGGCTTGCACATGTGTGCCTGTGTGCATGCACACGTGTGTGGGTGTTGGGGCCAGTGTATGCATGCAGAGAAATGAGCTGGGCAGATGGGCTTGGGAAAATGATGCAATCAGACAGCAGCGTTGCTCCTGCCCTCCCAGCAGCGGGTGGGGCACCCCCCTCCCTCAGCCTCCGCAGGTCCCTAAGCTGCATTTGCAGCCCGAGGCAAAAACTAAATGAAACTGAGGGTTTGATGTCGGGGGAGGAAGTGACAGGGAGAGAAGGAACCACAGCTGCAATCCAGTGAGCGCTCACTCCAGGCACAGGACAGAGGTCAAGTCCACCAGACATGGGTTTGAGTGGCTTCAGCTCTCTAGCATAACTGCTCAGCTGCAAAATAGGGGTGCAAACAGCCTGCTCCCCACAGGGCGACTGTAAGGATTGGGTGAGATGCTGGGGGAAGGAGCCCAGAGCTGGGCACCAAGCATGTATGTGCCCACTAAGCTCTGTGCACCGCTGCTATGGCTGACCTCAGCCAAGTTCCTGGCTTGCTAAGCCTCAATTTCCTCATCTGTACAACCTGACAGCCCTCTGGGTTCTGACCCTCCCAGACATTGGGCTTTCTTCCTGGGAGCTGCGCCTGGCAGGCAGATCCTGGCTGAATTCAGCCTCCCCTAGTCCCAGCTCCACCCCCACCACATCCCCCAGAAAGGGCCACGGCAGGTTTCTCCAGCTCCCTGGCAAATGCCCACTGCCCTCCAGCCCTCCTTCCCCGGAAGAGACACCTGGGAGGAGGGAAGGTGGCCTCGCGTCAAGGTACCAGAGCCACCTGGCTTTCATTGGGATGGCATTCTCTGTGGCCCCAGCCACAGCCATCTGTCCAGCTTCCAGCAAACAGGCCAGCCTGGGCGCTCACTTGACACTAAGGAAAACTCGTGCTACTTGAAAACGTCAGAGCTGGAATGACAACAAGAGCGGCTACTATGTTCACAGTCACAGGTGCATCCTCTCAAGGTGGAGACTGCCATTACCACCTATTTACAAAGGAGGAGGCAGAGGCTAAGCGGCCAGCCGAGGTCACAAGCTAGCGGCTTCAAACCCAGCCTGACTGCAGGCCACTTGCTCTTCCCTGCACTAGGCCTTCCACTCCCTGGCTCCTAGGAGACCTCAGATCTCCCCTTCACTCTACACACCTTCCAGAAAACCAGCCCCCCAGTGAGTCATGGCCAACCTGCCCACTATTTCTCTGGAGAGCCTGTGTGCTATAGCTCAGGCCTACTGCCCCGTGGAAGATTCCCCTGCAACCCCTCGCTGACATTCTAACTCAGCTGAGCTCGGTTTGTCTTTGGTGATGGACGAAGGGCACATTCATTCATTCGTTCCACTCATATCAAAGTGCCTATGGGTGCCTGGTCGACCCCAAGTCTGGGGAGGGAGCCACGCCCTGGAAGATCAACTTTGCCCAAAGCTACATCAGAAATCAGAGCCTTAGACTCTGAATTCCAGCGAAGTTACCTCTTTCCACATGGGTGCCTGGTGCCCACAGGCAAGCCACTGACTTCAGGGACTGTGTAGTCAGTGCTCAGATGAGGCATCTGGTTGACCTGGCTGGCCTCCCAGCAGGCCAAAGATGAGATGGGCCCGGGTTGGGAGGGGGAAGCGCTTGTGCAGCAGGCTGTTTTGGGCCTGGCTCCACCCCAAGGCTCCTGCGGCCCTGGGCCTGCTTCCCAAGCACTCAGGAATGGAGACTGTGCTGAGAGTGGGGCCTCCCCTTCCCTCTCACGACGTGTCTGCCCCCGCACCGGCCAGGCGCTCAGCAGGCAGGAGTCACTATTCATTCACTTGATCCACCCCCACAGAGCAGAACCAGAATTACTTCTCAGCATGGTGCACAGATGGCCCCGCCAGGACAGGGTCCCGCCCCCACCCCCAAACTTCCCCGCCCTAGGCCTTGGGCCTAAGGGGTCTGGGAGGGAGAGGGAGTTTGGAATGGAGACTCCTCCAGTTCCTGCTCCTAGCCAAGCTTCCCAGTCCGTGTGGCTGCTTCTCCCTCCCTCTCATCAGAACCTAACCCCAGGCACAGTTATTGTGCAATTGGACCCAGGCCCAGCACCCAACAGTCTACAGAGCCCTTAGCAGCCGCACAGTATCTGCAAATGTTTCCTGAGCCCTCAGCCCCAGCCAGCTCTAACAGACTGAAGCTTGGGGGCCAGGCACTTTGGGTGGCTCGAGCCTGTAATCCTAGCAGTTTAGGAGGCCCGAGGGAGGAGGGTCGCTTGAGCCCAGGAGCTCGAGGCCAGCCTGGGCAACATGACGAGTCCACATCTCTGATAAATTTTTAGAAAGAAAAGAAAATGAAAAGGAAGCTTGGGAATCTGGAGGCTGAGCCAAGGCCTCACCAGCTCTCCCCATCACTGGGTTTGTGCTTGCTGGGAGCGGGAGGATCAAAGCCCAAGTCCCCTAGGTCTTGATCTACCCCTGGGGAGAGAACAGGTCTGTTCCTGCCCTGAGACCTGCAGCCTGACTCGGCTGCTCGGGAGTGGACTCTCCACTTCTCAGAGAAGAATACTGAGGCCAGGCCAGCCCTCCTCAGGAACAGCCCTGGCCGCCTGGGAGAGGAGTTTCCTCTCTTTCACAATGACCCTGCCTCCCTGGAGGGCGCAGCCGCCCAGGGGCCAAAGGCAACAGCAGCCCGAATAGAAAATATTCCTGGCACTGCCCCTCCCACAGAGCCCAGCCCAGGCCAGCAGGAAACCCCGCCGCGAGGCCGCCAGCCCCACCGGGGAGGGCCAGGTGGCTGCCGCCCCCTGCAGGGAAGGGAGCCAGGGCCACCATGCCCATCTGTCCAGGGTAAACTGAGGCTGCGGGGAAAGCGATACGTCCAAGCCCCAGAGGGGCTGGACTCCTGGTTTTACGCAGAGAAATAGAGGTGGAGACAGACGGCGAGTCCGAGAGAGGGAGAGAGAATCGGGAGCCCCCCCACACGCTCCGGACTCCCCAGGTCTCCATGTGGGGGCTTCACGACACAGAGGAAGCCGGATCCGACAAGGAGTCCAGAAAGGACCCGGCTGCGCAGGGAACAAATAACCCGAGCCGCTCTTCGGACCCGGGGACTCGCGCCCCCGGGGACTCGCGCCCCCGCCGCGTCCCCCACGCTCCAGAAACCTGGAATCCGGTGCCAGGCGTTTGAGCATCGGGAGCCCCTTCCCTCCTGCCTCGGTCCCAGTCCCCGGCGAGTGGCGATCGGGGTCCGCCCTCTGCCTCCGCGGGCCCCGGGGCGGGCGTCTTCTACGCCTCCTCCTCTGGGCCCGGGAAGCGGGTGCTCTCGGCTAGGGAGTGGGCAGCGAGAGGGGCCGAGGGCTCCTTACCGGGCTCGGGCAGCGGTGGCAGGCGGCAGAGCAGGACTGGCAGGGGTGCCCATCCCAGGTTATAAGCACAGGGCCCGGGGGCAGGGCCGGTGACCGGGGACACGTGGCGGGGACGCGCGCCACAGACCCCGCCCCCGGGCCCGGCCCCCGCCTGGAGCCGCTCAGCGTTCACAGCCACCTGCAGAT
This sequence comes from Homo sapiens, assembly GCF_000001405.40. Taxonomy (NCBI): domain Eukaryota; kingdom Metazoa; phylum Chordata; class Mammalia; order Primates; family Hominidae; genus Homo; species Homo sapiens. Next base: position 130,444,809 of record NC_000009.12, on the reverse strand, counting down.
GGGCGGGGCCCGCCTCCCCAGGCCTCGTCCCCACCTCCCCCCGCCTCCCACCAGGTCCGGGCCTGGGCCCGGCGCCGGCTCACCCTCCCAGGGGCGCGCCGGCGGGGGCGCAGGCGGCTCGCGGTTCCTGGCCCTGGCCCGCGGGCTGGAGGCGCCAAGGAGGGCGGCAGTGGCTGCGACCCATGTAACTCAGGGGCGGAGGGTGGCCGCAGCCGTCCTTCGAGAGACTTGCCTCCTGGCCCTGGGGAAGCAATTTAAACGCTTCGCGGTGGGAGCCGGGATAAAAGTTCCACTGGCGCAGGGAGCTTCGTGCTCACTTCTATCCGGTGCCGGCAGCCTGGGCCTTCTGCAGCCCCCAGAGCCCCCTCCCTCCCCAACCATAGCCTCTGGTAGCCGAGTAAGGATGAGAAAACCGAGGTGAGCCGGCGCGGGAAGGCCCGGCTTTCATCCCTTAGGCCAGGGCTGATTGCTGGCCTGTCTTCTCAGAGCCTGGCACCTGCCCAGACTCCAGAGGGCACCCAGTAAGCAGTGAGTAAAAGACTGTCTGGCTGCGAACCCACTAGACAGGAGGGAAGGTTGAGGTTCAGAGAGAAGTCTCTTGCTTGTAAAAAGCAGCTGGGAGTTGTGACCCCAGGCCCGCCTTCAACAGCTTCTCTACCTCAGGAGTTTCCCAGCTTGGTCTGCCGGCTCCAAAGCCCTGATCACTGCAACCACAGCCCCAGTAAAAGAGCAAGTCCTGGGACCCCATCCAAGGCAGTTGCTCCATAGTGAGCACTGACCCCAGAAGGGAGGACTCCCGGTCCTCAGCCGGCTCTGAACCTGGGGGAGGTGGGAGCCCCAAGCCTTGCCCAGCCGCTACCCTGGAGTCAGTGCTCCTTTTAATCACCATCCACTCTCAGCCCCTCTGCCAGTCAGCCCCCACCACCCCCTCAAGCCCATGGCAAGCAACAGTAGCTGTGAGTCCTTCTAGAAGGAAAAAAGGATCAAACCAATTCACAAACAAAGCCACAGCTCGATTCTCTCTTAAGCCCCTTAGTTCTCTGACACTTAAACCTGGGATGTGGCCCTTGATGGCAAAGGGGCCCCTGGTGAGCCACGTGGGGCTGGGTGTACATGGGTGGCTTGAGGCCCCTTCTAGATGGGAGGCGGTATCACAGCTGGCCCCCCTCAGCCCTCTCACAGGAGCAGCTGGGGGTCTCGTGGAGTCTCTGGGCCTCCCACACTAGCAGGAGGCAAGTGAGGAACACCTACACAATGACACCCTTGCAGCAGTTGTGTGTCCTTGGGGCGGTCACTCCCCACTGCAGCCTGTTTTCTCATTGGTAGGGTCGCCCTGGAAAGAGCAAGCATTCTGTTTTCACCTTCACGACTACCCTGTATGAAGTACCTGTGATTGTTATCTCAATGGTATGGGCAGAAACCTGCTGCACAGAATGACGGTGTATCTTTCCCAAGGCCACACAGCATGTGAGTGGCAGAGCGGAGCTAGAATCCAGTGTCTGAAGCTCTGGCTCAAACCCTCTGCTTTAGCTCCAGCCTGAGCTGAACTGAGGTCACAGTCCCAGGGTCACAGGCTGCTGGGACCTTTACTCCTTGCCGCAGAAATGGTTCCAGCCTAGGGGACAGACCCTTCCTAACTCACATGCACCAGTGACATGAGGGACAGTGAGGTCACAGCGCTCCTGAGAAGAAAACAGGGGCCCAAACTGCCAGCAGCACCCCGCCCCCCACCCCCACCGTCCTGCCACCAACAGCAGGGTGAGTGGTTGCCCAGAGGCAGAGACCAAGGTGAGGGAGGACTGGCCAGCTTCTGAATGAGCCCCATTCTGCCTGGACCCCTCCATCGGCCAGGGGGACCTTCAACCCTGCCCTGGCCCTTACCCTGCAGAGCAGTGCTGAGGGCCAAAGTGGGGCGTGGCCCAAAGGGATTCCCCCACCTGAGACTGGGGCACCATGGCCTTTGACTTTCATCTTACCCCCTGCCCACACCTAGGTCAGGGGTCCTCCAGGAGCCTTTGCACCTTCTAGGTAAGTGATCTTGGTGGCATTCCTAAAAACAAAGCAGCACCTAGGCCTGAGCAGGTGGAGAAACAAAGGCACTGGGATCTGAGACACTCATACCTTCCTTTTTTTTTTTTTTTTTTTTAATTTGGAGTCTTGCTCTGTCACCCAGGCTGGAGTACAGTGGCACCCTCACTGCAGCCTCTGCCTCCCCGGTTCAAGCAATACTCCTGCCTCAGCCTCCTGAATAGCTGGGACTACAGGCCCGCCACCACACCAGGCTAATTTTTGTATTTTAAGTAGAGACGGGTTTTCACCATGTTGGCCAGGCTGGTCTTGAACTCCTGACCTCAGGTGATCAACCCACCTCCGCCTCCCAAAATGCTGGGATTACAGGTGTGAGCCACCGTGCCCAACAACATTCATATCTTCTAAATATATCAAGTCTGCCCCTTTCTCTCCACTTCCACTTCCTCCATACAGGGCCACCATCTTCTCTTACTGAGACCATTATAATTTCTTACTTAAGTCTCTTTGCTGGCTCCTCCACTTACCCTAGTTGCCCCTCCAACATTTCCTCCCCAACAGCCAGAGAGGTTCTGTTTGTTTGTTTGTTTAAGAGATAGTTTCTTGGGGTCACAGGTATGGGTACTCCAGGGCCCAGCTCTGAGATGACTAATTTATTGGACACCTTGGATGACTGGCCTGGTGGAGGCCTGTGCCCAGGCAAAGGCCTAAGTCTTCCATACAGTGGAGAGGAAGACCTGGTAGGTTGAGACATCTTTGATAGGTGGTATAAAAGTCCTCAGTTTCTTTTCTTTCTTTTTTTTTTTTTTGTATTTTTCACTGATATATCTTAGTTATACATATTTTGGGGGTACATGTGATGTTTTGATCCGTGTATACAATGTGTAATCATCAAATCAGGGTAAGTCTTCAATTTCAGTGGAGGTACCAAGAGATCCATCCTGGTTTAGATGTCTGAGCAATGTTTTATGTGTATAAGTTTTGCCTATCTTCCATCAAATTTACTTCTAAGAATTTTAATTTTTTGATGTTATCATACATGATATTTTTATTTTCCAATTGTTCCTGGCATATAAAATCAACTTTTGTAAATTAGGTTTATATTCTGCAACTTTTTTTAAATTCACTTATTGACTCTAGTAGATTTTTGTAAATACCTTAGGATTTTCTAGGTAGACAGCAATGTTGTCTATGAATAGAAACAGTTTTACTTTCCCCTTTATTACCTTTGTACCTTTTTTGCTTGCCTTATTGCAATGGTCAGTATCCCCAGTAGAATGTTGAATAGAATTGGTAAGAGTAGTTATCCTTTCCCTGTTCATGATCTTAGGGCAGAGGATTCATTCAGTCTTTCACCGTTAAGTACAATGTTAGCTGTAGGTTTTTCATAGTTTTTTTTTTTTTTTTTTTGGTCAGAAGAAGTTCACTTTTCTTCCTTATTTATTGAAAGATTTTTACATAAATAGGTACTAAATTTTGTCAAATGCTATTTCTACACCTATTGAAATGATCATATGATTTTCTCCTTTATTTTATAAATGTGGTGTGTTACATTGATTGGCTTTCAGGTGTTGAACCAACCTTGCATTCCTGGAAAAAATTATATCTCAAATTGATTTTTAAGAAAAAAAAGAAACAGAAGGGGAATCTTTGGGTTAAAAGAGCTATAAAAGATAAAATCAAGGCTGGGTGTGGTGGCTTATGCCTGTAATCCCACCACTTTGGGAGGCTGAGATGGGCAGATTGCTGAGGCCAGGACTCTGAGACCAGCCTGAGCAACATAGTGAAACCCTGTCTCTAGTCAAAATACAAAAACTTAGCCAGGTGTCATGGCGTATACCTGTAATCCCACCTACTCAGGTGGTTGAGGCACAAGAATTGCTTGAACCTGGGAAGCAGAGGTTGCAGTGAGCCAAGACAGAGATTGCAGTGAGCCAAGATTGCACCACTGCACACTCCAACCTGGGCACAAAACGTGCTCTGTCTCAAAAATAAAATAAAATAAATCACAATGTTTAGATCTCATTTAGATACTGATTTCTTTTAAGTGCAAAAGAAATATTTTTATTTTTATTTTTATTTTTATTTTATTTTATTTTTTTGAGACGGAGTCTCGCTCTGTCGCCCAGGCTGGAATGCAGCGGCGTGGTCTCGGCTCACTATAAGCCCCGCCTCCCGGGTTCATGCCATTCTCCTGCCTCAGCCTCCCGAGTAGCTGGGACTACAGGCGCCCGCTACCATGCCCGGCTAATTTTTTGTATTTTTAGTAGAGACAGGGTTTCACTGTGTTAGCCAGGATGGTCTCGATCTCCTGACCTCGTGATCCGCCTGCCTTGCCTTCCTAAAGTGCTAGGATTACAGGCGTGAACCCCCGCGCCCAGCAAGAAATATTTTTATAAGCAGTTGGAAGTTTGAACACTGATGAGATATTCAATAACAGCAAGACAGAATTACTATTGATTTTTTAGGTGTAATAATAATGATATTGTAGTTATTTTTCTTTTTTGAGACAAGGTCTCCTCTGTCTCCCAGGCTGGAGTGCAGTGGCACGATCTTGGCTCACTGCAGCTCCACCTCCCGGGCTCAAGTGATCCTCCCACCTCAGCCTCCTTAGTATCTGGCACTACAGGCACATGCCACCACACCTGGCTAATTTTTGTATTTTTAGTAGAGATGGGTTTCATCATGTTGCCCAGGGTGGTCTTGAACTCTTGGCCTCAAGCAATCTGCCTACCTCGACCTCCCAAAGTGCTGGGATTACAGGCATGATCCACTGCACCCAGCTTGTAGTTATATTTTTATTGAAAGATTTATAAAGTTTTAGAGCTATGTACTGCAATATTAATGAATAAAATGGTTTCTGAAGCAAGGTTTTGATGGTCCCCATGACTCTTAGGTTCAAATCTCAATGGCTGTACTTCCTCCTCTGCCCTTACCCACTATACTGCTGCTGCCGGCCTGGCTGTGGTTGTTTCAACGTGTCAAGCCCTTTTTGCCATGTGGTCTTTCCACACACTGCTCCTTAGTGATGCCTCTTATCCTTTCCCTCCCCCACCAGATCAGTTGCTTGTCATAAGCTCTGATACTGGCACAGAGCAGAGGGCTGAGGCCTCCAGCAAGAAAATGGAAGAATGTGAGCGCTCTGGTTCCTGCTGTCTCTCCCCACTGCTCTTATCTTAGCCTGGATGACTGTGACCTCTCACATGCACCTCTGCAGGAGACACCTCACCTATCCTCCTGCCTGTGCTCACCATCCCCTCTGCTCCATGCTCCACATTGCAGCTGGGGGCTTTTCTAAGAGTCAGCTCTGACCTTTTCTTTTTTTGAGATAAGTCTCGCTCTGTCGCCCAGGCTGGAGTGCAGTGGCACAATCTCGGCTCACTGCAATCTCTGCCTCCTGGGTTCAAGCAATTATTCTACCTCAGCCTCCAGAATAGCTAGGATTACAAGCGCCCACCACCGCACCTGGCTAATTTTTGTATTTTTAATAGAGACGGGGTTTCACCATGTTGGCCAGGCTGGTCTCGAACTCAACCTCAGATGATCCGCCCACCTCGGCCTCCCAAAGTGCTGAGATTACAGGCGTGAGCCACCGCGCCTGGCCTCAGCTCTAACTTTGGTGGCCACTTGTCTGAGTGGCTACAGGGCAAGCTTAATGGATGTGACCTCATCGAATGCCCCCAGCCACCTAAAGGCATAGATACAGCCTGTGTACAGAGCCCTGGAGTGGGCTTCCTCCTGCCTCCGTTTCTCGCCTCTGCCACCCAAGGGCTCTGGACCTGCTGGGCATGAAGGGGCCTGGGTGTGTAGAGACTTCAAGGATCTCACCCTGAAACCTCCTTGTGGTTGGCACCAGAAGCCACTTTGCCACTGCCCAAGCCTGGGCATTGGCCCTGGGAAAAGAGAGTGTCCTCCAGGCCAGACCCTAGGTTGCCAGTCCTCGCCCACAGGAACACAGAGTCCAGTTGTTGGGTTCGTGGAAAACCCACATCAGGGAGTTCAATGCCTGACCTGCAGGCCTGTTTTCCACCCCTGATGGTGCAAACAGACTCGCAGAGGTCAGGTGGCACCAGGGGGCTGGGCAGCTTGGACAGAGTCTTGGCCAATGACAGCTGGCAGCTAGAGAAAAAGAAGTGGCAAACACCCTTTTTGGATGGAAAATACTCTCTGGCTCTGGCTGTGGCTTGCTTGGGAGGGGCCTCCTCTGCTTGGTAACCTTCCTTAGGGGCGGGGTAAGCAGTTGGAGTGTAGGGGAGGAAGGGACTGGGTCAGAATCTACCTCCAAGGCCTGGTCTGCCTTGGGCTTTCTGTGTGACCTTGGGTAAGTCACTCCTTTCCCCCGGCCTCCGCTCCATAGCCTCAAATGGAAAAGGAGGGAAAAGTGGGGAGGCAGGGGGCTGAATAGACACTCCCTTTTTAGCTCCTCACATCTTGAATTGCCAAGGGCCCTTGTCTTCAGCCTGCCCCTGGCCCTCTCTCTCTTCCCCCTTCCTTGGAAAGTGGAGGCAGGGGAGCCTGGTGGTCAGAGCCCAGGACTCTGGAGTCAGATGGACCTGGGCTGAGTCCTTCTCTTCCCCTCCAGGCTGTGTGAGATAGATAAGTGGCTTCCTTCTCTGAGCTCTCCTTCTCTCATTTGTGAAATGGGGATGCTGTTTCTTGGCTCTGGAGCTCCTGGAAGGACTAAGTAAACCCAAGTTGCCGGGCACGGTGGCTCACGCCTGTAATCCCAGCACTTTGGGAGGATGAGACAGGCGGATCACGAAGTCAGGAGATCGAGACCATCCTGGCTAACACGGTGAAACCCCATCTCTACAAAAAAAAAAAAAAAAATTAGCTGGGCGTGGTTGGTGGCGGATGCCTGTAGTCCCAGCTACTCTGGAGGCTGAGGCAGGAGAATGGCATGAACACAGGAGGCGGAGCTTACAGTGAGCCGAGATCGCGCCACTGCACTCCAGCCTGGGCGACACAGTGAGACTCTGTCTCAAAAAAAAAAAAAAAAAAAAAAACCTCAAGTCTGTAAGACACTGGACAAAGACTTAACAAGTAGTAGTTTCACAAACATGGAAGGCCTGCGTGAGACTGGGAGCGGCCTGCAGGAGACAGCAGGGGTGAGAGAGGAGTGGCACCTCCCCTCTGTGGGTCTCCGCCTCTGCATCACCTCCACAAAGTCCCCAGCTCCATAAAAAATTAACAGCCTAGCGAAGAGCAGTGCTCCAGTTCTGACCCGTTGACCCCTGGCGTTGCACAAAGAGGGGCGTTCGGCCCAAGGAAGGCCCTCACAGGTGGACCCTGGACGAATAGGGTACAGGAGGGCCTGGGAAGCCCCTCCCGCACTTCTTCCCGCCTCCTCTAATCTCTCCACCCAGCCTGGACTTCCATCATCAGTAATTTCTGTGGTTTAAACCAGAGATCAGCAAACTCTGGTCTGAACTTGTTTTTGTAAAGCCTGCGTGCAAACTAAGAATGGCTTTTACATTTGTAAATGGTTGAAAAACATCAAAAGAAGAATATTTCATGGCACATGAAAATGATAATAAATTTGAAATGTAAGTGTCCACAAATAAAGTTTTATTGGAACACAGCTGTGCCCATCTGTTCATGGGTCCTCCGGGGCTGCTTTTGCGCTGCAATGGCAAAGGTAAGTCATTTTGACAGAGCTTGAATGTCCCGCAAAGCAGAAAGTACTATCTGGCCCCTAACAGAAAAACTTTGCAGACTGGTTTGAAGGAAACCTACAGTAAGAAGCATCCTGGAGAAGGTTCTACTGGGGCTGTTAGGTGGGAATCAAGAGTCCCAGTTTGACCATTAACCAGTCACACCTCAGTCAAGTGACTGGATCATGTTCCCTCCCTGTACCCCCCTTTCTGCATCTGTAAAATGGACACAGCGATTTTTTCTCTGTGTACCCAGAACAGCTCTGTTAAGACAGCCTGATTGTCGTTCATCTCTAGAAGGAACTAACTCAGACAACTTTCCTCATTGCCCAGATGAGAGGGAGGGGACAATTAGGGGGAGCTGACCATGTCACACTAAGTAGGAGGAACAGGGAGAGAGGCACTCTTTTCTTCAGAACCATATGCAAAAGACAACCTCTCTCTCCCAGAGGCTGTGTCAGGGGCAGCTGGCAACAAAGAGGCCACCAGGCAGGGGCTGCTGCCAGCCCAGGGAGAAGGGCAGGAATGGGAGGAGAAGGATAAACAGCCAAGCTCCGTTTCACCTACACTCCTCCCGAGACCCAGCACACTGGAGATAGGCCAACACGCAGATATGCATTGACTTTCTTAAAAACCATTTTCGTTAGAGATGGGGTCTCGCTCTCTCACCCAGGCTGGAGTGCAGTGGCCAAATCATAGCTCACTGTAGCCCCAAACTCCTGGGCTCAAGGGTCTTCCCTCCTCAGCTTCCCAGGTAGCGGTACTACAGGCATGCACCACCACACCTACCTATACATGTGCTCTTGTATAGGTCACTCATCAAAGCCAAAGTCCCTGTGGTGGCCCAAAGACCTCACAGGATCCACCCCACCCCCTTGACCTTTCTGTCTTCCCTTTCTCCCACCTCATTCATCTCCAGCCTCCCCAACCTCCTGGCTGGACCCTCCTGCCTGAGGGCCCTGACACTTGCTGTCCCCTCTTCTCCTGCCCTGACCGCCTATTAAAACTATCCCAGGGGCCGGGCACAGCGGCTCACATCTGTAATTCCAGCACTTTGGGAGGCTGAGGCGAGTGAATCACTTGAGGTCAGGAGTTTGAGACCAGCCTGGCCAACATGGTGAAACCCCGTCTCTACTGAAAATACAAAAATTAGGCCAGGCGCGGTGGCTCACGCCTGTAATCCCAGCACTTTGGGATGCTGAGGTGGGTGAATCACCTGAGGTCAGCAGTTCGAGACCAGCCTGATCAACATGGAGAAACCCTGTTTCTACTAAAAATACAAAATTAGCTGGGCATGGTGGTGCATGCCTGTAATACTAGCTACTCGGGAGGCTGAGGCAGGAGAATGGTGTGAACCCGGGAGGTGGAGCTTAAAGTGAGCCAAGATCGCGCCACTGCACTCCAGCCTGGGCGACAGGGCCAGACTCTGTCTCAAAAAAAAAAAAAAAAAAGACTACTTAGGAATTGTTGCACTACACTTCCATCCATCCATTCGTCCAACAAAGGCCCTTCCTGTAGATGAATTAGATGAATTATTAAGGCCAGGGCCTAGAAATGGCCCTTGCCTTCAATAATCCATCCCCCAGAAGGGGAGATGCTATCAGGAAAAAGATAGCTCAGAAGAGGACTGCAAGTGAAAGCCAGGGGTGAGCTGCAAAGGATACAAGATGACAAGCAAGCCATAAAGAAGCCCGCTGTAAGAGTCTATGACTGGAAAGCGACAAGAGTTAGAAGATAAAAATAGGCTGGGGTAAGCCAGGTGCAGTGGCACATGCCTGTAATCCCAGCACTTTGGGAGGCTGAGGTGGGCGGATCCTTTGAACCCAGGAGTTCCAGACCAGACTGAGCAACATAATGAAACCTCATCTCTACAAAACATTTAAAAAATTAGGCCGGGCGCGGTGACTCACGCCTGTAATCCCAGCACTTTGGGAGGCCGAGGCGGGCAGATCACCTGAGGTCAGGAGTTTGAGACCAGCCTGACCAATGTGGAGAAACCCCATCTCTACTAAAAATACAAAATTAGCCGGGCGTGGTGGCGCATGCCTGTAATCCCAGCTACTCGGGAGGCTGAGGCAGGAGAATCACTTGAACCCAGGAGGCGGAGGTTGCGGTGAGCCGAGATAGCACCATTGCACTCCAGCCTGGGCAACAAGAGTGAAACTCCAACTCAAAAAAAAAGAAAAAAAATTTAGCCAGGTGTGGTGGTGCATGCCTGTGGTCCCAGATACTCAGGAGGTTGAGGTAGGAGGATCGCTTGAGCCTGGGAGGCAGACATTGAGGTGAGCAGAGGTCACGCCACTGCACTCCAGCCTGGGTGACACAGCAAGATCCTATCTCAAAATAATAATAATATCACACTGGTATTTTCCTAAGGGAGTAGATATGAGGTGTTCTTGCCACAAAAATAAGTATATACAAGATGATGGGTATGTTTTAATTTTTTCAAGCCCACACAAAATCCAAATGGATATATTAATTGGTTTGACTATAGTAACCATTTCATTATGTGTATCAAAGCATCACGTTGTATGCCTTACATATATACAAAACATTAATAATTAATATAAAGGCCAGGCATGGTGGCATGTGCCTGTAGTTTCAGCTGCTCTGGAGGCTGAGGCGGGAGGATCGGGAGGCCAGGAGGTCGAGGCTGCAGTGAGCCACGATCATGTCATTTGCAACTCTAGCTTGGGCGACAGGACAAGACCCTGCCTCTAAAAAGTAAGAATTATTTTTTTTGCCACCGGCTGTTGCTGTCTTTGCAACACATTTACTCCTCATTTAATAGCCCCACAGCCCTATGGGGGAAGGGAGGGCCCTACTGCAAGAGTTTATGGATCGGAAAACTGAGGCCAGGAGGTGCCTGAGGCAGCCCTACTCCTAAGGAGAGGAGGCTGGTAGACTCAAACTGCAGTGCTCCTGGATCAGAACAGAAGGCATGGTCTCCTTCCCAGCCCAAACCCTTCCCTACAAAGCAAAATAATTAGACAAAGAAACCAAGTTGGTTAAAAAAAAATCCCTTTATATTGCAACAGGGTTCAGAATGACACCACCAGGTGTGGCCGGGCGACAGCTGCTGCCACCCCTAACGCGGGGTCTGCCCCCTCTCCCGCGCGTCCAGGTGCCCTGTGTCCCTGTCCCGCTCCCACTGAGGGGCGGATCAGACCTGGAGGTCTGATCCGGGCTTCCCCGGGCCCTGCCTGCGGGACTGGCCACCCAAGGGCCGCCCTGGACGCCTCCCTCTGTGAGGTCAGGTCCTCGCTGTCGGGGGTCAAGGCTGTGCGCAGGGTCGTGTTGACCCAAGGTCTCGCTGACGCACGGGGCGGGAGACGATGACGCTCCGCTTGCCACAGCAGGTGGCGTGGACCAAGCTTCTCCTCGACCCCTTCCTCGGGGGTCACGCCAGGGCGGCCGCCAATGCCCTCTCCCGTTTAGTAGGGGTAGGGGGACACGGCGATGAGCAAGACGAAGACGCTTTGGTGGCGCGGTGCCGCAGCACGCACGGTGAGCCGGTAGAGGCCGGCGCGGGTGAGCGCGCGACGGGTGTAGACCGCGCCAAGGCCCGCGCGCAGCGGACGCAGCGCGAAGGGGCTGCGGGGGTCGGGCTCCAGCATGCTGAGCTCGGTGCGGTTGGCGGGGACGCCGACCTCGGAGAAGGCGGTGAGGCGGGCCACGTCGTGGTGGGCGCGCACGCCCAGGGGCAGCGGCAGCAGCCGGTACTGCAGCGTAGAGGGGCCGCCCGTGCCGCAGTCCTGCGAGCAGCGCCGGAAGCACGTCCTGCGGGCGGCACAGACACACGGACAGGCGGACTCGGGGGTGCGGTCGGAGCGTGGCCCATCCGCGTAACTCAGACCTCCCTGCCAGCCCCTGCAGTTCCGCCCACGCGCTGCCCGTCCTTCTCCCGCAGAGCCCCACACGCCTTCTCTGCAGGCTCCCACGCTAGCCCGTTTTAGAGTTCAACAAACTGAAGCCCAGAGAAGCCAGAGGCCTGCCCTTTCATGGTCCCTCCAGCGGACTTTCGGGATCCATGCCCCAGGGAAGCCCAGCAGACACAGGGGAGCGATGTGCCCCTGGGCCAAGTCACCCAGTCTGGATTTGCCCTGCGGGGGCGGGGTTGGAGGTGGAGACTGCGCTTAGCCTTGCCGCGGGCATCTGCTTCCAACCCCAGCCTACGTTTCTAGTTGTAAGGCCTGGGGCAGGTCACCCGCCGGGAGAAACCTTTCCAGGGCAGCAGCTGCCACCCCTAAGGTCCCCATGTCTCCGTGTGTCTTGATGAGTGTCCGTGGCCGCTGTGAGTGGCGTGGAGGAGATGGGTTTGGTGCTGGCGTGTCTGAGTTTTGTCCTGGGGTTGTGTGAGTCTGCATGGTGGTCCTGTGTCTGGGGTTTGGTGTGTGTGCTCCTGTGTCCCCGTTCTCTCCCACTCTGGCCTCTCCCTGCCCCCAGGGCTCCGTGCGTTCCTGCCTGCATCACTTGTGTGGGGAGTGACAATGACAGGGCCAGCCTGCACCCCCAGTGACTGAAAAATGTGCTTTTCCTGAGGGCACGAGGCCCTGCCAACTCAGCCCTTACCCAGGGCTGGGGCCCTGCCGGTAGGTGGCAGGACAGGGTGTGTCCACACACTGGTAGCTGCCACGGGTGTTGAAGCACATCTGGCCGGGTCCACACTCGATGCTCTCCTCCTCGCACTCGTTGATGTCTGGATGGGGAAGTTGGTGAAGCGGGGGAGGGAGATGAAAAGATGGAGCAAAGGAGAAGGGGGGAGTGCGTGGGGAGAAGTACCTTTGGGGGACCAGTGAGGTGGGCAGCCCTTCTCCCTTTGTCCCCAGCCAGTCTGACCCATGACCACCCAGCTGGAGGCCCGCAGCACCTTCTCATCTCCCTCGGGGGGCCAGGGCTTTCCAGGGCGTGTAGGTGGGCACCGTGGGGGCCTCCTGAGCAAGTGCTGGGTAGGAGGGCCTGGGAGAGATGGGGCTTTCCCTGGGTGGCTGCTTTGCCCGAAGACCCAGAGTGCCCACTGCCCACGGGCAGAGCCCCTGATCCTGTCTTCCTCAGTGGAAGCCCCACCCTTCTCAGAGGATGTTCAGTGACCTCCATGGCAGCATGAGGGACAGAGACAGGCAGGGCAGGCATGGTTCCTGTTCTTTAGAGTGGAGGAAGCAGCATGACCGGCCCCAGCCCCGTTTGTGCACACCAGGGAAACTGTGCCCGGTTTGGGAGTTAGAGGCACTTACTATACCAGCAGCAGCAGCTGTGCGGCTCTGTGCTCAACCTCCACAGCTCTCATCCCAGCTATCTGAGAGGGGACTGTGCTAGCCCCATTTAACCAGGAGGCCGGAGGCTTAGAGAGGTGAAGTGAGTTTCCCAGGGACACACAGCAGTGCTAGGATTGGCCTTGCAGGGCTGCTTTCAGAGCCTGCCCGCGTGATCTCAGAGCTCCTGTTTGGAGCATGGGCCCTGGCGTGGCTGTGGGAGCCTGGGGTGTTCACAGAACCCCTCTGAGCCTGCCTCCCCGCCCCACCTCACAGGATAGTTGTGAAGGGGCTGGAGTGAACGGAGTAGGTAAGATGCCACATGTCCCATCCCACGCTGCCTGCCCTAGCCCCACGGGTGTTTGGGCGGCGGCCTGAGCCCGGCTCACCCTGGCAGTTCTTCCCGCTGGGGAGCAGACGGTAGCCGGCGGGGCACAGGCACTGGTAGCTGCCCTCAGTGTTGCGGCAGGCGTGCTGACACAGGTTCCTCACGCGGCACTCGTCAAGGTCTGGCCCGGGCATGGGGGTGGGGCAGGTGGGGGATGGGGGCAGAGAGACGCACTGAGCCACAGACACCAACGTGGCCACACACCTGCCCGCTGGGCTCTGGAGCTGCCCTGCTCCTTCTCCCTGTCCTGCCCCTCCCAGCCCAGGTTCAGGGGTTGGGGGAGTCCCTGTGCTTGCTGAGAGGGAGGAGCCCCACCTTACCTACCCCGTGCTCACCAAGGCATAGAAGGAGCAAGCAGCACCACCCCGCAGACCCCTCCGTCCAGGCGGGAATGCCGAGGCATCAGCCCTGGGGCAGGCCACCTCCTCTTTGTCCCTCTCTGCAGGGTCCAGGGGCCATCCCCCACCCCCACCCCCCTCTACCCAGCAGTCCCTTGTCACATTCTCATGTCTACCTGGAACATTCTCCTTCACCCCTGAAAATCTCCCTCCCTGACTGCTTTCCCTCTGAGTGCTAAGAGGAGTGTTTCTCAAAGGGGGTTCCCAGGACCACTTGCCTAGGATGCCCTCCCTCTGGGCAAAGTGTCCTGAAGTCAAATGGTTTAAAAAATAGTCCACACCATCTTGGAAGCCCCCTGCCCAATAGCACAGCCAAGGCTCTGAGACACCCTGCATTGGAGAAGCCACCATCCACCACACCACTCACCCCACTTGCCTGGAAGGTCTGGGTTTCTGAACTCGGTGGGTGACACCTGCACACCCACCCTAGGGGCCCAAGAGCCCATAACGGCAGTGTCCCGTGGATGGTCAGGGCCTGGCCTTACCTGTGCAGACTCCGTTCTGCCTGATGAAACCAGGAGGGCACCAGGCCCGGCCCACACTGCTCAGGGCCATGGGACCCGGACGGAGAGAGACCCAGGCGTGGTAGGAGGTACCGGGGATCGAGGCCCAGGGCCGCAGCCAGGGCAATAGAGGGCCTCGGTGGCTGACGGTGGTCACATTTTGTCCATTCCGCTCCAGTGAGGTGCAGGCCTTGCCGTCGCGAAGGAGGGTCTGGCCTGGGGGGCACAGGCAGCGGTAGCTGCCCTGGAGGTTGTGGCACTGGTAGGCGCAGGCCTTGGGCAGCTGCAGGCACTCATTGACATCTGCAGACGGGTGGGGTCAGGTGTGTGCACAGGTGGCCCAGGTTCCCCTGCAGCCTGCAGCCATTGCCTGGCCCTGCCTTCTCTCTTGTTGGCATTCCCTAGAATCCAGCCACTCCCATGCTGCATGTGAGCCACGCTGCATCCCCCTCTCCCGGACCAACTCCAGCCTCCTCTCCGATTCCACCTACAGCTCCCAGAGGCCCAGCCTCCCCAGCTCTCAGCCTCGTCCCAGACTCCAGCTCCCCCTCAGCCCTTCAGTGCCCCAGTTAGATCCATTCCCTCTCCTAAGCCTCTCTGAGATACACCCACTTGCCTCCACAGTCCTCCCCCTCCTGAAATTCCCCGGAAGATGACCCCACAGGGTCAGGCTGAGGTTTTGGTGCACAGGCAGGCACCCAGTGAGTGCAAAGTGTCGGCTGCTGTTTGGTTATTCTCAGAACTCAACAGCACTGGCGCCTTAGACACCCTCAGCCCCTGAGCTGAGGTGCTGGCCAGAGGGTGGGTGTCCCCGTAACTAGGCAGGGCAGGCTGGGGCCCTGCATCCGGTAACCCCTGGGGCAGCTGCAGCGGTGTGGCCAGAGGGTGGGTGTCCCCGTACCTAGGCAGGGCAGGCTGGGGCCCTGCATCCGGTAACCCCTGGGGCAGCTGCAGCGGTGACCGCCTGGGGTGTTCTCGCAGAGCTGGTTGTAGTGACAGTCGTCCAACCCCTCCAGGCATTCGTCCACATCTGGGAGGCAGGGGCATGGTCGGTGGTGGGGAGGTCTAGCCCAGGGCCCCTCCCCCAAGGGACGGACCATCCCCCTCCATATCTGGGCCTCCTCCCTGTCCCCTTCTCCAGTTTCAGTGCCACCAGGCTGCATGGCCGCCCTCACAGCACCTCCCCCAGTTATACCAGGTTGGAGGTCAACAGGGTTCCAGGTCCCAGAGAAAGGAAGGGGCTGAAAGGCCCTTTGTGGGCAGAGTCCTGGGTTCCGCTGAGCTCTCCATATTCTAGCCCTTGGGCAAGGAACTCTCCCTCTCTGAGCCTCAGTTTCCTCATCCATAAAGAGGGTAAAGATGTGACCTCTTCATGGGGTCGTGGTGAGGAGGGGAGCCTGGTATGTGGGAAGAGCTAAGAAAGTGGTGAGAAAGGAGGAAAGGCGGCAGGAAGGGCGGCAGGCAGGAGAGCCCGGTGAGTTGTCGGGCACTCCAAGGGCCCTGGGGGCCACAGAGGTGCGATGGCTGATCCCCTTGGGTCAGGCTCCACCATGCTTCCCTCTCCACCGTGCAGTCTCTCAGAGGAGCCGGGTGGACCCACGGTCCTACAGCCATAGACTGTTAGAGCAGGAAGGACCATTGAGGTCACCCATCCAGGGGTGGCACCTAAGTTTTATCTCAAAGGCTGACTGAACCTGTTCCACTGTGGCTGCAGGGGCTGCTGCGTCAAGAAGGATTCAGAGGTGGTCTCTAGCTGGGCCTTGATTCATATGGGGGAACAGAACGGATGGCAGCAGAGGGAGCATGTGTTTGCCATCCCTGACCTGGCTCCCTCTTTATCAAGCAGACAAGATGCTGAGGTGCAGAAAGAAAACACCCCTGTCAAAGAAGGTGCCAGCTGCCAGGAGCCAGGGGAGGGCTCAGACCTCCAGAGCCTGGCGCAGGCTTTGTCCCCAGCCTTGCTGTACTCCTTCTGCCAAGAGTCCCAGTCTTCCTGGAAGCCCAGAGCCCAGTGACACACAGCCCCCTGTCAGCTGATCCCTGGCAACCTCTGGGTTTCCAGGAGTATGGACAGGCCGCATGCTGTGCCCCCATCACCTTCACAGCCGGCCCCATCAGCCACCCGGAAGCCAGGCCCACAGTCGGGGAGGCAGCGGTAGGACCCGAGCAGGTTCACACAGCGCTGTCCCTCTCGGCAGAGGTGAGCATCCCACGCACACTCGTCCACATCTGGGGGCAGATCAGGGCAGACGGCTGTGTGAACATGATCCCCAGGCGTGCCTCGCCACCTGACCCTGGCCCGGCCTATCCACAGAGGCTTCGTCCGCAGGCCCAGGAGCCACTGGCAGGAAGGTCCCCACCCCTTCTGCTAGCTCTTTCCATTGTCTTGCTCCCTATCCCAAAACATAGGGCCCACTCCAAGGGACCCGAGTCCTTGGGCCTGCAGCTTCCAATGCAAGGCTGCAGACAACGTCCCCTTGGGCACCCGGCTTGGAGCCCAGCGGAGACTTGGCAGCACCAGGCCCTCCCGGTGGGAGTGCAGGGATGCAGACTGGGGGTCAGCGTCAGCACCATCACCTGAGGTCAGATTTGTCATCCAGCAACATTGCTGAGGGGGACAACTCACTTGCCAGTCTCAGTCAATTGGAAATGATGCTGAGTGTTGGGAGAGCTTCCGAGGCCTGTTCAGGTTCAGAATGCGGTGAGCATGTGTAGCCGCCCATATGTCTCTGGGGCTGCCCATCACCCCCTGATACCTGGGCCTCATTCATCTGCAGCTCCCATAGCAAGAAGGAGCCTGGTGGGGACATAGCATTGGGACCCCCAGGCTGACATCAAAACCCTCAAGAATTGGCCATCCCTGCAGGTCTGTGTCCCCAGCCAGGGTCCTGGCCCTGGGGACCCTTCTGCACACCTGGGTCAGGTCTGAGGAGCGCGTCTCCTCCCTCCTCCCGGCAGCTCCCTCACCTCTGCAGTTCCTGTCATCCCAGGCCAGGGCGAAGCCAGTGGGGCAGGTGCAGGAGAAGCGGCCGGGTGCATTAAGGCAGGCATGGGAGCAGGGGCTAGGGCCTCCTGAGCACTCGTCCCTGTCTGGGGCAGGAAGGGGTCTGGTGGTCTCCGCTCCCAGGCCCTCCTGCCAGCTGGCTGGGAGAAGCCATCCATCCCAGGCTGAGAGGCCTCCCACATCCATGCCAGGGTTGGGGGCGCTCACCCACACAAAACGCTCCCTGGGAGTCCAGCTCAAAGCCCTCGGGGCAGCCGACCTCGTTCTCCTCTGCAAAGCAAAGAGGATAGACTCTAAGGACATGAGGGTGTCCTCTCCCAAGGCTGCCCTGGCCATAGCCCAGGCTCACAGCTCCCCCACTGCCAGCTTAGCCAGGCAGAGCCAAGACGGTGCCAGAGAGTCAGCAAGCCCATTTCCTGCCCAGGCCTGTTGGAGGCGATGACTGCAGGGCACGCCCAGTCAAGGAAATGTGTCCTGAAGGGCTCCCAGTGGGGCTGGCCAGTGAGTCAGGCAGCCCCAGGAAAACCATTAAAATAAAACGCAGGAGGTCAACACGTGCAAAACGGCTCTCCTGAGACCATAGCAGCAATGCACAGAGACCGTGCGGAGGGGCAGAGGATAGCGTCAGACGGGCAGCAAAAGCAAAGGCAGGGGAGGGGTGAGCTGGGTTCTGGAGGCAGGAAGGACACAAGGCAGTCTAAATCAGGGGTGTCCTATCTTTCGGCTTCTGTGGGCCACGCTGGAAGAAGAAGAATTGCCTTGGGTCACACATAAAATACACCAACACTAAGGATAGCTGATGAGCTAAAAAAAAAAAAAAAATCACAAAAAATATCATAATGTTTTAAGAAAGTTTATAAATTTGTGTTGGGCCGCATTCAAAGCTGTTCTGGGTGGCATGCGGCCTGTGGGCCATGGGTTGGACAAGCTTGGTCCACATAAATTGTAGGGACAGCCAGCCTTGATGAGGCAGCCACTAGGTGCCAGGCTAGGGTTTTAGAGACAACATCTGTACGGCGACACCCTGCAAGGCAGGCGATGTCATGCCCGCGGTGCAGATGGGAACACTGAAGCTCCGAGAGGACCAGGACATTGCCCCCAAGGTCCCACAGCCAGAAAGTGGTGTACCTCGGATTTGAACTGGGGTCTGCCTGACCTCAAAGCGGTGCTCTTAGCACTGTCTCTCATTCAATGTTCAAAACACTTTGGGACCTCAAATAATGTGAACGTATGTATCTTTAGCATTCACTGGGTGAACAGAAAGCATGTTCCTGGGGGTCTCTAGGGTTCCAACAGTGGTTCCTGGCTCCTTGGGTGTGGCCTCAGTGCAGGTGCCCTCGGGAGAAGAGGGCGGGGTGACTCAGTTCCTGAACATCAGCCTGGGGTGGTTGGACCTTCACCCTGGGGCCTGGGGAAAGGATCCAGAGGTTGGAACAAGGGTGGCTTAGAGAGCTGTGTCCCTGTGAGGAGTGGGGGGTGGATGGATGGGAGTGGGGACAGGCCAGGTGAGTAGGCCAGCCGGGCCGTCTCAGTCTGAAGTCTCTGGCCCATGGTCAGTGGATGTTAGGGGCAGGGGTGGATTCCAGCCACGTGCATTTGGGCCCCCTGGCAGGTTTTAGCTGGGGCAGTGGGGGTGGAACAAAGCAGAGGGGCCTCACCCGCCTGCAGGGCTGTAGCGAGCTGGAAGCGCAGGGCCTCGGCCTCTGGATCAAAGGCCGAGCTGATAGCTGAGGCCCGCAGGTGCTGCACCAGCTGGGGCTGGGGGCCCCGGGCCGCGTTGTACTGGATGCTGTGGTTGCAGCGTAGGAACGAGGGGAGGCCGCCCTGGAAGAAGCGCTGTGTGGAGCCCACGAACAGCTGGCCAGGCCCTGTTTGCACGTAGTGCTCCTCAAAGTCCTGCAGGATGAAGAGGAGGGGAGGAGGAGGAGGGGTGGGGGAGAGGGAGAAAGGGGTCAGGGTTGGAAGGGGAGGAGGAAAATGCTGAGATTTCAACTCCCAAGCAGCCTGAGACCCTTACCCCAACTCAGGGGCTTGAGGAGGCTTGGGAGAAGATGGGGTGAGCCTTGGGAAGAGATGGGGTGAGCCTTGGGAAGAGATGGGGTGAGCCTTGGGAGGAGATGGGGTGAGCCTTGGGAGGAGATGGGGTGAGCCTCCCAGAGCCTCTTCTAACCAGCTGGGCTGCTCTAGGCAGCTCACCTCTCTTCAGGACTCGTGCTTTTGAACAAGAATACTCTGATCTGAAGTCGCAGGGCTCAGAGCATCCCTTCAAGCGCTTGAACTTGAGCCTGTTACAACTGCTCATCCTACCCTAAGTCCAAGGCTAGACTGTGACCCAGCCCTGCAGCGCTGTCAGAAGGGAGAGTGGGCCTGGCTGCTCAGGGGTGGTTGAGAGCCGGGCACCTTCGTCTCTCTCACCTACCCTGTCTGCACACCCCAGGGCTTGACCCCCGACCTGCACTTGAAGATCTGCGTCAGCCAGGCTCTCGGGGACAACGCCATTGACCACCACGTCGAGGAGCAGGAGGCCATCGGGATCCAGACCCCGGGCCACCTGGGTCATCGTGAGCAGCTCCCCTGCAAACCATCCCCACCCAGCCCAGAGTCACCACGGGAGGTCCTGGGCGCAGGCTTTAGTCCTACCTGGCCCACCTGGGGGAGGCCCTGTTTACCTGTAGCAAACTCCACGTGTGACTCCTGCCGGAACCTGCCCCCAGTCAGAGAGTGGCCATTCAGGGCTTCCCCACTCTCTCTGGCCAGGGCCCAGTAGATGGGGGCGATGGTGACCACGAGCACCCGCATCAGAGGCCCTGGGTGGGGCAGGGCATAGAGGCCGGGTTAGAGCTGATCCTCAGGGCAGCCACCTCCTGTTCAAGGTCCCGTCATGGCTCCCCACTGCCCCCAGGAGAGCTCAGCCCCTTCCCTTGATGTCCATACTCAGCCTTGTGACTGCCATGCCAATTATTTAACCAGAATCAGGGATCTGGTGGAGGCAAATAATCTACTTCCTGGAGTAACTGAAATTAATAAATTTATACAAGGAAATGCTAGGCGACATAGTGAGACTCTGTCTCTACAAAAAATAAAAATATTAAGGACAGGCCGGGCGCGGTGGCTCATGCCTGTAATCCCAGCACTTTGGGAGGCCGAGGCAGTCAGATCACGAGGTCAGGAGATCGAGACCATCCTGGCTAACACGGTGAAACCCTGTCTCTACTAAAAATACAAAAAAAAAAAAAATTAGCCGGGCGCCGTGGCAGGCGTCTGTAGTCCCAGCTACTTGGGAGGCTGAGGCAGGATAATGGTGTGAACCCGGAAGGCAGAGCTTGCAGTGAGCCAAGATCATGCCACTGCACTCTAGCCTGGGTGACAGAGCGAGACTCCGTCTCAAAAAAAAAAATTAAAAAAAAAAAAAATATATATATATATATATGGACATTAGCCAGGTGTGGTGGCATTCACCTATAGTCCTAGCTACTGGGGAGGCTAAGGTAGGAGGATCGCTTGAGCCTGGGAGGTTGAGGCTGCAGTGAGCTGTGACTGCACCACTTGCACTCCAGCCTGGGCAACAAAGCGAGAAGCAGTCTCAAAAAGAAAAAAAAAAGAAGAAATAAATGCATGTACCTTGTTGATATTTAACTCAGTTCAACAAATACCGATTGAGGGCCCCGGGTCACCACGGAGCCAGGGACTCCACAGACTGTCATTATATATTTGCTGAGTTGAAGTGAACCAACTTTTCTAACTTGCAGATCCCTTCTGGACCAGCCCCGGTTTGTTCCAAACCGTTTGAAAAAAGAACCAAAAAATGGCCCTGGACGTGGATTCTCAGATCTTCTTCATGTGATGCCCCGCCCTCCACGCAGGACCAGGTGGGGCCATGGACTGGGCAAGGGGAACACACCCGCTCCCCACTTGCTCTGAGTCAGGGACGGTGCCAGCTTTGCAAGGTTCACAGGAGCTGGCCAGGCCCCTGTGCATGGGCACCACCTTCCCAGCCTCTCTGTGCGTCTGTTTCATGGAACAAAGCCTGGTCCACGGGCTTGGGGCCAGATGCTTCTCCAGGCCTCACACTCCTGCAGCTAGAATAAGCAGCCATGTCTGGGCAGCGTCTCGCTTCATCTGCTGTCTGCTGACAGCCAGCTCAGAGTGACTTCCCCAGCAAAATCCCCTGACCCCACACTGCTCATGCGGGACCATGGCCAAGGGCAGCTTCAGAGGAGCTACTTTCAGTGAAGACTCCATGAATACTGCCCCTCCTGGACCCCCACGAGGGGCCAGGGATTCCTTGGGAAGGGAGAGACAGTGACGTCCACTGTCACAAGCTCTGCAAGTCTCTCAGAGCATTCATCGCTCAGACACCGTACATGAGAGCTCTGTGTGCAGGTGACTCTTCTTAGTCCTCTAGGTTTTCTAGGCAATTCAATTCTCCATGTTTCCCGCTTCCCGTCACCTCCAGCCTGCACCCCTCACTCATGACTGGAGATCCCTCCACTTCCATCAGCCTGAGCTTTAACTTAAATGGGGAAAAGCCTCAGGGAGCCATCGGTGGCTTGGGAAACCACAATCTGAGCGCCCGCACCCCCAGAACACTGACCGTTTCACACACTCTTGGTCTGACTGTAAATGCAGTTCCTTTGTTTTTGGGAGGTTGTGAGGGGGACAGGAAGTTGCCTGCATCTGAGTCCACTTTGGATTGCACTCAGCTTTGAGAGATGGTCAGACGTGCTCTGGTCATCAGGCCTTGAGCAAGTCTCGGGGCACAGGCTCTGCGCCTCCTAGGTCCAGCATGTTCTGGAGGATGCTCGCTGGGCTGTGACAATAACCCAGAGGCAGGTGATGCTCTGCCTTCCACTCACCCACGTTTGCTGGGACATGGCGGATGCTGCTGTGGATGCTGCTGACCCCGGAGTGTGCCTCCTGCATCACGCTGGTGTTGAGTGTGGCCACGCCAAATTTCCGGCCATTTATCACCCCAGTCATGCTGCCCCAGCTCCCCTGGGGCTCCCCTGTAAGGAAGGGAAAGAATGACAGTGCCACTGACTATCCACCCCGGGGCCCACAGCACAAGCAGGCTGTCATTCCCATTTCGTGAAGGAGTAAATGGAGGCTCGGAGAGTTCACCTCCACTTGTCCAAGGACACACAGCTAAGGGGTCATGGACTCAACGCCCAGGGGATCTTGGCTCTAAAAGGGAAGGGAGGCTGTTAGGAGGAACCCTGGGCTCAGGGCGGAGCTGGCTTCTAATTCTGGCTCTGCCATTCCTTAAAACCTGGCCACCTCAGGCCCCCAAGCCACACCTGAGTTGGCTCACCTGTAAAATGAGGAGGCGGGACCACAAACTCACAGAAGACCTGTGGGTCTCTGAAATGCCGGGAGCCCACGATGGCGTGGCTGGCACACTGAAGGAGCCAGGGCACCGAGCCAGAGCCGGGTGCCATCACCTGAACAGCCCCATTCCATCAGTGCTGCTGGCCCTGGCTGCCCTGCAGCTGGCCTGGCCGGGTGGGCTGGTTTCCTAGCCGCTGCCCGCCAGGCCATCTGTGAGCAGATGCTCTTTAGCGCTAATCAAACGGATGATGCAGGCACAGGGGGGTGCTTCCTCTGACTAATGCGCCAGCTGTCTTGTTTAGGCAGATGGCATTCCAGGGGGCGAGAGACAGAAGTTAGCCTGCCTCTCCACTCAGCAGCTCTCAGGGGAAATTAGCAACAAATTGCCCATGATCTGTCAAAAAATAACATAAAACACTCAAGTGCTAGGATCCTAAATGGATGAATCAAGGGGCTGGTTAATTTGGGGTTCTAGGAAGCAGGGCCATTTCCTGCAGCCCATAGCTGGGGTTTGATGAGATTTGAAGCCCATCTGGGATGTTTCTCATCAGTATCCGATGCTCTGGGGCCCATGGGAGGGACAGGAGAAGGGCCGTGAACCTATCCCTGGCCTTTTAATAGGGGAGTGAAGAAGAGATCGGGAGCTGCAGATGAGAAGGCTGGAGTGTGACCCGCGCAGCTTTGGAAGGGGACAGGAAATGGAACCCAGGCACGGCAGGCAAGCCACCGCCAGCTCTCTCAGACATGGAGTGACGTAGCAGCCTCTTGTCCCCCTACAAGGCCAGGATTGGGACCTGCCAGGCTGATGGGGAAGGAGGAAAAGCAGGTTTTCAGGAGGGAAAACAGGTTTAGAAGCTCCCAAACCCTGAACTCCCTTCACCCACCCATGCCCCTTAAGGAAATCGTCCCACAGAAATCTTCAGGGCCACACACAAAGATACGCAGCACGGTGTGGCTTTGGGGAATGGAAACTAGGAAAATAAACTACGTTGCTCATTTGACAAAGCCAACACGAACGAAGATAAAAAACGTTCCCATGGAATGATACGAAGCCAATCAAAAAGCTGTGGACCGATGTGTATCATAATTGGATGTCTTCCAAGATAGAGGAAGTAAAAATGGCAGGTTATAGAGGGTGTAAATTTGACATTTGTAAAAAGAAAAGTGTATCTCCTCTATCCAGAGAAAACAGTGTGGAAGAATGTATCTCCCCAAATAATTGCTTAAGCTACTTTGGGTCACTGAATTATGGGAGAGAATTACCTTCTTCTTCACAGATTTCTATAGTATCTGGCCTTTCTACAGTTAACATATATAAAGGAAGAATATTTGTTTCTATTAAAAAAAAATAAGGAGGCTGGGTTATGGATTGAATGCTACCACACCACCCAAAATTCATACGTTGAAGTCTTAACCCCCAGGACCTCAGAATGTGACCCTATTTGAAGATAGGGTCTTTATAGAGTAAGTCAAGTTAGAATGAGGTCATTAGGGCAGGCCTAATCCAACATGACTGTGTCCTTATAAATAGGGAAGTGTAGACACACACAGGGAAGATGAAGGCAGAGGTGGGGGTGATGTTTCGACAAGCCACAGAATGCCGAGGACCACCACCAAGACCCTGGGAGAGAGACCCAGACCAGATCCTCCCCACAGTGTTCAGAAGAAACCAGGGCTGCTGACAGTGTGATCCTGGATTTGCAGCCTCCAGAACTATGAGACAATCAGTGTGGCTTAAGCCTCCAGCTTGTGGTGTTTTGTTTTGTTTTGTTTTGTTTTGTTTTTTTACCAGTAGCCCTACAGAACAAATACAAAGGCCATGTACATAGCTCTGTGGTTGGGACTGGGGCCTGCCAACAGGAGAGGGTAAGAAGTGGGACGGGCCGGGCGCGGTGGCTCACGCCTGTAATCCCAGCACTTTGGGAGGCCGAGATGGGCGGATCACGAGGTCAGGAGATAGACACCATCCTGGCTAACGCGGTGAAACCCCATCTGTACTAAAAATACAAAAAACTAGCCGGGCATGGTGGCGGGTGCCTGTAGTCCCAGCTACTTGGGAGGCTGAGGCAGGAGAATGGTGTGAACCCGGGGAGCAGAGCTTGCAGTGAACCGAGATTGCACCACTGCACTCCAGCCTGGGCAACAAGAGTGAGAGACTCCGTCTCAAAAAAAAAAAAAAAAAAAAAAAAGAAGTGGGACGAAGCCCTGAAATACATGGGGGTCTGCTTAGACCCAAGGCTAACTCTGAGACTGCATCTCTGGCTGGGGGGTCAGAGAACCGCTGAACTTTCAGAGCTGCATAGGTTGGTACCCTGCCCCGGCCTGTGGGAGATAATGAGAGCAACGGCCAGAAAGGGTCCCACATTTGGTTGGCAGTGGGTTTCACGTGGATTTCCAGGTGGCCAAGTGTCAAGTCCCAATTCCAATTAGCTGAGAGGCGCTGCCTGGGAGGGCTCATTGGAGAAAGATTCTGCCAACGCATGTGGTGATAGATTAGTGATGTCTGCCAGGGACAGCGAGGGAGATGCATCGCCACACATAGGGAGTGTTCCCATGTGGTGATAGATTAGTGATGTCTGCCAGGTACAGGGAAGGGGACACATCCCCACATATATGGAGTGTTCCCTTCAGAGGCACAGGCCACAGAAATAATATCTTATGACTTGCCTTTATGCAGGTCTGAATCCATTTACTGTGGTTTCTCAGGATAGATCTTTTCTTAATTTTAAAGTTGGTCTGACCCAAGGTAGAAGGGAGCTGATTGAGGAATCGAGATGGCAGGGGTCCATCCCACCAGGAAGCCATTTCTTTTCCAACCACCTGCCACGGCCAGGCAATGTGTGATGCCTGGGACATGCACTGATGCACAGACTTTTCACAGCAGCCCCCGAGGGCACCGGGGATGCCCTTGTCTTCCTCTGCCTGCTTCCAGGGGCTGTGCAGTGTCCAGACAGAGGACATGCATTTGTGCCAGTTAAGCAGGAACAACCTGTGTTCCCTGTCCAAGATGAGCAGCAAACAGCACCTCCAAGATTCAGTTTACCCAACTGTAAACGGGCAGGGTAGGGGTTCATTCTGGGCTTGTGATGAAGCAAAGGGAAGAGGTGGGGAGCTGGCAAGGCAGGGGACAGGTCTCCCATAAGCACCACACAATCCCCATCGGCAAGAGATCCTGCCTCTGTCCACGAAGGTCCAGACAGGGATGCCCCATACCTCTCACGACCAGGAACGCCCGGGCTGTGGCAGAGCCCAGGAGGTTGTGAGCGACGCAGTCGTAGGTGCCTGCATCCCCAGTCTCCACGTTCTCCAGCCACAGGCTCCCATCGGGCAGGGTCCGGAGCCGCCGGCTGGCCCGCAAGGGTTGACCCGCCTGTAGCCATTCAATGGTGGGTGTGGGCTCTCCAGTGGCCTGGCACCGCAGGGCCACGTCATCCCCAGATCTCACTGTCATGTCCTGGGGCTCCACCTGGAACACCGGAGCACCTGTGGGAGGCCCAGGTGGCTTTTAGGAACATTTAATTATTTTTGCATATTCAAGTGGGATATGTTCATTTAGACACACTGGGAAATCCAGAGAAGCAGAAAGAAGAAAATAAGAACTGCATAGGATCCTTCCACCCAGTCATCGTTCCTGAATATTTCCCTCTAGACACTGTTTCTTTATGAAAATATGATCATATGGCCGTATCTGCTTTTATTTTATTTTTTGAGATGGAGTCTCACTCTGTCCCCCAGGATGGAGTGCAGTGGTGCGATCTCAGCTCACTGCAATCTCTGCCTCCTGGGTTCAAGCGATCCTCCCATCTCAGCCTCCCAAGAGCGCCTGCTACCACACCTGGCTGATTTTTGTATTTTTAGTAGAGATGGGGTTTCGTCATATTGGCCAGGTTGGTCTTGAACTCCTGACCTCAAGTGATCCACCCGCCTCAGTCTCCCAAAGTGCTGGGGTTACAGGCATGAGCCACCACGCCCGGCCATCTGCTTTTATTTTTCCTCTGCAATAGATCGTAACTACCTTTCCATGCAGTTACATATCTGTTGTTAGTGGCTAGGTAGTCTTCTATTGCCTGACTGTATTGGGATTGGCTAAATGAAGCCTCTCCTATAGGACAGTTAGACTGCTTCCAATGAAGTGGGGGGCCATCTGTCAGAACTGCCTCTAGTTGATGCCAATGAAATGGGCAAACTCGTGCTCTGTCACCTACTGTGGGTGGCTCTCACCAAGTCACTCCCTGACCCTCAGTGTTCCCATCTGAAATATGGGGATGATGCTTCCTGTCCACTTACTATTATAGACCCTCCTGGAAGGCTAGTATGGAAAGGATGGGAAAGGCCCAGTGCTGGTGAGGCTGCGGAACAAGCAGAACTCGCACACACTGAGGTGGAAATGCAACGTGCTTCAGCCAAGGTGGGGCGCTGTGTGCCTGTGTGTTCGCTTCCTGCAGATGCTGCAGCAAGCTGCAGAAACACAGGAGAAACTGTGGAGGCCAGGAGGCCCACATTAGCCTCACTGGGCCAAAGTTAAGGTGCCCTGCTTCCTCCAGAGGTTCTGGGGGAGAGCCCATTCCTCACCTCTTCCAGCTTCTGCCCCACCAGCATTCCTTAGCCTGAGGCTGCAACAATCCATCCTCTGCCTCTGTCTCCACTTTACCTTCTCTTCTCTCTCTCTCTCCCCTGCCACACCACCCCAGCTCTCTGTCTCTCTCGTTTTTTTTTGTTTTTTTTTTTTTTTTGAGACGGAGTCTCACTCTGTTACCTAGGCTGGAGTGCAGTGGTACGATCTCAGCTCACTGCAACCTCTGCCTCCCGGCTTCAAGTGATTCTCCTGCCTCAGCCTCCTGAGTAGCTGGGATTACAGGTGTGTGCCACCACGCCTGGCTAATTTTTGTATTTTTGGTAGAGACGGGGTTTTGCCATATTGATCATGCTGGTCTCAAACTCCCGACCTCTGGTGATCCACTCTCCTCGGCCTCCCAA